>NC_000018.10:76345661-76647017 GCF_000001405.40 Homo sapiens | reverse complement strand
AAGATAGTATACATGCATTAAATTTACTGGAAGTTGTCAATTTGCTTACTAAAGTGGTGTTTCAGTTTATAGCCCTACTTCTTACTTAAAATTATGGTCATTGAGAAATACCCATCTTATTTTGCATTTTCCTGGTTATTAGTGAGCTTGAGCCCCTTTTCCTATAGTTATTTGTCTGTTGTATTTTTATAACTGTGAATTGACTGTTTATATCTTAATCTTTAAATTTCTTTTTTTTTTTTTCTTTTTCTTTTCTTTGGGACAGGGTCTCACTCTGTTGCCCAGGCTGGTTGCAGCAGCGTGATCACAGCTCACCACAGCCTCAACCGCCTAGGCTCAAGTGATCCTCCCACCTCAGCCTTCAGAGTAGCTGGAACTACAGGCATGCGCCACCATGCCGGGCTAATTTTTTTTTTTTTAATCTTGGTGGTATTCTCTTTTTATTTATTTTGTCTTTATTCAGTAATCTGCTTTGATATCCTGAATCAGTATTTCCTTAGGTGGAGAGAGTTTTCTTATATTGAATATTAGATTCTTTCTCCAATTTTTTTTTTTTTTTTTTTTTTTATTGATCATTCTTGGGTGTTTCTTGCAGAGGGGGATTTGGCAGGGTCACAGGACAATAGTGGAGGGAAGGTCAGCAGATAAACAAGTGAACAAAGGTCTCTGGTTTTCCTAGGCAGAGGACCCTGTGGCCTTCCGCAGTGTTTGTGTCCCTGGGTACTTGAGATTAGGGAGTGGTGATGACTCTTAAGGACCATGCTGCCTTCAAGCATCTGTTTAACAAAGCACATCTTGCACTGCCCTTAATCCATTCAACCCTGAGTGGATACAGCACATGTTTCAGAGAGCACAGGGTTGGGGGTAAGGTCACCGATCAACAGGATCCCAAGGCAGAAGAATTTTTCTTAGTACAGAACAAAATGAAAAGTCTCCCATGTCTACCTCTTTCTACACAGACACGGCAACCATCCGATTTCTCAATCTTTTCCCCACCTTTCCCCCCTTTCTATTCCACAAAACCGCCATTGTCATCATGGCCCGTTCTCAATGAGCTGTTGGGTACACCTCCCAGACGGGGTGGTGGCCGGGCAGAGGGGCTCCTCACTTCCCAGTAGGGGCGGCCGGGCAGAGGCGCCCCTCACCTCCCGGACGGGGCGGCTGGCCGGGCGGAGACGCTCCTCACTTCCCAGACTGGGTGGCTGCCGGGTGGAGGGTCTCCTCACTTCTCAGACAATGGGCGGCCGGGCAGAGACGCTCCTCACTTCCTAGATGGGATGGCGGCCGGGAAGAGACGCTCCTCACTTTCCAGACTGGGCAGCCAGGCAGAGGGGCTCCCCACATCCCAGACGATGGGCGGCCGGGCAGAGACGCTCCTCACTTCCCAGATGTGATGGCGGCCGGGAAGAGACGCTCCTCACTTCCCAGATGTGATGGCGGCCGGGAAGAGACGCTCCTCACTTTCCAGACTGGGCAGCCAGGCAGAGGGGCTCCCCACATCCCAGACGATGGGCGGCCGGGCAGAGACGCTCCTCACTTCCCAGATGTGATGGCGGCCGGGAAGAGACGCTCCTCACTTTCCAGACTGGGCAGCCAGGCAGAGGGGCTCCTCACGTCCCAGACGATAGGCGGCCAGGCAGAGACGCTCCTCACTTCCCAGACGGGGTGGCGGCCGGGCAGAGGCTGCAATCTCGGCACTTTGGGAGGCCAAGGCAGGCTGCTGGGAGGTGGAGGTTGTAGCGAGCCGAGATCACACCACTGCACTCCAGCCTGGGCACCATTGAGCACTGAGTGAACCAGACTCCGTCTGCAATCCCGGCACCTCGGGATGCCGAGGCTGGCGGATCACTCTCAGCTAGGAGCTGGAGACCAGCCCGGCCAACACAGCGAAACCCCGTCTCCACCAAAAAAATACGAAAACCAGTCAGGCGTGGCGGCACGCGCCTGCAATCGCAGGCACTCGGCAGGCTGAGGCAGGAGAATCAGGCAGGGGGGTTGCAGTGAGCTGAGATGGCAGCAGTACAGTCCAGCTTCGGCTCGGCATCAGAGGGAGACCGTGGAAAGAGAGGGAGAGGGAGATCGTGGGGAGAGAGAGGGAGACCAGGGAGAGGGAGAGGGGGAGGGGGAGGGGGAGGGGGAGGGAGAGGGAGCCAGACTCTGCTTTTTTAAGCGGGTCCTGATCCCGTTCGTTTCCGCTGGGCCGGGCTTCTCAACCGGGGTCTCCAGCCACTTCCTACAGATGCCTTTCAGCAGGCAACAAGTCCATTCCTCCCTGGGACAAAGCTCCCAGAGGGAGGGACAGGCTGTCATCTTTGCTGTTTCTCAGCCTTCCCTAGTGACACGCCCAGGTTCTGGAAAATCCGAGGTGACTAGAGACTGAAGCGGGCCCCAGGCATAGCACGGCAGCCCTGCAGAAAAGTGGCCAGATTGTTATGTGGGTGCCCGTTCCCATATCTCCTCACTGGGCAGGTCCTCCAGGCCTGGGCCTCCAGCCACCGCCCGCCAGAGCTATTGAGCCAGCACCAACTCAGCATCTCCCTGGACAGCCTCCAGGGGCAACTGAAAGTCTCTCTGTCACGGGGCAAAGACCCGAAGTGCCTTATCCACATCCCCAACAAGCGGCAGCCAACCCTAGGAGAGGAGGCCAGTCCATTCCCCACGGGTCTCAAACAACTCCTCCTTTAATTAAAAGAGGACTGCCCAGGGTTGGGTCGCATCCATTAAGATGTGCTGTGAGAGGACGTGATGTTGGAGCTGCATCTGACCCGTGATGGAAACTGAGAACACTGTAGAAGGGATGACCAGGAACGTGTTTAACCAACAGGGGAACCACCCTCTTCTCAATGTCTTATTCTGTGGGAAAATGCCAATTACTCATCGGTTATGAGATGTGTAATCTGTTATTTGCAACCAAAATACTCTACTTGATCTAGGCTTGAAAACTCAAGCTACCTCCAATAGAAGAATTATTGGAATAGTTTCCAGACAAAATATAAAACATCCAGTTACATTTAAATTTCAGATAAACAGTGAATACATTTTTATTTATTTATTTTTTTAATTTTATTATTATTATACTCTAAGTTTTAGGGTACATGTGCACAATGTGCAGGTTTGTTACATATGTATACATGTGCCATGTTGGTGTGCTGCACCCATTAACTCTCCATTTAACATTAGGTATATCTCCTAATGCTATCCCTCCCCCCTCCCCCCACCCCACAACAGGCCCCGGTGTGTGATGTTCCCCTTCCTGTGTCCAAGTGTTCTCATTGTTCAATTCCCACCTATGAGTGAGAACATGCAGTGTTTGGTTTTTTGTCCTTTCGAAAGTTTGCTGAGAATGATGGTTTCCAGCTTCATCCGTGTCCCTACAAAGGATATGAACTCATCATTTTTTATGGCTGCATAGTATAGTGAATACACTTTTAGTATAAGTATGCCCCATATATGGGAGAGGATTGAGTCTTATAAAAAATTACTTGTGTTTATTTGGTATTCAAATGTGACTACATTTCTCACATTTTTATTTGCTAAATCTTGTAACCCAGTATTGGAATAGGTATGGATGTATATGGTAACTGAAAATTAGTGTTTGTACAGGCTGCATTAGATTCGACTCCCAATACGTGAGTGAAACTGAGGATCTGTCATTTCAGATTTGTCATTTTGAGAGTAATAATGTCACATTTGTTTTACACATATAAGTATTAAAACTGGGATTTTTCTTTTTGGCTATGACCACAAAAGCACAGACAACAAAAGCAAAAGTAGACAAAGGGGAGTGCATCAAACTCAAAATGCTTCTCCACAACAAGAAAACAATCAGCAGATCAAAGAGACAACCTACAAAACAGGGGAAAATATTTGAAAATTATACATCTAATAAGAGGTTAATATCCAAACTATATAAGAAACTCAAGGCCGGGCGCGGGAGCTCACGCCTGCAATCCCAGCACTTTGGGAGGCCAAGGCGGGTGGATCATGAGGTCAGGAGATCGAGACCATCCTGGCTAACACAATGAAACCCCATCTCTACTAAAAATACAAAAAATTAGCTGGGCATGGTGGCGGGCACCTGTAGTCCCAGCTACTCGGGAGGCTGAGGCAGGAGAATGGCGTGAACCCAGGAGGCAGAGCTTGCAGTGAGCCAAGATTGCGCCACTGCACTCCAGCCTGGGCAACAGAGCAAGACTCCATCTCAAAATAATAATAATAATAATAATAATAATAATAATAATAAAATAAAATAAACTCAAACAATTCCACTCCCGGAAAACAAATAACCAGATTTTAATATGAGCTAGGGACCTGAATAGACATTTCTCAAAAGAAGACATACAAATGGCCAACAGGTATATGAAAAAAATGTTCAGCCTCACTAATCAGTCGGGAAATGCAAATGAAAACCACAATGAAGTATCATCTCACACCTGTCAGAATGGCTATTAGGAAAAAAAAAAAAAAAAGATAACTGTTGGTCGGGATGTGGAGAAAAGGGAACCCCTGTACACTGTTGATGGGAAGGTAAGTTAGTATTGCCATTATAGAAAACAGATGAAGTTTCCTCAAAAAATAAAAATAGCCCGGTGTGGTGGCTCACGCCTGTAATCTCAGCACTTTGGGAGGCCAAGGTGGGAGGATTGCTTGAGACCAGGAGTCTGAGGCCAGGTTGGGCAATATAGTGAGACCTTGTCTTTACAAAATAAAAAAATTAGCTGGGTATGGTGGCACACACCTGTAGTCCTAGCTACCTGAGAGGCTGAGGCAGGATTGCTTGAGCCCAGGAGGTTGTGGCTGCAGTGAGCCATGATCATGCCATTGCACTCCAGCCTGGGTGAAAAAAAAACAAACCTAAACTAAACAGGACCACCATTGTGGCCCAGCAATCCCAGTTCTGGGTGTATATGTAAAGAAAATGAAATCAGCATGTCGAAGAGATGTCACACCCGTGTTCATTGTGGCAATCTTCACAACAGCCAAGACTTGTAACTCACCTGAGTCCATCTATGAATAAAAGGATAAAGAAAATGTGGTATTGCCAGACGCGGTGGCTAATGCCTATAATCCCAGAACTTTGGGAGGCCAAGGAGGATAGCTTGAGTCCAGGAGTTTGAGACCAACCTGGGAAATATGGTGAGGGCTGGTCTCGACAAAATATTTTTAAAAATTAGCCAAGCGTGGTGCTGCATGCCTGCAGTCCCAGCTACTGGGGAGGCTGAGGTGGGAGGATCGCTTGAGCCTGGGAGAAGGAGGTTGCAGTGAGCCGAGATTGAGCCACTGTACTCCAGCCTGGGTGACAGAGTGAGACCCTGTCTCAAAAACAAACAAACAAACAAACCAGAAAACGTGGTATGTATGTGTATATATAGACTTATATATACACATATACAATGCAACACTATTCGGCCTTAAAAAAATAAGAACATCCTATCATTTGTGATAATATGGAAAAACCTGGAAGCCACTATGCTAAGTGAAAGAAGCCAGGCACAGAAAGACAAGTACTGCAGGATCTCACTTAAGTGTAGAAACTAAAATAGTGGAACTCATAGCAGAGGGTAGAATGGTGAGGGCTGGCTGGGTGGGGAGATGCTGGTAAAAGGGCACAGACTTTCATTAGGCAGTTTGGGAGCTCTATAGCGCACAGCACAGTGACCACAGATAATAGTAATGTATTACGTACTGGAGCATTGCTAAGAGAGTGGATCTTCAATGTTTTCATCTGTGTGTCTGTGTGTGTGTATGGTGATATATATATGTGTGTGTGTGTGTATATATATATGGTGTTATATGAGTTAATTAGCTTCATTGAGCCCTTTCACAGTGCATACATATGTCACAGCATCATACTGTACACTATAAATATATACAATTTTTATTTTTCAATGATATCTTAATGAAGCTGGGGGTTGGGGAATGGGATTCTTTTTCTCCCAGTTTCAGCCCAGGCCTCAGGATAATGAGTGTCAGCTACAACCACATTCCACGCAAGGTGCAGGGCCTATGAGGGACTTTTAAAGGAAGTGGTAAAAAATCAATTCCATGACTCTTGCCCCTCCATCAACCTTCTTAGCAAAAGCTACAAATTCAAATATACCCTTAGGCCAGCGTAAACTGGGGGAAGAGAAACATGCGATGAAGTTTAGTACTTTCTCATGTGGGACTAGGCATGTTAATCTCTGAAATAAGGTCATTACTACTTCAAGAAGTGACCAGAGGACTTTGTACCATTCAGGAGTGATTGTGAAAATTATGAGGACCAGCAGAAGATTTCATCCAAGGTGGCAGGAGAGAAACAGCTCACAGAGCAGACTGAGAGGTTTGTGTGTATCACAGGGTGTCCAACTCATTCCACTGGTCTAAGCCCTTTAGAAATCTGAGTGCACTTAATCCTCTTACCAGTGCAGTAAGATTTATATTATTATTTCTATTTTACTGATAAGGAAACCTACGCAAGTATAATAAACTTTGAGGAGGTTACCTAAGATTACACATCTAGTGTGAGATAATGACAAGATTTGAACTCATACACTCTGGCTTGAGGGCCACTTGTAATCACATGCTAAACAGCCTCTTGCATGAAGTGGAGCAAATGCAACCACATTTACATGAAAGGCTCTAGATTTTTAATTTTAATTTAATTTAATTTAATTTTAGACAGACTATCACTCTGTTGCCCAGGCTGGAGTGCAGTGGCGCAATCTCGGCTCACTGTAACCTCCACCTCCCAGATTCAAGCAATTCTCCTGCCTCAGCCTCCCAAGTAGCTGGGATTACAGGTGCCCGCCAACACACCCAGCTAATTTTTGTATTTTTAGTACAGAGGAGTTTCATCATGTTGGCCAGGCTGGCCTGGAACTCCTGACCTCAGTTGATCCACCCACCTCGGCCTCCCAAAGTGCTGGGATTACAGGTGTGAGCCACCACGCCTGGCTAGACTCTTTAATACATCCATCATCATTATCATCATCACCACCATCTAAATTCATTCGAGGATTCTTTATCTCCACTGAACATGTCCTATACTTCGCACTGTTTTGTATCATGGGAATGGATGGTGTTTTGAAACAATAGGGCAAAATAGCAATGATCACTTCCTGAGTGCAAAATATATACTTGTATTAAATCCTTCACTTATTTAATCCTCTCAACAAAGCCATGAGTTACCTCTTTCACAGATAAGGGAACTATTAATACAGTTAAGAGAGAATAAATTATCCACATCTAGTAAGAAAAAGATTTACGTGGCCGGGCGCCGTGGCTCACGCCTGTAATCCCAGCACTTTGGGAGGCCCAGGTGAGCAGATCATCTGAGGTCAGGAATTCCAGACCAGCCTGGCCAACATGGCAAAACTCCGTCTCTACGAAAAGTACAGAAATTAGCCGGGCATGGTGGCACATACGCCTGTAATCCCAGCTACTCAGGAGACTGAGGCAGGAAAATAGCTTGAACCCAGGAGGCAGAGGCTGCAGTGAGCCGAGATCGCGCCACTGCACTCCAGCCTGGGTGACAAGAGTGAGACTTCGTCTAAGAAAAAGAAAAAGATTTACGTCCAGATCTCTCAGATCTGCTGCCTGGCCCTTGACTACCGTGGCATTCAGCTCCCCCGACAGCTTCCTTTCTCCAAGGAGGGAGCTGGACTCATGGAGTCAGCCTGGGCAAGAGCAAACTCCTTGGGCCACTGCAGCAACTGCGCTCACTCTTTCGAGTTCCCGCCTTTTCCCTTGAAATTCCCATTTATTGGGGGATTAGACATAAATATTTGTAATTTATAGTGCAAATAGTCTTTACTTTGCTTCCTACAAAATACTTAAATCAAAATGAGATTGTCAGGCAGTGCACAAAACAGGTGTGGTCAACCACCTTTCTAATGTTTGGATAATGTTAAAGAGGTCTGCGAATTCAGGAAATGATCTCGTGGTTACCAGGCAGCCAGCGTACCCCTCCTGATGGATTGTGGGTCGGGAAGAGCACAAGTGTTTTGTAACTATGGAAACAAACTGAGTTTGTCAAGCCAGAAAGCAACCCTCCAGCATCCAGATTACCCTTCGAAGACGGCAAAGAAAAAGAGAGCTCTGAAATCACTCAACGCATAGGAGCTGGTTCTATAATTTTTAGACTTTAATTAAATCAATTATTAAAGCCTTTCTTAATGCCTTGCTGAGATATTCAGGCTCGGGCTGCCTCAGGAGAGAGGAAGTGGTTGAATGCACAGAGGTGGCTAATAAGGTTGGTCACTGGCCCCTGAGGGACGCTAGGCAATAAGGAAGGTTCTCCCTTCCACACCCTTTCCAGTCTCGCCCTCACTCCTTGTGTCTCTTCCAGAGGGGACACAACATTCCAGAATCCCACAGGAAAGATTCTACCATCTCCACAGCTGCCCTCGCCGCAGTCCTCCCTACTGTTGGAGAAGATGCCCCCAATAACTGGGGTGTCTCGAGCTAGTGGACACATCATGGAGCTGGGTGAGGCCAGAGGACCTTCCTAGAAAAGGGAATATTTCTCTCTCTCTCTTAGTGATCTGCCTGGGTCAGGAGTTTGGGATCACTGGCAAGTTGAACAGGTCCTGTGGATCTTTTCTAGCCTCTGTGTGCCCTAGAGAAGGAGGGCTGGCTCACATCTCCCTGTGGCCGTATTCAGAAATAACTGGGGAATAGAACACAGTGTATTGGCTCGTACAGAGTCCACGGTGAGGGGCCGTGGCCATACCTGCTGCCTTGTTGACCTTGGTTTGCAGAGTGGACTGTGTCATTAAGATCCTCCCATGGCCTCATCCTGTGCTGGCCATCGCTATGCGTCCAGTAAGGTAAGGAGTTTGCTGAAACAGGCAGTTTCTTCAGAGCACAATTTTATCGGGTGACTTGGATGAACTGGCTTGGGTGTGGGGTGTCCAGAATGACAATGTCTCTGTCAAGGGCCCTGGTTCCATGCTGAGGACGTCTCTGCAAACACGTGGGAGGGAAACAGAGAGGATGGGGCAGGACAGCACACACCCACCTTTCCTCCAGGCACCTGTCTGGCTCCGCACGTCTTCCTCATGGGTGATGGCAGCCAGATCTGACCTGGGCTCCTCTGAAGACGCAGCAGAGCTTTGATTGCATGAGTGCAGCTGGGGAAAGAGCCCATAATGCAGCAATTATTGTTCATTTGTTGCTATGGTATTTCTGTGGCCTGTTTGGATCCATGAATGTCTTGATTATTTTCAATACCCATTTATAGAACATTCTGTTCATCTCAAAGTACTTTGAGACCATCTTTGTAGGATACTCTCTGTAACAGACACAAGTTAGTAATGGCATTGCTATTTTACAAATGAGCACATTGAAGTGGGGTGTTGTTTTAATAACTAAAATCAGGGAAAGTGAAAGAAAAGACATATGATAAATGACATTATCATTCTAATAAAGGAAACGGCTTTAGGTTAAATTATATTTGACATAAATTGATGTTTTGACATCAACGGATATCACTGAGGTTTTGACATCTAGTTGGTGTCACAGTTGGGAGAAATATTATTTGAGGAACAGGTTACCGGGAAAGGCAGGCCTAATGAAGCAGAAAGAGGAGATCAGCAATAACTCTGGCTTTCAAATCTTTGGTTTCCAAAGAAACTATGTAGAAAATTAATGAGTTCACAGCTCAATCGTCTATGTATTGGAGCCTATATTCACAGAATGTTTACAACTTTTGGGTAATAGGGTATGATAATTGTTATGTATGTATAATACTAAGATAATATAATTGTGTAATTAAAAGAAAAAAATCCCCCTATGAGTAAATACATCTTGGGATATTCATGCAATGGAATTCTATAGAATAGTGAAAATGAATGACATTCAGCTGAAAATGTCAACACCCGTGGATGACTTCCCAAACATAAACTTGAACCAAAGACTGGGTTATCTACAATATAATGCCACTTATCTTAAATGGAAACTTCAAATATATGCAAGATTTAGCAACATATACTTTAAGGATACATGGTTATATAGGAAAATGAGAAAGGAAATTAAGTCAATTATGAACACAACATTAGACGATGGTGGCTCTGGGAGGAAGGAGAAGGAATGGCGTCGGGAAGGCCCAGTCCTTAGAGTCTTCAGCGATACTGACACAGCTCTAAGGCCTAAGCTGAGTGGCTGACTTGGGCCTGCTTGTAATAGTATTCTTTGTATCTCATGTGTACTTTTTAATATTTTCTTTTGTGTTTACAAGCCATAGGAACAGTCACTGGCTTGCTTTTGGTGGTTCTCCAACTGCAAACCTTGATTTGTTTCTATGGATCACGTGGAGAGCTGTCCTAAGCACTGGCATCTGCTCAGCAGGGATTTAATTAGGGCTGTCCACGACTTTCATTTTCACAGAAAATAATTCATGTAGGTCAGAGGACACGTTCGTCACAGTTTTGTGTTATGGGATTATAAGTGATTTCAAACCCCAAAGATTATCCTAGAATAATAATGAGTATAAATAAGCCCAGTGGCTGAATTCTCAAATATGTGTCTTAAAAAAGCAAATGTGAACCAGAATGATGACGTTTTAAAAAAAATTTCAACAGATGTGTTGGTAAAATCATACGAAATAAAATAGATTATCTACTTTCACTTCCGCCTTCATACGACTTTCCTAGAACACGAGATCATATTAGGAGAGTATCCTACAATTTCCCTTCTCCTCTGGTTTACAGAAAGGAACTGAGGCAGCGGGAGGTAAGGAGACTTCTTTAAAATCAGAAGACACTTAGTGCCAACAGAGTCTAAGCCTCTCAACTCACAAGAAAATGGCCAGCCCACCCTACTACCCCTGCTCTGCCCTCTCCTCTCCTTCGATACACACTATTGAGAGTGCATACACCAAGTCTAGAGATCCATTCCAGTACAAGAAGCACTGACTGGAGGGGCAAGAGATCGATGTTTTGGTTCTAAATCTACAATCTAAGCCACTTACTATATAAGAACCTTAGCCAGGGTAACATGGCAAGACCTCATCTATACAAAAAATGAAAAAAAAATTGCCAGGTGTGGTGGTGTGCACCTATAATTCCAGCTACTTGGGAGGCTGAGGTGGGAGGATTGCTGGAGCCCAGGAGGTTGAGACTGCAGTGAGCTGTGTTTGCACCACTGCACTCCAGCCTGGGCAACAGAGCAAGACCCTGTTTCAAAGAAAAAAAAGCAATTATCCTGCCTCAGCCTCCCAAGTAGCTGGGATTACAGGCACCTGCCACCACACCCGGCTAATTTTTGTATTTTTAGTAGAGAGGGGGTTTTGCCATGTTGGCCAGGCTGGTCTGGAACTGATGACCTCAGGTGATCTGCCCGCTTTGGCCTCCCAAAGTGCTGGGATTACAGGTGTGATCCACCGCACCCGGCTAGACTTTTTAATACATCCATCATCATTATCATCATCACCACCACCATCTAAACTCATTCAAGGATTCTTTATCTCCACCAAACATGTCCTATACTTTGCACTGTTTTGTACCATGGGAATGAATGGTGTTTGAAACAATAGGGCAAAATCTTTACTTGTGGGACAATATGTTTTAGACATTCTGGTGAGCAGGTAAAATTCCTAAAGTAGGTTAGTGCCTATTGGCACTGTGTCTTTTATTCCTAAACAAGCATAAAGGTTTGTGTTAAAAACAAAATTTGACCTAATTTCAGCATAGAATGCAATGGCAGATGCTTGTTTGATTTTTTCTTCCAAGGTGCTCTTATTATTACCATCCTCTTTAAATTCTTCCAATATTACTTGGGTGGGGGGCACTTTATTATGTGCTAATCCTTCTATTAACACCTGACAGCTTTTTACCATCCAGGGGGTAAGGCCTGGAGTAGGTACCCACAGCAACAGAACCACAGGACACAGTCTTTGTCCATGGAAGAATCCAGGATGCTAGGGGTTAAATAGCCTATCCCAAATCTCTAAAAAGAGGTGCTTTGCATCAGGAAGGTTTTTATAGAGAACATCCTAGAAAAACATTTTAACCTCCTTCTTTGCTCCCAGTGCAATGGGCCAACACCAAACTTCTTTTTGTTGTGTCTTAGGAGGTAGAACACTGGATGAGCCACAGAAAGCACACAGGACTTTGCTGTGGAAGAGTCAAAGATCCACGTGGGAGCATCCCGTAGGGTAAGGACAGGTCCAGATCCTGAGTTCAGACCACCAAGGAGCAGGGAGAGGGAGGATTTACTTGCATTTCAGCTTTGTTAGGGGAAGACCCAGCACTGCATCCACTGATACACACCTTGGGGAGTCTGCCAGAATACAAAGGAATGACAAACACCCTTTGAAATCTATTCGTCTGACTCTCTAGATTTACATACATAATATTCTTTCCTGACATTCATTTCCACCCATAACAACAGTAACAAACTTGTTCTGTTTGAGACAATGCCATTCTCCTTATTTCAAACAAAAAATGTGCTCACTCCCTCACCAATGGGTGACAACAGTTACTGACCGCATCCATCCTCAATCCTGAATGTTCATTCATTCTCAAGTTCCACTTGCACCGTAGTTGCGTTATTCTGAAACCTATGAACTAAATTACAGTTAACTGTAAACAAACCGTATATATAATAGTGAGAGAGAAGAGAGAGGAATCAAACAAAAATTAATTAACTCATAAATATATACATGACACAGCAGGAAGGAGAGGATACAGTCTGGATTTCTGCAGCTGTTCATGAGGCCAAAGCTGATATTTAAGACTTCTTTTTATTATCAGGTTTATTTTGCTTTCAGCCAACACCTCAAATGGTCTGAAGTCTTTATACACGAGGGCTTCCCAAATATTAATTCTTCATAAACCTGACAGCTTGTTGGTCCTGTCTGTAGAAGATGGTGTTAGTCAGAGTTCTCCAGAGAAAGAGGAACAACAGGATGTGTATATGTAGTGCACACATAAAGAGACTTATTTTAAGGAATTGGTTCATGCAGTTGTGGAAGTTGGCTACTCCAAAATCTGCAGGGTTGACTGGCAGGCTGGAGATCTAAGGAAGAGCCAAGACTGCAGTTCAAGTCTGAAGACTGTCTGCCACAGAATTCCTTTTTGCTCTGGAGAGGTTAGGCTGATTTATTCAGTCCTTCGACTGATTAGATGAGGCCCACCCACATTACAGAAGGCAATTTGCTTTACTGAAAGTCCACCAATTTAAATGCTAATCTTATCTAAAAATATCCACACAGAAACATGCAGAATAATGGCTGCATGTTAATAAGGACAGTACATCTGGAACAGCTGCTGCTGAAATCAGGACTCACAATGTCCCATGAGAGTGAGAACTTACTGCCACAAGATGGCATTAATCTGTCAATGAGGGACCCACCCCCAGACTCAAACATTTTCACTAGACTTCACCCCTCAACACTGCCATATGGGGAAGGAAATTTCAACACAAGTTTTGGTAAGAACAAACCACATCCAAATCCTAGTAGCATACAATTATTATAGTCTTATTCATTTTTTTCCTGTGAAGTTGGTAGCAATGTCCCTGCTTCCATTCCTAATTTTAGTTATTTGAATCTTCTCACTGTTTTCTTGGTCAGACTAGCTAAAGGTCTGTCAATTTTGTTGATTTTTTTTTTTTTCAAAGAGCCAATTTTTGGTTTCACTTCTTTTCTCATTTTTCTATTGTCTACTTTGTTATCACTAGTCTAATCTTTATTGTTTACTTCTTTTGCTTGTTTTGGGTTTCAGTTTGCTCTTCTTTTCCTTTATTTATTTATTTATTTATTTGAGACAGAGTCTTGCTCTGTTGCCTAGGCTGGAGTGCAGTGGCGCAATCTCGGCTCACTGCAACCTCTGCCTCCTTGTGATCCGCCTGCCTCAGCCTCCTAAAGTGCTGGGATTACAGGTGTGAGCCACCATGCCCTGCCTGCTCTTCTTTTTCTAGTTCCTTAACGTACAAAGCTAGGTTATTGATTTGAGATATTTATTCTTTTCAAATGCAGAATTTTACAACTATAAATGTTTCTCTAAATACTGCTTCCCATGGTTTTGGTATTGTGTGTTTTTGCTTTCATACATCTCCAAATATTCTCTAATTTCCTTTGTGATTTCTTCTTTGATCCATTGATTGTTTAGGTGTGTTGTTTAATTTCCACATATTGTGAATTTTCCAGTTTTTCTTCTATTATTAATTTCTAGTTTTATTCCATTGGGTTGGAGAAGATACTTTGTATGACGTGAATTTATAAAGACTTATGTCATAACATATGGTCTATCCTGGAGAATGCTCCATGTATAATTGAGAAGAATGGGCATTCTGCTGTTGTTGAGTGGAGTGTCCTATAAATGTCTATTAGGTCTAGTAGGTTTATAATTTTTTCAAGTCTTCTGTTTCCTTGATGATCTTCTGTTTAGTTGTTCTATCCATTATTGAAAGGGGTATATTGAAATCTTCAAATAAATATTATTGTTGAACTCTTTCTCTTTTCAATTATCTCATAACTTTACGTATTTTGGAGGCTCTGTTTGCAGGTGCATATATGTTCCTAATTGTCATATCTTCTTAATGGAGTGACTCTTTTATCTCTTATAACAATTCTTGTCATAAAGTCTTTTTTGCCTAGTGTTAGTATAGCCCTCCAGCTCTCTTTTGGTTACTGTTTGCAAGGAATATTTTTTTCCATTATTTGACTTTCAACCTACTTATGTCTTTGAATTGAAAGTGTCTTTTGTACATGGAATCAATCCAAATGTCCATTAATGATAGACTGGATAAAGAAAACATGGTACATATACACCATGGAATACTATGCAGCCGTAAAAAGGAATGAGATAATGTCCTTTGCAGGGACATGGATGGAGCTGGAAGGCATTATCCTCAGCAAACTAATGCAGGAACAGAAAACCAAACATGGCATGTTCTTACTTATAAGCAGGAGCTGAACAACATGAACACATAGACACAGGGAGGGGAACAACACACACTAAGGCCTGTCCGGAGCTGTGGGGAGGAGGGAGAGCATCAAGAAAAATAGCTAATGCATGCTGGGCTTAATACCTAAGTGATGGATTGATAGGTGCAGCAAGTCACCATGGCACACATTTACCTACGGTAACAAACCTGCACATCCTGCACATGTACCCCAGAACTTAAAAGAAAAAAAAGAAAGTGTCTTTTGTGAAGAGCATATACTTGGATCAAGTAGTTTTTTAAATCCATGCGGCAAATCTCTGCCTTTTCATTGTAGAATTATTGTAGAATTTAATTCATTTGCATTTAATATAATTACTGATAATGAAGGATGTTTCCTTGTTTTTTTTTTTTTTTTTTTTTTGAGACGGAGTCTCGCTCTGTCACCCAGGCTGCAGTGCAGTGGCATGATCTGGGCTCACTGCAACCTCCACCTCCCGGGTTCAAATGATTCTCCTGCCTCAGCCTCCTGAGTAGCTGGGACTACAGGCACGTGCCACCACGCCCGGCTAATTTTTTTTTTCTTTTTTTTTTTTGAGACAGAGTTTCGCTCTTGTTGCCCAGGCTAAAGTGCAATGGCGTGATCTCGGCTCATTGCAACCTCTGCCTCCCGGGTTCAAGCAATTCTCCTGTCTCAGCCTCCTGAGTAGCTCAGATTACAGGCATGCACCATCATGCCTGGATAATTTTGTATTTTTAGTAGAGATGGGGTTTCTCCATGTTGGTCAGGCTGGTCTTGAACTCCTGACCTCAGGTGATCCACCCGCCTCGGCCTCCCAAATTGCTGGGATTACAGGCGTGAGCCATTGCGCCTGGCCTGTTTGTTTCTTTTACTTATATTTGTGAGTTATTTTCTAAGTAGTCGCCCTGGGGATTAAAATTAGCATCTTGATTTCTGAAAATCTAGTTTGGATTCATACCAACTTGATTTCAACTAAATATAAAAACTTTGTTTCTTTATAGCTCTGCTCTCCATGCTGCTATTGTCACAAAATATCTTTATACCTTAAGTGCCCATCAAAAATAGATTTATAAATTTTGTTTTATACAGTTGCCTTTTAAATCAGATAGAAAAAAAAGCGAAGTTATTAAAAATCACATGATCACCTCAATAGATGCAGAAAAACCATTTGACAAAATCCAGCATCGCTTTATAATTAAAACCCTCAGCAAAACTGGCGTAGAAGGGACATACCTTAAGGTAATAAAAGCCATTTATGACAAACCCACAGCCAACATTATATTGAACGGGGAAAAGTTGAAAGCGTTCCCTCTGAGAACTGGAACAAGACAAGGATGCCCACTTTCACCACTTCTATTCAACATAGTAACGGAAGCCCTAGCCAGGGCAATCAGACAAGAGAAAGAAATCAAGGGCATCCAAATTGGTAAAGAGGAAATCAAACTGTCACTGATAATGATATAATTGTATACCTAGAAAACCCTAAATACTCATCCAAAAAGTTCCTAGAACTGGTAAATTAATTCAGCAAAGATTCAGGATACAAAATTAATATATACATATCAGACCAGGCACGGTGGGTCATGCCTATAATCCTAGCACTTTGCGAGGCCGAGGCGGGAGGATCACCTTAGGTCAGGAGTTCAAGACCAGCCTGGCTAATATGGTGAAACCCCATCTCTACTAAAAATACAAAAATTAGCCAGGCGTGGTGGTGCATGCCTGTAATCCCAGCTACCTGGGAGGCTGAGACAGGAGAATTACTGGAACCTGCGTGGCAGAGGCTGCAGTGAGCCAAGATTGTGCTACTGCACTCCATCCTGGGCAACAGTGAGACTCCATCTCAAACAAAAACAAAAACAAACAAACAAAAACAAAATTAATATACGCAAATCAGTAGCTCTGCTGTACACCAGCAGTGACCAAGCTGAGAATCAAATCAAGAACTCACCCCCTTTTACAATAGCTGCAAAATAATAATAATAATAATAATAATAATAATAATATACTTAGGAATATAGCTAACCAAGGAAGTGAAAGACCTCTACAAGGAAAACTACAAAACACTGCTGAAAGAAATAATAGATGGCACAAACAAATGGAAACACATTCCATGCTCACGGATGGGTAGAATCAATATTGTGAAAATGACCATACTGCCAAAAGCAATCTACAAATTCAGTGCAATTCCCATCAAGATACCACCATCATTCTTCACAGAACTAGAAAAAAAATCCTAAAATTTATATGGAACCAAAACAGAGCCCGCAAAGCCAAAGCAAAACTAAGCAAAAAGAACAAATCTGGAGGCATCACATATCCGACTTCAAACTATACTATAAGGCCATAGTCACCAAAACAGCATGGTACTGGTATAAAAATAGGCATATAGAGCAATGGAATAGAATAGGAAACCCCAGAAATAAAGCCAAATACTTAGAGCCAACTGATCTTTGAAAAAGCAAACAAAAACATAAAGCTGGGCAAGGACACCCTATTCAAAAAATGGTGCTGAAGTACATGGCAAGCCATATGTAGAAGAATGAAACTGGATCCTCATCTCTCACCTTGTACAAAAATCAACTCAAGATAGATCAAAGACTTAAATCTAAGACCTGAAATCATAAAAATTCTAGAAGATAACATTGGAAAAACCCTTCTAGACCTTGACTTAGGCAAAGACTTCATGACCAAGAACCCAAATGCAAATGCAACAAAAGCAAAGATAAATAGATGGGACTTAATTAAACTAAAAAGCTTCTGCAACAGCAAAACAAATAATCAGCACAGTTAACAGGCAACCCACAGAATGGGAGAAAATCTTCACAATCTATATATCTCACAAAGGACTAATATCCAGAAGCTACAAAGAGCTCAAACAAATCAGCAAGAAAAAAACAATCCCATCAAAAAGTGAGATTCTCAAAGATATACAAATGGCCAATAAGCATATGGAAAAATGCTTAACATCACTAATTATCAGGGAAATGCAAATCAAAACCACAATGTGGTACCACCCCACTCCTGCAAGAATGGCTATACTCAAAATTCAAAAAATAATAGATGTTGACATGGATGTGGTAGAAAGGGAACACTTTTACACCGTTGGTGGGAATATAAACTAGTACAACCATTATGGAAAACAGTGTGGTGATTCCTTAAAGAGCTAAAAGTAGACCCACTGTTTGATCCAGCAATCCCAGTACTAGGTATCTACCCAAAGGGAAAAAGTCCTTATAAGAAACTTACACATGCCATGTTTATAGCAGCACAATTTGCAATTGCAAAAATATGGAACCAGCCCACATGTCCATCCATCAACAAATGAATAAAGAAAATGTGATACACACACACACACACACACACACACACACACACACCATGGAATACTACTCAGCCATAAAAAGGAATGAAATAATGGCATTCACAACAACTTGGATAGAATTGGAGACCCTTATTCTAAGTGAAGTGACTCAGAAATGGAAAACCAAACATGGTATGTTCTCACTCATAAGTGGGAGCTAAACTATGAGGATGTAAAAGCATAAGAATAATACAATGGCACATATACACTATGGAATACTATGCAGCCATAAAAAAGAATGAGTTCATGTCCTTTGCAGGGACATGGATGAAGGTGGAAACCATCATTCTCAGCAAACTAACACAGGAACAGAAAACCAAACACCGTATGTTCTCACTCATAAGTGGGAGCTGAACAGTGAGAACACATGGACACAGGGGGGGAACATCACACACTGCGGCCTGTCAGGGGATGGGGGGCCTAGGAGAGGGACAACATTAGGAGAAATACCTAATGCATGTGGGGCTTAAAACCTAGATGATAGGTTGGTGGGTGCAGCAAACCACTGTGGCACATGTATACCTATGTAAAAAACCTGCACATTCTGCACATGTATCCCAGAACTTAAAGTACAAATAATAATAATACAATGGACTTTGGGGACTCAGGGGAAAGGGTGGGAGGGGATGATGGATAAAACACTACACATTGGGTACAGTGTATGCTGCTTCGGTGATGGATGCTTCAAAATCTCAGAAATCACCACTAATGAACTTATTCATGTAACCGAACACCACTTGTTCCCCAAAAACCTATTGAAATACAAAATAAAGAAAAAAAAGAGAGAAGTTACAAACAAAAATTACATTAATAACTGTCTTATATGTTTACTTTTGTAGATACTTTTATCAGTGTTCTTTTATTCTTTGTGTGGATTCAATTTATTTTCTAGGATACCTTCATCTTACCCTGAAGGATTTCCTTCTGATGAGAAATGAGCTATAAATTTTATTGAGAATTGCTTATACATGAGGAGTTGCTTCTCTCTTGCTGCTTTCAAGATTCTCTCTTTGTCTTTATCTTTTGAAAGTTTCATTATGATGTGTCTTGATGTGGATCTGTTTGAGTTTATTCTACTTGGAGTTTATCAAACTTCTTGGATGTACAGATTTATGTCTTTCAACCGGTTTGGGAAGATTTTGGTCATTATTTATTCCAATATTCATTCAGCCTCTTTCTCTTTACTCCTTCTTGGATTCCCATTATGCATATATTTTTATGCTTAAAGTTGTCACACAGGTCTCTGAGGCTCCTTGTCTTTTCTTTATTCTTTTAATTTCTTTTCTTCTGGCTATGTAATCTCTATAGACATACCTTCAAATTTGCTTCTTTTGTTGCTCAAGTATGCTGTTAAGACTTTCTTTTGGCAAATTTTGTATTTCCATTACTGTACTTTTTAACTCCAGAATTTCTATTTGATTCTTCTTTATAATTTATATGTCACTTTTAATATTCTCTGTTTCTTGAAACAGCATTATCATCCCTTCCTTAGACCTTTAGACATGGTTTTCTTTAGTTCTTTGAATCTATTTAAAATAGCTGATTCAAAGTTTTTGTTGAGTAAGCCCAATGTCTAAGCTTCCTCAGGGACAGTTCCTATCCTGTGAATGAGTAATATTTTCTTGTTTCTTTGCATGTCTCATAATTTTGTATTTAAAACTAGGTATTTTAGATAATATAATGTGACAATTCTGGAAATATTTTTCCCCTCTTGAGGATTTGTTGTTGTTTGTTATAGGTATAGCTAATTGTTTCTTTAGTGACTTTTCTGAACTAATTCTGTAAAGTCTCTATTCTTTGTCATGTATAGCCACTGAAGTCTCTCCTTAGTTAGCTTAGAAATCAGCTAATAATTAGAGATTTCCTTAACTACTTGGAATCGGTAAGTCTCCCAGGTTTTGCCAATGGACCCTGTGCAGGTTGGGACACACCTTCAATACTTAGCCAGGCAGTGGACAATATGACCTCATCTTAATTAATTATGTCTTCAAAGACCGTATTTCCAAATAAGGTCAAATTATGAGTTTCTGGGTAGACATGAATTTTGGGGCACAGAATTCAACCCAGGATAGAATTAGACAGACCTATGCTGGGGCCTTGGCCCCTTCCTAGCTGTGTGACCTCATAATTCTCATTCCCCCAGTAATGATGATGTCTAATTAAGGTGACAGTACCTCCCAGTGTGTCCCACAGTTTTGCTGTCCTGAAAGAATTTTTAATTTGTCCCCATTTACTTTCAAAAATATTTCAGTTTGAACAATACATTCATGCTATGTGCAATGTTTGTGGATTGCCTAACATACAGGAGGCCCTAAATAAATGACAGTACCATTAATAAAAGAAGCAGCATTTAGGATTGCGGTAAGGGCTTTCTGTAACACAGCATCTGAAGGCTGAGCCCACAAACAGTTAACAGCTGTAGACACTACCCAAAAAGGCCCTTCCTGTGCAGTGTGGAAAGGAACATAAGTCAGGCACTGATTGGAGTTTTCAGCAGTCACCCGGTGAATTGCAGCACCTTCAGCAGCTGCGAATATTAACTACACAGCAACACGAAGTGTATTTATGTTATTAGTTAAAGGGAGGCACTGAACCCTGTTCACCGATTTCTCCTCCAGCTTAGCACAGTCTTGAAAATACTACCGCTTTTTTTTTTTTTTTTGAGGCAGAGTCTCGCTCTGTCACCCAGGCTGGAGTGCAGTGGTGCGAACTCGGCTCACTGCAAGCTCCGCCTCCCGGGTTCACGCCATTCTCCTGCCTCAGCCTCCTGAGTAGCTGGGACTACAGGCACCCGCCACCACGCCCGGCTAATTTTTTTTTTTTGTATTTTTCGTAGAGACAGGTTTTCACCGTGTTAGCCAGGATGGTCTCGATCTCCTGACCTCATGATCCACCCGCCTTGGCCCCCAAAGTGCTGAGATTACAGGCGTGAGCCACCAAGCCCAGCCAAAAATAGTACAGTTTTTAAAGTTTGGTGAATTCATGAAAGAATTATAAAGACCTTTCCTACATCAAAACCCATTTACTCAAGTGTGGTGACTCTGGCTTTCCTGGATGGACAAACAGATTCTACATCAGCGATCCTTAGTGCCTGTTCCTTGAAACTTGTGCATCCAAATCAGTAAGGGGTTTGCCAAAAATGCAGTTTCCAGGGCCCCAACCCAGACCTATTGGATAGGAACATCTGGGATAGAGCCCAGGAATTGGATTTTCATATAATGCCCCCTGCAGTTCTCATACACACTTGCATGCAGGAATGGCTGGGTAAGGTGCCCTTTAGGAAGCCGTTCTCCTACAAGTAAAATTGAGGAATTCAGCTCCAACAGGTAGAAATCAGGAAGAACTTCTGGGCCCTACCACACTGTTTTTATCTATTTATCACCAAAAGTGGATTTTAAAATAATCCTCAAAGACTCGACTACCATTTTTCTTATCAACTTAAATATTTAACTCTGTGAGGCATTTTTTTTTGAGACAGAATCTCCGTCTGTCACCAGGCTGGAGTGCAGTGGTGCAATCTTGGCTCACTGCAAGCTCCGCCTCGTGGGTTCAAGTGATTCTCCTGCCTCAGCCTCCCGAGTAGCTGGGATTACAGGTGCCTGCCACCATGCCCGGCTAATTTTTGTATTTTTAGTAGAGACGGGGTTTCACCATGTTGGCAAGAATGGTCTCGATCTCTTGACCTCGTGATCAGCCCACCTTGGCCTCCCAAAGTGCTAGGATTACAGAGGCATTGGATTTTTAAATCAACTAAAGGGACAGTATTACATTTATCTGTGGTTCTAGAACTCTGCTATCCAATAAGGCAGACAATAGCCACATTTAGCTATTTAAACTTAATTAAAAGTAAATGAAATGAAAAATTCAGCTCCTCAGTTGCACTAGCCAGGGGCCAAGTGCTCAATAGCCACAGGGCTGGCTCCCACATTGGCCAGTGCAGATACAGACCCTTTCCATCCCACAGCAGGACCTGTTGAACAGCACCGTGAACAGCCTGCCAACCATGGCTGCACAACAGAATCACCTGTGGGCTTCCAAAATCCCCAGGTCTAGGCCACAGCCCTAGACCAACTTAATCACAGCCTCTGGGAATGGGACCCAGGACTTTTGAAAGGTTAGCTTGCACCAGAATCATCTGGAGAAAGTGTGAGCAGAGATTGCTGGGCTGTACCCAGAATTTTAGATTCAGTCTGGGTGAGAGCAACTTGCATTTTTAGCAAGCTCCCAGGTGAGGCCGAGGCCCCTGGTCCAGGGAGCACACTTTGCAGTCACCCTCTTAAGGTAAAGCTAAACCTTGAGTTCTGCCTCTGTGCCTACGGAGCACCTGATGGTCGCCTCTGGCCTTGCCCATTTCTCCTTCCCTGAAAGCTCAGCAGAGCAAGCAGGGAGTCCCCAGGCCATGCTCCCTGAGAAAAGGCCTCCGAAGGCCAGGAACTATTCAAGGCTGAGACCCAGCATCCAGTTAAAAGGAAGCTTCCCTGTTTCTTCCAGCTGTCCTTCCATCATTTTGTTCTTTTCCGTCATTCCCAAGCCCCTGCTGCTGTGGGGCCCATCACTGCTTCTCCACCTCTATTGCGAGCTCCAAGAATTACTGGGCACACACAGTTTTGCCCCTTTACAAACGCCTCCTGTGGATTATTTGAGTCCCATAGTCCATTGAGTGTTCTTGGTTTTCTTCCTGGCCCCCAAGAGAATCAAACTAATGGATTATCTGTAAAGATGGTGGCCCCAGCCTTTTGCAGCCTGAAACTTCTGGAAGCCAGAGCCCCATTCCTGCATATTTAGACCTAAAATGAGACTGGCCCCAAAGGGATGCAACCAAACAGCCTGTGATAGACTGTCTCAATCTAAATCAGCTCCAAAGCTTCTCCTCACATCACTGTTGCGTCCTATTCGAAGGATTATCCTAAACACGTGAACTCTCCCAACAGAAGGATTTCCTTCGCTGCTGCACCTCCTTCCAGTTCATCTCATTCAGTGCGTTCCCCTCTTCGCTCCAAGCACACAGAGCATGTGTGGAGGATGACCGCCCAGTCCTCACTTAGCCAGTATTTTCCAGTTTTTAAAATATGAAGGTTCTTGAACCTAGTCTCAATTTCTGTGCCTTAAGGAAATGAAGGATAATCGTTTCTCTATTTGAATTGCTTAATTTCACTAAACTCTAAATTTTAAGGGTTATTTTGAAGCAACAAATTTCACTATTTCTTAGTATCTATTTTTTATTGGTGTGTTAAAGTACAAAATAAGTAAATCAAATCCTACCACAAACCAGAAAAATTAATGGAATCATTGGAAATCAAGTATTCAATTGGAGCTTAATAATCCATCAGCTTCTGAAAACACTAAGCAGTGAAGAAGCAGCTCATGGATCCTGTTCCAGCGACTTTTGTGATAATAATATCAAATAATAAAAAATTAAAAAAAGTACAAGAGGTTAACAATATAATCGTTTGGGTTTACCATCAGATATACTTGCCCATGGATTACTTCTTGAATTCTAGCCCTGAATCGAATTGATTTCATAGAATGGTATAAAATGTTTATAAAGTCTCTCCTCTGTCTTGCAGGGACTTGCGTTTCAGATCAGATGATGCTTTTCATGTATGTCCAGCAGCAAGAGAGTCCTTCACTGGTGAAAAATCACGGGCCTCAGAGCAGATTTTAGTTCATCTTTCATTTCAAAGCACTCCTTAGATATCTGCAAATTAAATCCCCTAATTTGGTGAGGACGCCCAGCTTCCCAAATAACAAGGCTTTTCCTTTGATTCTAACCAAGTGAGCCGGCCCTGCAAAAGCCGGGGTGCGTGTTCTGGCTCCAGGCTTCTGAGCAGCCTTTCTCCCCACGCTGCAGCTTTTCAGTTAGGAAGTCAGAGAGAAGGAAAGAGAACTATTTCCAATTCAATCACGAGCATGTCTACGCACCACTGAAGACAGACCTTTGTCCTGTTGCTTTCCAAACTTTAAATGTGAATTTTTCTTCTTATGATGACTGGTGTACTCTGTTATTCTGAAAAAAGAAAAAGCCATAAGCACCCTGAAGTGAGGCTTTCACCTGATACTAATTTTCTTCTTCGTTATAAGGCTATTGTTTGTTTGAACAAAGAAATAGGAGCCATTGGTGGCTGTTTACATTATAGGAATGAGGGCAGCGATGGGGGAGGAGGAGGGGACCTTTTCATTAATGAGCTGGGGACATTGATTATGGGGACACACTAAAGACTAAAAGGGACACCTATATTTCTACATTCTTTCCATGCAAGTAATATATGATCTTTATCATCTGTTAAACACCACTCACATATTTCAGGTGGCTGTAGGTTGATTGCTAACATTTAGATTAAACAAGCAGTTAGAGTCTGATGTTTAAAATAAAATAAGACAAGCCCTTGAACTCTGGGACCAGGTATGCCCCGTTATCTGGTCGTACCTGAACGAGCCTGTGTTGAGCACCCAAGGCCGCTGGGCACGTCTGTGGATGTGGGGTTTCAGGCTCAACCCACTCGAGGAGCAGGGGGCTTTTGGGAGGTGGCAGCCTCCTATACAAAACGAGCTGCCAGTAAATATTTATAGAACAAAGAAATGCATGAATTTCTCCTGAATTAAACATGATACATTTGTACAGAGCATAGTTCACTTTCATTTCAGTGACCCAAAATCCTGCTGAAAGTGTTCTTCCGAAACCTCAGAGCAGGAATGCTTCCTGTGCTTGGAAACTCCCTGGAGACACCTCCAATCGGAGTAAGCAGCAGAATTATCTGCACACTCATAGTCTTGCAGTCGAGTATTTTTACTGAAAAAAAAAAAGCCGTCTGTTTGAATAGGAAACGATGATATCATGTGACTGGCTTTCTCCTGCCACCCACTAATTTGACAACAGATCAGATCAGAGGAAAAGTTACTCAAGTCAGAATTTTTTTAAAAAAATCTTTTGGGAACAAACTCATAAATGGAAGAAAGGGGAGAGTAACAAATGCAGACTGAATACATGGCAGGTCCAGGCTTTTACTATCATTGTTTTTAGCTCACCAGGTAATCAAAGCATAAAACAAAGGGTGATTTGTCAAAGCTTATGCTGTTGTCCCTGAACCACCAAGGGGGGGGTGGCTGCTGGACTAATTCGCTTCACGTGGGAATCAGTGTTTACCATTTAAGGGTCCTGATAGAAAGTGCACGATTTTCAAACTGGAAAACATAAATAATAACGCGTGTTGCCACTAAAGTAGTGGCACCTTGCCGTATTTCTCTTCTGAATGGAACAACCTACATTTCAAAGGACAGTCTCCTTCCACATGTAAATATTTATTTGCTTGCTGCTGAGGAGTGTCAGGAAGTACTAAAGAACGGTGTTTAGAGTTTCAGAAGCAAATTGCTTCTGCGCACGCCTTGAGTCACTGGATTCTGTTGAGCTCTCTGCCTCTACGTCAGGGCTTCATTAATCTTTTCTTTTCTTAAAAAAATAGAAAAGCTTTTCATTTATTGCTTCTAGGAAGCCAGGTGCATTGCAGTGGATCTCTTCGGCAGAATCACTGCTTTGTGTGAATATTTATTGTGTAATTATTGAGCACCTACCATGTGCAGGGCAAGGCGGGGGGCACCCAGGCGTCCACTCTCCTGCAGAAGTCCTGGGTCCCAGGCCCGCATCTTTGGGGCCACCTTCAACTGGGAGGGTGTTCGCTTTTCTGTGACACAGAGAGGCTTAAATCCCTCAGTGATTTAAAAATCTCGTCTGTGAGTCCAAACTGCTAGGTTGGCAGCCAGGAAGAGAAAGTTCCCAGGATTTTCAGTGGCTGAAGTTCTGGGCAAACAGCATTTGCACAAAGGAGGGGGCGAGGAAGGGGTGCAGGGAGGGCTCTCCAAGTGCCTGTTCGGCATCAGTTTACAAGTGTGCTTAGGTTGTATTTAGATGTTACGATGATTTTAAAAGTGAAATTTTGGCATTTTGCATTCAATCCTGACTAAAGCTCTTTGGTATATCGACTTAAAAGGTCTTCAGATTGCCAAGATTTTGCAGCTTGGATAATATCTTTGGAAAGGTTAAATGAGTCCATTTTCTGGAGCTTTCGTCAGCACAAGCCCATGATTCTCTGCCCTGCTGAGAAAGGAGGAGGCGAGCTGAGTTCTAGCAGATCCCCTGCTTCCGTCTCCCTCGGGCGAGCCTGTGTCTTCCGTCCCAGGAAGCCCGCTGCCGAGAAGCTGCCGCGGGTACATGCATTTCCACCTGGGCGCTTCGTTGCGTGTGAAGAAGGCCGGACGACGTCTGTTGGTGTGGCCGCAGCCTTTCAAGACATTTTAGCAACATCTGAAAGGAGAACTCCACACAGGAGCCCAGGCCTGCAGCAGGGGGCGCGCCTGGCCTCAGAGCAAACACAAAGACCAGAGGCAAACTGGTGGGGAAACGGACCTGCTCCCCAGCACGTGGGGGGCGGGTGGGGGGGGGGAGCTCACAGCGAGCGCTGGGGAAGGGCTGGAGGTCTGCAGGCCCGGCCTCCCTCCTGAGATGGGGAGAAGGGCGTCTCCCCCAAGGTGCTTTCCGTTCTGTGCCTGTCGGTGGGAACACGTCCCTGAGCCCACAGACGGGTGCCCTCCCAACACCTGCGTGGCATCTGAGGGTGGCAGGCAGCCCTGGGCCCTTCCACTTCAGGCCAGCCCGCCGGAAAGCCCGCGAGCTCCTCTCCCAGCTGACCCGGGCCTTCCCTTTTCATCCCTCTTCCTCTCCCTCCCCGCCCCCCGCCTACACTCAACAATTGGTGACCTCCTTCCAACTGCTGTGAAGTGACTTGGGTGAAACTGGAGCCAGGGGCGGAGGAACAGCCCCCTCCTGCTCCCAGGAACTCGCAGGCACAGCCCTCTTGCAGGCTGCTGGCTTTTGTTTTTAAGAAGCACCGTGTATTTTCTCTAGCGCAGGCCACGCTCAAGTTCAGGGTATTAAGAAACTGCCGAGCTGTCACCTTCACCTCAGGGCATTCTTTCTATGTAGCGCCATGTGTACGAGCGAGATCTCCCAATAGCTACGCCGGACCCACTCCTCCCACAGTATCTGTGTGCTCCTCCCAGACATTTATGTGCACACATCTGCAGACTGTCGTTCTAAGGCTGGTAGAAAATATCAGAGAGCCTTTGGTCAAATGGCTAGAACAGACCTGCTGAGCCAGAGGAGAGAACCTAATTAATCTACAGAATGTTCTCAGCTCACCAGGATGTTGGGCAACAGGAACGTCCCAGGCCCTCCAAGGCCGAGGGAGAACAAAAAAGCGGCCTGTGATTCAGTCGGGTTCACACCGTGGAAGCCAGCTTCTCTGTAACCACCGAGACACGAGTCCTCCCACACAGGCCGCACCTGAGCCAGCAGCTGCCGCTGGCAGTCTCTGAACGCCTTATCACCTGGTCATGTGGCCTGAGCGTCAGGATATCTCATCCACATTTTTACTTTCCCTGCCATGTAATCAAATCTTTCCAAACCTTTAAAGAGTTAGGTGGGAAAAAAAAATCAAAGCCAAGTTTTGCATTACATCTCCTGTGTATTTTCAATCCATTACAACAGAAACCCAGAAGAGGAGAGGAAAAAAATTAGGGGTGGACATCTCTGGCATTTTTTTCCTGTGCCCCAGTGAACCCACGACTTCCTCCTCCTTCCCACCAGGGTTGGGAAAGTTCCCAATACTGTGATTATGATATACTATATTGGATACATTCTCTTTTCTTTTTTTAAGATAAAAGTTTTATTTCAGAGAGAAGCACAAAGCCCCAACTGTTGTGAACAAGGCAGGGATTTGTGGGGACTCTGAGACCTTCAAGAGGAAACAAAATGCATCAGCTTTTGATTAAGAAGAGGACACCATGGTCCCAGCCTCCACCTCTCATCTCCCTGGCCCCAGCCCATGGGTTCTCACGACCCTGGCAGAGGGCTCCTGGAGGCTCCTCCAGCCACATTCCTGCTGCCTCCCTCTCGGGCCCTGCTACTCTTATTAAATCATCTCCAGACCCTAAGCCTCCCTCCCCCATGCTGGATCAGTTTACCTCTGGATTCCCAGTTCAGCCATTGCCACGAGGTTCTTCCTTCTTCCCTCAAGACACAGCCCCTTGACCTCCCTCCATTCTGACTTCGGTAATCACCAACTCTGAGCAACCACATTCAGACTTCATCCATTCAATGTGCATTAAATGCCTATTGTGTGCCAAGTACAGTCCCCACACTTGGGGTGCAGCAGGCAAAAGGAGAGCCACGGGTTCATCGTCACAGGTTTCTGATGGCCACTTCTCGAGTTGATCCTCAGGTGGAATTGCCAGCCTTGGTGACAGGGCTTCCTGTACATCCATGCTTCCAACTCCAGGAAGACCCACCTCAGCTGGACAAGCACCTCATTCTGCACCTGTGGATTCCACAGTCCCACTGAGACACCAGTTCACCCCAGTTATCTCTAGAATGAGGCAGAGTTCAGGGAAACCACAAGAGTCAAGCTGACCCCCATCTTTCTGCACCCCTCTCCACCCATGACCCTCTCTAGATTGCATTTTCAATCTCCTCCCACGAATCCCTTCTCTTATTCCCACAACACAAGCTCACCTCTCCATGCCTTAGTAAACAAACCAACCAAGAAACAAAAAAAGAGCCCTCTGTTTTCGCTTCCCACCATCACATTGAAAAGAATAGTTCCCACTCTTCTGGCCTCCTACTGACTCTTAGATCCGTATAATCTGACATCCAGCTGAAACCTTCTGCCGTTATACATAATTGCTTTTTCAAAGATTATAGGACCAAATGACCCACGTTTATTTTAAATTTGGGTTTAGTATTCAATCACCGAGTCACTATATCCATCCTTACAACTCCTGTTCATGCCAAGGACCTTCATCTGAACTGTCACCACATTGGTAAAGGTCATGAGAGGAGATGCCTGGGGCTAGGTGTCCTAACCCGGGAGGAAATGCCAAGGACCTCCGACGGGGCAGAGGCAGAGGTAGGTTTAAATCCAAGCATAAAACCAGATTTTTAGCATCTAGGACCCCGAACCACACAAGTCCAGGTCTACTAGTTATCCATTGTTGCCTAACACTCATCCGGCCTTTAGAGGCTTAGACAACAATCAACACAGGTTATCTCACACAGTTTCTGCAGGCTGAGATTCAGGAGCACTTCAGCGGGGTGGTGCTGGCTCAAGGTCTCCCACGAGACCGCAGGCATGGTGTGGGTCAGGCTGAGGGCCTAAGGGTGACTTCCAGGCCGGCTCTGCCTCACCTGGGGTCTCAAAGGGCTGCCCCTCTGCCCTCAGGACACAGTGCTATCTTACTCCAGAATGGGAGATCAGACCACACAAGGCGGAAGCTGCAATGTCCTTAATACCATCATTCTGCATTACCTGTGGTAACACAGGTCCTCTCTGTTAGGTGTGAAATGGGGCTACACAGGTGTGAATGCTGGCATGAAGCTCCTTGGGTGCCATTTGGAGGCCACAGCAGGGTTAAATGGGACTCTGGAAGGGAGAGGGAAAATGGCTTTAGGAGAACCTGTTAATGGTTTCCAAACATGTTTTTTTCTTTTTCTTCTTCTTATTTTTTAAACTTTTTTTATTTATTTATTTTTTTAGATGGAGTCTCGCTCTGTTGCCCAGGCTGGAGTGCAGTGGCACGATCTCAGCTCGTTGCAACCTCCACCTCCCAGGTTCAAGCGATTCTCCTGCCTCAGCCTCCTGAGTAGCTGGGATTACAGGTACCTGCCACCACGCCCGGCTAATTTTTGTATTTTTAGTAGAGATGGGGTTTCACCATGTTGGCCAGGTTGGTCTTAAACTCCTGACCTCAGGTGATCCGCCCTCCTCGGCCTCCAAAGTGCTAGGATTACAGGAGTGAGCCACCGCACCCGGCCTATTTTTCTTATTTTTTTTTAAAGCAGAATTATTTGCTCAAAAACCTTGTTATCAGAATTACAGTTTATATCCAAATGAAAATACAGCCATCCTAGCTCAAGCCATGATGGGCTGAGGCTCATCTCCCCACACCCTGCCTTCTCCATCACCCCCAGTCAAGTGGTCTTGGAGACTTCTTCAGAGGACGAAGACTTCAGCCCGCAGGGTAGGAGGAAACGGGGCCTGCTTGACCGCTGGGACCCTGTCCATTAGGAACAGTTTTTGGAAAGCCATTTGGCAATATTTATCAAGATCTAAAACACACATGTCCTTTGGCCCATCAGTTTTACTTCCAGGAATTCATGCAACGCAGATGCTTGCATCAGTTTACAGAGATGCCGGCACAAGCATATTCAGTTCAGAGTCTCATGGCAAAATTTTGGAAACATTTAAGTGTCCATTGATAAAGGGCTGCTTAAGTAAGCGATAGGACTGCCAGACAATGGGATACTAGGCACTTCTTTAACAGTTAGGCACTTGAATTGACATGGAGATGTTTATTGTCCCTTAAACAAAGCGAGCTGCAAAACACCACTTAAAGTTTGATCCTATTTTTGCCAAAAAGAAAAAAAGATGCTCACATATATACTTTACTGGTCCTAGAAGGTTTCTGCACAGTGGTAACATGATTTCCCTTTGGAAATTAGCAATGAGGAAGGTGAAGTCAGTGAAGGAATCAAGAGGTTTTAATTTTTAAATTTATATCACTCAATATTTTTAAACTGCTTTCAACCATTTTATGATGAATCACTTTTTTGTGTTGGGATACAATTCACATACCATGACATCTACCACTTTAAAGTTTACAGTGCAGCAGTTCTTAGTATCTTCATGACATCGTGCACTGGTCACCACCGCTCTTGGGACCGCAGCACCACAGGTCCCCTTGCTCTAAGCCCTCTCCCCCACAGCCTTGGGCCCTCCCCCTGTTCCAATGCCCTTCCCATCCCCCTTCCACCTTCCCTGACTCCCTGCCCCTCTGCATGCCCCTCTTCCTACCTCTTAGCACCTCACTGCTGACAGACGCGTCGCTGCCTTGGTCCCTCTGCCTCCCCATCTAGAAACTGAGTCCCAAGCACTTGTTTGCTTCCTGCAATATCTCTGGCATCTAGAACAGCATCTTGAACAGCATCTTGTAACGGAGACTGCCGTTAAGATCAGCCTCTGTGGACTTGGCGAACTGGATGGTCCTTTGCCCTGAACACCCCTTCCACATTTCCAAGTGCCTGCCAGATGTTTCTTTCTATATGATTGGCCAGCACCCTTAATCAACATGTTCACAAAACAAACACACACAACAAACCCTCACTGTATCCCACTCACGTTTTCACGGCCCAGCCCCAGGTGGAGGAGGGAGCGGAAGGTCTCCAGCGATTTCCTTCCCCGTCGATCCTACACCACGCGCATGAACATGCTTGCATCCTCAATTCCGGGCTTCCAGAGACTGGCCTGATGTACCACCAAACAAAACCAGAGAGAGACAAGGGCCACTGCCACTTGTGGACCTGAGGCACGCGGGGAGATTGCACGCAGCTTGCAAATCCCACAAAACACGTAATTAAATCGCTAAACCTGTGAGGCTCAACAATCTTAAATGGGTCTGACTCATCCTGGTGCCTGTTTGCAGCATCATAGCAGAAAATGTACTTGAGGAAACAGAAAAAAAGACTGAGAACAAAATAAAATGTCAGTGAAATGAAATGTCAGATGTGCCTTTCCTTATTCATCTTCCAGCCAGAAAGACCCCAACAGGGCCAGCTGATCACTCATATGTTTTTAGGGTGTTTTTTTTTGGTACAAATTCAAGGCTAGAGATTCCTTTGGACAAATTCATTTCCAGAAGGCAAAGAATTTCCCTTTGGATTTTATGCAATCAGAAGAGAAACCAGAATATATAATGAAGTGTTTAAATAATATCAACTTAATTTTGAACTGTTTTGGTTCATTTACTTTTTTATCTTTATACTTGGAGAAAATCTGAAAATTCAGGCTTCTACCATGGCAGGAAGGGATCCCTAGACAACCTGAGACTGAGCTGCTGGCTTCTCAAACCCCCTTTTTAAGACTGCTTCTGCCTCTTGCTGCAAATTTAGAAGGTACTTTCTCCTATAACCTAAAGTTACACCTGTTTCTGCATCTACGTATATGAATGTGTAGCTGGGTGAGGGACGATGACTGCCTTCAAATTGCTTACATTTTTTTCTAGAGCGAAAGGAAGCAAAGAAAACAGGGGGCTCAGGTGCCTATAAAAATGGAGGCGTCGGCCGGGCGCGGTGGCTCACTCCTGTAATCCCAGCACTTTGGGAGGCCGAGACGGGCGGATCACGGGGTCAGGATATCGAGACCATCCTGGCTAACACCGTGAAACCCCATCTCTACTAAAAATACAAAACATTAGCCGGGCATGCGAGACTCCGTCTCAAAAAAAAAAAAAAAAAAAAAAAAAGGAGGCGTCAAAATTGCTACTGAGTCTGGACGGGAGGAACTGCAGGATGTGCCAGGCTGGCTCTGCAGCCAGAAGTAGCCCAAGGCAGGGTGCTTTCTCCCTGGGCAGGTGTGCAGGGCTCTCCTTTGCTCAACAGTGACACACAAGTCTGTCTTCTCCATAGATGTCCACAGCCCAGCCATAATTTTCCTGCTCGTGCCTCTTCCAGCACCTTCACTTCTATTTATGGGAGAACAATATCCTTTCAAAGCCTTGTCTGCGGGACTCATGCCCAGTATTTGAATGTACCCGAAGGGCCGGCAGCAGAGGGATGCGAGTGTACAGCCCTGGGCTTTTCTCTCCCGCGCCTCCTCCGACCCCCTTCTCGGCATGGCGGCTTTTGGCTCCCCCAGATTTCTTCCATGTCGTCTCCCCTGTTCCAGTGTCCCCTGTCCTTCCCTTTGTGTCGGGCACGCACTGCGGTTCTCGTTCTCTAGCATCAGATGGTGCAGCCGCCGCCTCTTGGCGGCCCAGCCTCCAGAGGACCCATCCGCGTGCTCAGCAGCCCCTGCCGCGAGGCGCGCACAGGTGTCCATTTTACAGATGAGAAACTGAGGCTCGGTGAGGCGCTCACCCCAACCTCAGCACCCGTGTTCATTTACAGACGAGGAACAGTGAGGCATTTACCCTGACCCAGCTAAACAATCGCCAAGTCAAGATGTGAAATCAGATCTACTTCGGGTTTAGCGCGCTCTTCCTTGGGCCTCTGCCATCTGTTTGGCTCCACGCTTTCTGTAATAACAGTTACAAGTTAGTAAGCAAGTGTTGCGTGCAGGCGCTGTCCTCACAACTTTGCTAGTAAGGGAGAGGCGGGGCTTGCACGAGACCGCCTGGCCCAGGGCCCGAGTCCTAACCCTTCTGCTCTACCTCCCTCCACTGTGAAAGACGTCTCATTTAGAAACATCTTCGTGTCCCCTGCCTCCATCCCTTTTCTCAGAGTTGATTGCAATGTTTTACAAGTTTGGCAGGAGCAAGGCAGGGAGAGAGGCGTTCCTGCTTAAATGTCCCCTCCAAAACTCATGTTGAAACTTAATCCCCAATGTGGCAGCACTGAGAAGTGGCGCCTTTAAGAGGGCACCCCCCTCATGAATGGATGAATCCCTTCATGGACTGGTGGGTTCATGGATTAATGGGTTATAACGGGAGGGGAACAGGTGGCTTTAGAAGAGGAGGAAGAGGCTTGAGCTAGCACATTGCCATGTTAACATGCTCAGCCCCCTCTCCATGTGGAGCCCTGCATTGCCTTGGTGTTCCCTATTGAGTCCCCAGTAGCAAGAAGGCCCTAACCAGATGCCACACCTCCAGCTTGGACTTCTCAGAGGCCTCCATAACTGGAAGAAATAAATTCCCTTTCCTATAAATTATCCAGTTTCAGGTATTTTGTTATAAGCAATTGAAAATAGACTAAGGCAGTTGGAAAGAGGGGATATGGGTCCAGGGAGCAGACTAATATCAGCAGGATAAAGGCCTCCCTGTGCCCTGGCCAGGTAAATACCATCGTCGCGTTTCCCGGCTCTCTCACAATTCCCCTTCAATGCCATCTGCTCCATCTCCTCCCACCTTTCCTAAGTCCACTCCAGGCAACACCTTCTCCCGCCCCATCGCACCCTGGCCACCCCACCTCCTCTGTGCTCTGGAATGGACGTGTGTTCCATGGGACTTCAGGGGAGGGAGACATCACCCATCATCTACATGCACTCAGCCATGAGCTTTTGGGCAGGGCTCATGGCACCCTCTGCCTCTCTGTGTAACTCAGCGGCACATTTTAACCTGGGGCCCCACCCCCTTTCTCCATCGGACCTGTGCGAAAGAATGAAAGAATGTGCTTGTCTTGAGACCCTGCCTCACCGGAAAAAGGATTCCCTCCCGTGATGTCCAACTCAAAGAGCTGTGTGCAGGCAGGCACCTTCAGGGTAGAGGGGACTCTACCTGGCACCCCAGAAAGTGAACCAACCACGCAGTCCCCCTCTGCCTTCCAGTGTTCCCACTTCACCCAGACTGAATGTGGGTGAGTGTATACTCCGGTCCGAATATACCAATCGCAAAAGTCCTCTCTTCCTAGATGGAGGAAGAAATTCCAATTGGAACCCCTGCCCTTGTCTGGGGAACCAGCATGACTGGGATGCAAGGATGCCATTCCTGGCCCTCTGGGCGGAAGACCACTCCTGCGGAGGGTGCCTGCTCGCCTTCAAGGCTTCGGTCGTGCTGGCGTTGGGCGCCAGGTCCTTTGGAATAACCAGTCTCCCAGGCGGCAGTCATGAGAAGGCTAATGCCCATCACTCCAGGGAGCCCACCACGCAGGCACACCGCCCCCGCCACCGCAGGCACACACGCAGGCAGACACGCAGGTACACACGCAGGCACATCGCCCCCTCCACCGCAGGCACACACGCAGGCACACACACACACGCAGGTACACACGCAGGCACATCGCCCCCTCCACCGCAGGCACACACGCAGGCAGACACGCAGGTACACACGCAGGCACATCGCCCCCTCCACCGCAGGCACACACGCAGGCAGACACGCACACACGCACACACGCAGGCACATCGCCCCCTCCACCGCAGGCACACACGCAGGCAGACACGCACGCACACACACACGCAGGCACACACGCAGGCACACCGCCCCCGCCACCGCAGGCACACACGCAGGCAGACACGCAGGTACACACGCAGGCACACACACACACACGCAGGCACACCGCCCCCGCCACCGCAAGCACACACGCAGGCAGACACGCAGGTACACACGCAGGCACACACACACACGCAGGCACACACGCAGGCACATCGCCCCCTCCACCGCAGGCACACACGCAGGCAGACACGCACACACGCAGGCACACACACAACACTTTTCTTACATAATTTACTCTTTCCTCTGACTCACGGCATGTTTCCCTCGTGTGTAATGAAACACCTCCCATTATGCACCCTGGGAACATATAAGTTCTAAAGAGAGTTGCCTGAGTGTTTACATGGGAAAAATAAGTATTTATTAAAAATAATATTTGAAGCTGGAAATAACATGCCTTGACAGTTTAGAAGAAGAGATTTGAAAGACTTTTTTTTTTTTTTCAGTTATTCACACAAACATCTTACTGTTACCATAGATACAGATCTATCCAAGGGCAGAGTCCTTCCCAGAGAAACCCACTCCGTCAGCCCCGGGCTCTGCTGCTGATGTGAGGGCGTGTGGGGAGTGGGAAGGCTCAGGAGCTGCCTTCAGCACATCCCCCCAGGTTCTCTGTTTTCCGTAGGTGACAGCAGGGCTAGCTTGGAGGAATTGGGCCAAACTGGAAACTGGAACCTGCCTGCCCGCCTGCCGCCACAGCCAGCGGAACAGAGCTTCTCCCCGGCCCCGCCACCCCAGGCAGGGAACAAGTCCTCATTTACCGGCCAAAATAAATATGCTTCCAGTCCAGAGAAGAAAGTGATTCTGGTTTTTAAGACTTGAAATCACACACTATTGTGGCTGCAGCGTTGTAGTGAGTCTTTTTGTTCTGTGTTCGATGCAGTGTATTCTCTGTGAAAAAAAAAAATAACCTGAGAACAAAACAAAACAGAAAGCACTGGGCAAGTGAGACCCTCCGGAATTCAATACAAGGGGAAAACTGAAGGCCCTTCCATCGATATGACCGAGAGAAGAGAGAGGTATTCAGAAGAAATGGGGCAAATTCAGAACCGGTGGGTCCAAGTGAATTAACTAATGTTCCCTTGAATGTGAACTTGAGCTTTAATTCTGGGTTTTGCTTTGAGCTGTGGGCTTAATCACTTAGTTCAAAAACCCCAGAGTTTCACGTTCCTTGTAAACGTAACACCTTGATCACCCATTGCAGCTCGCTTCTTCTTCTTTCATCTGCTTAATTAAGCCTAAGTCTATTTATGGGACTTAAATTTGCCCTTTGAAGTCATGAAAAAGTTTTGGAAATGGAGAGTGGTGACGGTTGCTCAACATTGTGAATGTAATTAATTGTACGCTTAGAAATGTTAAATAGCACATTTTATTATACATATATTTTACCACGATTGAAAAACAAATTTTCAACATAGCCACCCAGAAGTCTAAGAAAACCAAATTTTTTTTAGTTTAACTAAAAATAGAAACAAGAAAGGAAACCAAAATTGTAGTGTTAGTTATCCTATATTTTGCAAAATGCTTATGTTAGCATTTATTTATTTATTTGTTTGTTTGTTTGTTTATTATTTGTTTGTTTTTGACATGGAATTTTGCTCTTGTTGTCCAGGCTGGAGTGCAATAAAGCAATCTTGGCTCACTGTAGCCTCTGCCTACCGGGTTCAAGTGATTCTCCTGCCTCATCTCCCGAGTAGCTGGGATTACAGGTGCCCAGCACCACACTCAGCTAATTTTTGTATTTTTAGTAGAGACAGGGTTTCACCACGTTGGCCAGGCTGGTCTCAAACTCCTGATCTCAGATGATCTGCCCACTGCGGCCTCCTAAAGTTCTGGAATTACAGGTGTGAGCCACTGCGCCCAGCCTTATGTTAGCATTTAGCATGGTAAGATAAGCATTCATGTGGAACCAACCCAAATGCCCATCAATGTGGAACCAACCCAAATGCCCATCAATCAATGAGTGGATAAAGAAGCTGTGGTATATATACGATGGAATGCTATGCAGCCATAGAAAGGAATGAATTAATGGCATTCACAGAGACCCAGATGAGATTGGAGACTATTATTCTAAGTGAAGTAACTCAGGAATGGAAAACCAAACATTGTATATTCTCACTCATAAGTGGGAGCTAAGCTATGTGGATACAAAGGCATAAGAAGGACACAGTGGACTTTGGGAACTTGGGGAAAGAATGGGAAGGGGGTGAGGGATAAAAGACTATAAATAGGGTACAGTGTACACTTCTCGGGTGATGGGTGCACCAAAATCTCACAAATCACCGCTACAGAACTTACTCGTGACCAAACACCACCTGTTCCCCAATAACCGATAGAAACAACAAATTTAAAAAATAATAATAAACTTACACTTTTTGAGGACAAAAAAAGAGATGACCTTTTTGTGTGTGTAGAACAATTCAAGAATAAAATGAATTGCTTTACTTTAGGGGAAAAGAAATGAAACAAGTTGTGCTTTGGGGGCCATGGTTGGCAGCAGAAGGCAGCACCACGTGGTGGAATGCAGCCTCTCTGTTGCCTGGGAGGCCGGTCCTCAAGTGGTCCCAGGACGGGGACACAGCAGGTTTCAAGTGTTTGGTCCTAGTCCCTGGGTGACAACCCCACTTGCTCCCATCACCTGGGTAGCTCAGGCAGCCCTCTCTGAAGAATGCCGTCAGCATTACCCATGGTCGCCCTTGTAAAGGCCAACTTTGTCTGAGCCAGGTCAGTGTTCCTTGAAAGGGTTTTAAAAGGGCAGACGTGGAAGGCAAGGATGTGGGGAGCAGAGACTTGAGTCTCTGACGCTAGCAGAGGGTCTAGAGAAATCTGATCGGGATTTGTATACCCTAAACTTGTGTTTCTCCGAATCTGGGTAGAATATCACAGATCCATTTTCACTCTTTCCACCATCTCTCTTTCAAAAAAAAAAAAAGTTTGTGAAATCCAGTTAGAAGTTTAAACCTACACAATTTAAATATTCCACATAGAAATCACAATATTCTAGGATAAACACTGGCGAAGTCTTGATTACTGGTGAAGAAAGTCAGGATGACCCATCCCTGTCTGAACAGAGCAGAGGTGGTACTGATATTGACACTTCCCTTCATATCCTGGGCTGTGTATAGAGGCCCTTTCTACTTGTTTATGTTAATGATGCCCCTTCTGGATGCAATTGTTATTTGCATATGTGGATTTGATAGAAAAGATCAAAATGTGGCCAATCATTCCGTCTATTTGGTGTATGTGTGAGGATTGTATTTTATTTTTAATTAATTAATTTATTTGTTTGAGACAGGGTCTCACTCTGTTGCCCAGGCTGGAATACAGTGCTGCAGTCATAGCTCACTGTAACCTCTGACTCCTGGCCTCAAGCAATCCTCACACCTCAGCCTCCCGAGTAGCTGCACTACATGTGTGTGCCACCATGCCTGTAGTCCTTTTGAAAATTTTTTTCTTTTCTTTTTTTTTTTTTTGAGACAGAGTTTTGCTCTTGTTGCCTAGGCTGGAGTGCAATGGCGCGATCTTGGCTTACCACAACCTCTGCCTCCTGGGTTCGAGCAATTCTCCTGCCTCAGCCTCCCAAGTAGCTAGGATTACAGGCGCCCACCACCACGCCTGGCTAATTTTGTATTTTTAGTGGAAACAGGGTTTCTCTGTGTTGGTCAGGCTGGTCTCGAACTCCCAACCTCAGGTGATCTGCCCACCTAGGCCTCCCAAAGTGCTGGGATTACAGGCGTGAGCCACCGCACCCAACTTAAATTTTTTTTAAAAAAATTAAAAAATAATAATAATTAAAAATTTTTTTGCAGTAGTGAGGCCTCACTATATTGCCCAGGCTTGTCTTGAACTCCTGGGCTCAAGCAAACGTCCCACCTTGGCCTCCCAATGTGTGGGGATTACTGGCCTGAGCCACCATGCCCAGCCTGTGTGAGGATTTTAAAGATAAACACCTAATTTGTTTGGAGGACAAAATCCACCCAGGTGGTGCTCCACACCACTTACTTTGTGTAGCCACAGCCCCTGATGAAATTGGCAGCCGATGGTTAAAGGGAATCAGCATTGCCTTGGTACACAGCCCTTGGACACCAGCGCCAGCCATGGCCATTTGTCTTGGTATTGTGAATGTTGAGTGTTTTAGGGGACATGGTTACTTTTATGATTTGTAGCTGTCAAAATAGGCCATCTTTTCATCTTTTCAAGAGTCAGTACTAGATACCTGGGTAACAATGGGAAAAAGATGACTCCACCACAGGGCAGATGGGGAGGCCTTCAGCAGTATCTTCCTCACACGGTGGTGTTTGAGGAGAACTCACTAAGGGCAAAGTTTTAAAAAAGTAAAAATCACCCCAAAATTACACTTAAAATATACTTTTGAGGTTAACCTCATATAAATTCCTGATTTGCAGGACAGGGGGAATGTAGATTTTAAACCTCCTTAAAATTACATATACAACTAAACATATCTTAACTCCTAGGATATACTTATAGCAATTTAATATATGAGAAAGTACTTTGAAAAAAATAGTATTATGCATATAAATAAAATTCTATTGGAAATAAATGAATTCTCATTTAGTACAGATTTTCAAAATATTAATGGATCCAGGTTTAATATTTTTGCAAAAAGCAGTGTTTAAGACCTTATTTTTCCATATTAAAGGATACATTCTTATATTGTCCACATGCAAAAAAAAGAGGCATATACCTGACTTTAACATTAAGACTGGTACTCCGTGTAATCTACTTTGCACAAATTCCTCACCAAACTAAATTTATCCCAAGATGAGAAAAAGAGCAAGTGGACTGAGAGTGAGATGTCCTGGCATCAGTATAATAGTACAGCACGTTCTGGACTGCTGGGGTGTTTCACAGGACGCTTGACCCCCCTGGTCTATAAAAGAGGGGTCAGGTCCTTAAAATCCCTCAAAATACTGAGAGTGAGATGTCCTGGCATAATACAGTAGGTATGGGACTGCTGGGGTGTTTCACAAGATGCTTGACCCCCCTAGTCTATAAAAGAGGGGTCAGGTCCTTCAAATCCTTCAAAATGCTAAGTTCTATTCTCAATGGACCAAAGTCAAATAGTTGGTGATTTTTACTAGGGTCAGTATGTCCATAGCTACACAGGTGTGTGTGTGTGTGTGTGTGTGTGTGTGTGTGTCAGAGAGAGAGAGAGAAAAAGGGTCTTGGTGTCTCAGTTTGTTTGCCTGCTATAACAAAATACTTTATACTGGGTAATTTATGAACAATGGATATATATTCCTCACAGTTTCGGGGAGGCTGAGGAGTCCACGATCAAGAGACCAGCACACTGGGTGTCTGGTGAGGGCCCGTTCCTCACAGATGAAGCCTTCCATGTATCCTCACATGGCAGAAGGGACGAACAAGCTCCCTCAGGCCTCTTTTAGGGGGCTGCAATCCCATTAGCCAGGGCAGAGCCCTCATAAGCTAATCACCTCCCAAAGGTCCCACCTCGTAATACTATTGCATTGGAGATCAGGTTTCAACATGTGATTTTTGAGAGGACACACACATTCAGGCCATGTAACTTGGATAAAGATCTTAGATTCATTACAGTTCAATACAACTCTTCAGTTTTAATGGTTAGTGACATCATGGATGTAAGTAATAGGAAGCAGTTCAAGTAAAGTGGACAACAATTTTGATTTTGTTTTACTTTTATGTTGTTGTCTGTTTAAAGCAGAGCATTGTTTAGATTTTTAGTAATAGATAAAAGGAGAAAACAAGATGGCTAATTATAAACTCTTCTTAAGTTTTTTAGTCCCTTTAAGACAAGAATCTCCGAATCCTAATACTTCAGAAATGGTTACAGTAGGAATGGACGACAAGATGAATGGATGATTACAAGGATAATGAATGAATGGATGGATAGGAGAATAGATGAATGGATGGATGGACGGATAGAATAGATGGATTGATAGAGTAATAGATTGATGAATGATAAATAGAAGAATGGATGGATGGATGAGTGAATGGATAGAAGGTGGAATGGATGGATGGATGGATGGACTAGATTGATGGATAGATTAATAGAAGAATGGATGGATGGATGGATGAATGTATAGTAGAATAGGTGAATGGGTGGATGGATAGAATAGATGGATCGATAGAGTAATAGATTGATGGATGATAAACAGAAGAATAGATGGATGGGTGGATGGATAGAAGGAGGGATGGATGGATGGATGAATGGATGGATAGACTAGACTGATGGATGGATTAATAGAAGAATAGATGGATGGATGAATGTATAGTAGAACAGGTGAATGGATGGATGGATAGAAGAATAGATAGACGGATCAAGGGATGGATGGATGGATGGATGGATGGATGGATGGATGGATTGATGGACGGATGACTGGAAGAATAGGTAGATGATGAAGGGCAGGAGGGAAGGCTGAACAGTGACAGATTAGAAGACAGTGAAACTCATATGACTTGTTTGACTTAGCGGCGTCTTTAAAATGGAACGGAAATTTACACTGAATCTAGTTATGAAAGTAGTGTTAATGTACTTAGCAATACTTCTTAAAGCATGACCTACACAGTACATAGGTTTAAAAAAGATATTGGGAAGCTTGTCGAAAATGCAGACTCCTAGGCTCCTCCTTAGATCTTCTAACTTTGAATCATTAAGGCGGGGTCCCAGGAATGCATGTTTTTACAAGCTCTCTATGCATCCCGAAGCTGAAAATTACTCACAGTGTTACAAAATCAAGGAAATAAGGCATCTTGTTTGTTATGTTTTTCAATTTCTATGCCTGTGGAATCACTAAGAGGAGAAAATAAGGGAAAAAGAAGTCTGTCAGTGGGGATGACACCATATAAACATGGAGTAAAAACAAACAAGACTCGGACCGGTTACCTGAGGATAGAGTGAACAAACCACTTCTACTACAGCACAGGGACTGTGCCTCTCAGCCTAAAGATACTTCTGTGCAATCATTTCAGGATTATATTAGTAATGTCTGACATCTCTATATGGGGTAATAGTGAATAATTTTATTAAATGATGCTTTCTTTGACATAAAATGCATCTTGGACATTTTAATACAATATGAATGGAAATTACACAGGAATATCACAGCCTGTCCCATCAGTAACACCATAACGTAGCTGGGAAGAGGGCAGTTAATTCTTATGTAGCAGGGCATGCATATCATACATGGGAAATGTATCTCAGTGCAAACGCCTCGGGGCTTAGCACATTTTGTGCATTTAAATAAAAAAAGGCATAGGTGTATGTTCAGTATAAATCACTGGAATTACAGTGTGACTTATGGACTCGGTGCATTTCCGAAATAGAGTCCCTGAAGCTAATGACTTTAATTTAACACCAGCCTGTGTGATTCAAGCTGTAGTTTAAATATTTATCCTGAAACATTCATGGATGCACAATACATGCATTAACTCTGGGTCATTCTCCATGAGACGAGCGCGGGGACAGGAATGCATTTATTAAACCCCCGTATCGGCATCGTTTTCATTTCCTTTCTTGCTGGATCTAAACGGCAGCTGGGTCCCACCCTGCTGAAATATCATGTCAATGGTGACAATATAGAGGGTCAGATATTATTTCATTATGTAATGTTGCTGGAGATCACAAGGCACGTATCCATTTTGAAAATGGGATGCTGCTTCTCAGAGCCTGTTATGAAACAGACTTCACACTGAAGCTTTTAAAAGATTAGAAGATAGGTGCATTGGAAGCAGAAGATATTCTATGCAGTATTCCAACCCAAACGCCCAACGCGCAGGGCAGTAAAAGACATTTCATCTCTCTGAATCTCTCAAGCTGTCCTCATATTTCAAATGCATAGTAATTTATTTGGGGGCAATTAACTGTGTCTGTTTCTCTGTTTGGAAAACAGCAGTAATACCTATTTCCAAGACCAGTTAATATTTACTGGGTGTAGCTGGCTGCTGCAACCGTATCCCTCGTCCATGCTAGTTGGTTGATACCCAGTGGATTGTTAAATATTTTTAGTATCACTCCTGCCTATCTCAAACTATTGTTTAAATCAAATGAAATCATGATCATCATCATTTATTGAACAGGCATTGTTCAATAAATTGGAAAACTTATAAACTAAGTCCTTCAATGATATTACCGTATCTAGTTAACCCAATTTTGGAGATAAGCAAATGGGACCCAGGAGCCCTCCTCCTGAGCAGGAGCATGGGCCAGAGCCTGGGATTGCCACCCCGGCACTCACGCTGTGCCTCCTCATGTCACCCACCACCTTTGAAGTCCTCAAAAATTTCCCGGCCCATAAGTTAGTTTTCTTCTTCGAATATCTAGGTCAAAGATATTCTCCATGTCTGGACACTCTCTTTAACTTTCTCTAACTCTGAATGGTTAGCACAAAAGGCCTGTCAGCCAGGCGTCATTCCTGTGACAATGGTTTGATTAGGATTTTTCCATTTGATGATGGTGTGAAAGTGGAACCTATTCAGCAGTCTCTACTTCGAGCACCCATAGGACCATTCCGTTTTTCACTGAGTACAGTCAATCAATTTCATGAGATATTCACCACTTTATTATAAGACAGGCTTTGTGTTAGAGCCTTTGCCCAGCTGTAGGCTAGTGTGAATGTCCTGAGCACGCGTAAGGTAGGCTCGGCTCAGCTACGATGTTCGGTACGTTAGGAATAGTAAATGCATTGTTGACTTACTGTATTTTCAATTTATAATGTGTTTCTTGGGATGTAACCCCATCAGTCAAGGAGAATCTGTATTGTGATAAAAGTTTATTTTTCACTTTAAAATCAGTAAAGAGTATTATGAAATTACTCATAAACAGTCAAACAAAACTGTAAAACACAAATGTAATCTGTGGCTACATTTATTGAAAGCCGGAGGCTGGTGTCTCCCTCGGCACTGGAGAGACCCGCCCAGAGTCCTCTCACCCCTAGGGACGACATTTTCACAGGCTAACTGGACTCTCCAAAAGTGAACAGCAGAGATTCTGGAAGATCTAGAAATGCAAACACACAGCACACCATGAAGGACTGAATGGAACTAAGCTGGGGAGGGAAAGGTTTCAGAGGCACCATGATGGCAAATTCATCCCACCACAGAGGAAGGGAATTTGACTCATAAGGCTCTGGGCTGGGGGCTGGGGAAGCAGAGTTACTTCATAAATGGGACCACAGCCAGGTAAGTTTGGGACTAATGTTAAGTTCAAATTTTCAAAAGCAAAAAAGAGAAAGACTTTTAAATTGAGAAATGTTTTTTACGGCCTGGAGAGTCTTCTGTCCCTGCACTTGATTAAGTACAGGCCAGCCAAGTACTTAACAGAGTGTTATAGGCACAGTCAAGCCTTTGATCTGTGTTTGGGTTCCATGGCCTCCCAGTCTCGAGATTCCAGGAATCTAAACTGTGAGCAAAGAAAGATACCAGTCTTTTCAACTTGATACCTTATCCTCAAGATCTGCCATCTGTTAAAAGTTTTTTTTTTCTTTTGGTGGAGGGGAGGAGTCTTGCTCTGTCAGCCAGGCTGGAGTGCAGTGACGCGATCTCGGCTCACTGCAACATCTGCCTCCCGGTTCACGCCATTCTCCTGCCTCAGTCTCCCGAGTAGCTGGGACTACAGGTGCCCACCACCACGCTTGACTAATTTTTTGTATTTTTAGTAGAGATGGGGTTTCACCGTGTTAGCCAGGATGGTCTCGATCTCCTGACCTTGTGATCCACCCGCCTCGGCCTCCCAAAGTGCTGGGATTACAGGCATGAGCCACCGTGCCCGGCAAAAGTTTTACATTAACTTGTTGAATTATGAATGGCCATTGGGAAGGGACTGCTGGACATCAGTCACTTTACCATTGGGAGAAGAGCAGCTGTTCATTCATCCGAAGGTGACCTAGCAAGCACCCACAAGGTGCCACACACGGCTCTGGTCCCTTGGATGATGTCATTGATCAAAACAAACATCCCTGCTCCTGTGGGGCCTACATTCTATCAGGAGGCCACAGACCATAAGCAATGGACGTGAAGAACAAATAAATTATATGGTCACGAGAAAGGAGGAGCCAGTTTGCCGGATGCGTGGGGTTGGGGGCCAAGCAGGCTGGGCACGGGGGACGGGGAAGCTCTTCTGCAGGGTGCTCTACGGCTAGCTGAGACCCCCTGCACTTTCAGACTCCCCCGGCCCAGTGTAAGCCGTGCAGCTCAACTCTCTCTGTCCCTGATTATGAGTAGTTTAAATAAAGAGCAAAATGGACAGGCTGGAATTTCACTTTGGTTGCTGTTGGATTTTATTCCCATGAATATGCTTTGGGTTAGAGGGTAACCAGCAGCATCCAAGACACGCATTTCAGTAGACGGCAAAAAAGGAGGAGAAAGAATTTTGAGTAACTCACTCATGGATAGATGCACCCTGTCTACAAAGGAGCTGCACTGCAATTTTCTTAAAGTCCCATTCACGGAGATCAGTTTTCATAAGAGAATGAAAAGATACAGTCAACAGGGAACTCGGGCAGGGCAAACCAGCTCCACATGTTGGGAAGTAGTTTGGTGCTATCCATCTAATGCTATAGAAACATGTTAGATCCTTTGACCTTTTCATCTTCATCTTTTTTTTTTTTTTTGACAGGGTCTCACTCTGCCACCCAGGCTGGAATGCAGTGGTGTGATCTCTGCTCACTGCAGCCTCAACCTCCCAGGTTCAAGGGATCCTCCTGCCTCAGCCCCGCAAGTAGCTGGGACTAAACGCACGCATCACCACGCCCAGCTAGTTTTTGTATTTTCTGCAGAGATGGGTTTTCACCATGTTGCCCAGGATGATCTGGAACTGGATTCAAGTTATCTGCCAGCCTCCCAAAGTGCTAGGATTACAGGTGTGAGCCACTGTGCCCAGCATTTATCTTCATTTTTAAGTACTTAAACTGTTTTATATATATCATTACAAAAGGAATATCTACTTGTAAATAATTGAAACAACACAAAAGAATAAAAACGAGAGTAAAAATTTCCAAAATTCCCATAGACTCATGGTTATGAGTGTTTTGCTATGTCCTCCTGAGAGGTGACAGCGTGCTGGCAGTCCTCACAGCCCTCGCTCGCTCTCGGCGCCTCCTCTGCCTGGGCTCCCACTTTGGCGGCATTTGAGGAGCCCTTCAGCCCACCACTGCACTGTGGGAGCCCCTTTCTGGGCTGACCAAGGCTGGAGCCCACTCCATCAGCTTGCAGGGAGGTGTGGAGGGAGAGGCGCGAGCGGGAACCGGGGCTGCGTGCGGCGCTTGCGGGCCAGCTGGAGTTCCGGGTGGGCGTGGGCTTGGCGGGCCCCTAACTCGGAGCAGCCGGCCAGCCCTGCTGGCCCCGGGCAATGGGGGACTTAGCACCCGGGCCAGTCGCTGCGGAGGGTGTACTGGGTCCCCCAGCAGTGCCAGCCCACTGGCGCTGCGCTCCATTTCTCGCCGGGCCTTAGCTGCCTTCCCACAGGGCAGGCCTCGGGACTGCAGCCCGCCATGCCTGAGCCTTCCCCCGCCTCCATGGGCTCCTGTGCGGCCCGAGCCTCCCCGACGAGCACCACCCCCTGCTCCACGGGGCCCAGTCCCATCGACCGCCCAAGGGCTGAGGAGTGTGAGCGCACAGCGTGGGACTGGCAGGCAGCTCCACCTGCAGCCCCGGTGCGGGATCCACTAGGTGAAGCCAGCTGGGCTCCTGAGTCTGGTGGGGACGTGGAGAGTCTTTATGTCTAGCCCAGGGATTGTAAACACACCAATCAGCACCCTGTGTTTAGCTCAAGGTTTGTGAGTGCACCAATCGACACTCTGTATCTAGCTGCTCTGGTGAGGACATGGTGAACCTTTATGTCTAGCTCAGGGATTGTAAATACACCAATCAGCACCCTGTGTCTAGCTCAGAGATTATAAATACACCAATTGACACTCTATATCTAGCTACTCTGGTGGGTCCTTGGAGAACCTTTATGTCTAGCTCAGGGATTGTAAATACACCAATCGGCACTCTGTGTCTAACTCAAGGTTTGTAAACACACCAATCAGCACCCTGCGTTTAGCTCAAGGTTTGTGAATGCACCAATTGACACTCTGTATCTAGCTACTCTGGTGGGGCCTTGGAGAACCTTTGTGTCCATACTCTGTATCTAACTAACCTGATGGGGACGTGGAGAACCTTTATATCTAGCTCAGGGATTGTAAACGCACCAATCAGCGCCCTGTCAAAACAGACCACTGGGCTCTACCAATCAGCAGGATGTGCGTGGGGCCAGATAAGAGAATAAAAGCAGACTGCCCTAGCCAACAGTGGCAACCCGCTCGGGTCCCCTTCCACACTGTGGAAGCTTTGTTCTTTCGCGCTTTGCAATAAATCTTGCTACTGCTCACTCTTTGGGTCCACACTGCTTTTATGAGCTGTAACACTCACCGCGAAGATCTGCAGCTTCACTCCTGAAGCCAGCGAGACCACGAGCCCCCCAGGAGGAACGAACAACTCCAGACATGCTGCCTTAAGAGCTGTAACACTCACCGCGAAGGTCTCCAGCTTCACTCCTGAGCCAGCGAGACCACGAACCCACAAGAAGAAAGAAACTCCCAACACATCCGAACATCAGAAGGAACAAACTCCAGACGCGCCACGTTAAGAGCTGTAACACTCACCGCGAGCGTCCGCGGCTTCATTCTTGAAGTCAGTGAGACCAAGAACCCACCAATTCCGGACACACTCCCAGATTTGGGGATAGAAAGATGTGTGTGTGTGTGTGTGTGTGTGTGTGTAAGTACCCATATAGGTATGTATAATTGTTTATAGTGTGAGCGTGTATAATAGTATATAACAGTACGTATGATAATTAGAAATGCATTACTTTAACAATAAAAAGGTTCATAACTGTCCTGTCACTTAAAAATATGTTGTGATCATTTGTACATGTCATAAAGCAAAAATCCATCTCATTTTTATTAGCACGAGCATAAAATTCCAGTATAGACAATAGTACATTTATCCAACCTCTTTTTTTTTTTTTTTTTTTGAGACGGAGTCTCGCTCTGTCGCCCAGGCTGGAGTGCAGTGGCGCGATCTCAGCTCACTGCAAGCTCCGCCTCCCGGGTTCACGCCATTCTCCTGCCTCAGCCTCCCAAGTAGCTGGGACTACAGGCGCCCGCCACCACGCCCGGCTAATTTTTTGTATTTTTAGTAGAGACGGGGTTTCACCGTTTTAGCCGGGATGGTCTCGATTTCCTGACCTCGTGATCCGCCCGCCTCGGCCTCCCAAAGTGCTGGGATTCCAGGCGTGAGCCACCGCTCCCGGCCTATCCAACCTCTTTTTGATGAACACAATGTTCACTATTTTAAAATTCTGTAAAAAATTCATTATACACATATATATTGAAAATAGACTAAATGCCTGTGTTAAGTGTTTTTAAACATAAATTCTTATAGAATTACCATGTCCAAAAGTATGTATATTTAAAATTTTGATATTGTTCATTTTCCTCCAGAAAATGTGGTGTCACATAAGATGTGCCTATTCATTCATATCTTCACCAAAAAAGGAATATGAATACTTTAGTCTTTACCCATCTGACAGGTGAAAATTATCATCTAGTTCTTCTACTTTGTATTTATTTAATTATTGTTAAAGCTCAGCCCCTTTCATACATATGTTGGCCACTTGCCTGTCTATTTCTAGGGATTGATTGTTCACATGTTTTGTATAGTTCTTCCTTAGGTTGACTTTTCCTTGTAGACATTTTCACCTTTCTACATTAGAGAGGATAACGGTTTATCTTTTGGGTAAGTTACACATATTTCCTCCATTTGCCATGTATGATATCTTTGGCCAAATCATTTATTTTCTTTTTGAGGGGGTGGGGTGGGGTGAGAGGTCTTGGTGTTATGGTAAGACAACTACAATAAAACCTTCTCCACTCCCAAAATTAAAGAATTCTCTCTAGTTTGTATTTTTATTTTCTGACCTAAGTACCTTTATTCCATTCATAATTTACAAGGCAAGAGCCAGCTTTTGCTTCCTAAAGATCATCCAATGTCTCACTAATATTTGTTGTATAATTGAGGTTGGCCCCTTTGATTTGAAATATCATCTTTACCATACATTTATAAAATTCCAAAATGGGCATGGATTTATTTCTGTCCTTTATATTTTGTTCCAAAATCCCTGGTCTGCCTATCCATTAGATGTGTGCTTTTACAGCTAACCAACCAAGCAGGACACTGCTGGCCTTCACTCTTTTTTTTCAAATTCTCTTAGCTCCCATGGGACACTTCCACTTTTTTTTTTTTTTTTTTTGAGGCAGAGTCCGGCTCTGTTGCCCAGGCTGGAGTGTGGTGGCGCTATCCCGGCTCACTGCAACCTCCGCCTCCCAGGTTCAAGCAATTCTCCTGCCTCAGCCTCCCAAGTAGCTGGCATTACAGGCGCCCACCACAATACCTGGCTAATTTTTTTTTGTATTTTTAGTAGAGATGGGGTTTCACCATATTGGCCACACTGGTCTTGAACTCCTGACCTTGTGATCCGCCGGCCTCAGCCTCCCAAAGTGCTGGGATTACGGTCGTGAGCCACCGCACCTGGCCGACACTTTCACTTTTTAATTTTTAATATAATCATTTCGTTTAATGCATATACATTTCTCACTGTGTTAAATTGGGTGTGATACAGTCCATATTGCTGTTGTTAATAATTACATATAGAAAATAAAATTTTATAAGTCCATATGCATGCAAAAAGAAAATGTGATTTTTATACATTAGCAACTTTTTTGAACACTTAATACTTTTTTTTGGTTAAGTTTGGACTTTTCTAAGTTTATAATCATATCATCTATTCATAGAGATAACATTAGCTTTTACCTTTCAGTATTTTCATATTATTTTTTCTTACAGTAATAATTGAATCTCCAAAATGGATAAAGATAATACAGTAGGCAGTGTTGCCTGTTTCTCTTTCAAGTCTTCAATCACTTTCTACAAAATTTCCTTCTAATTTTTATTAATAAGGCTCTTCATCAGGAAAGGCTGTTGAATTTTTAATTGTGATTTTAATGTCTATCTAAATGATCCCAACATTTGTCTTCTTTAATCTACACATGTAGGAAATGACTTTTTTTTTTTTTTTTTTTTGAGACGGAGTCTCTCTCTGTCGCCCAGGCTGGAGTGCAGTGGCGGGATCTCGGCTCACTGCAAGCTCCGCCTCCCGTGTTCACGCCATTCTCCTGCCTCAGCCTCCGGAGTAGCTGGGACTACAGGTGCCCGCCACCACGCCCGGCTAATTTTTTGTATTTTTAGTAGAGACGGGGTTTCACCATGTTAGCCAGGATGGTCTCGATCTCCTGACCTCGTGATCCACCTGCCTCGGCCTCCCAAAGTGCTGGGATTACAGGCGTGAGCCAACATGCCCGGCCAGGAAATTACTTTTGCTTTTCTAGAATAAGACCTGCTTGCTTGTGGTGTATTTTTTAATACATTTCATTTGGCTAATATTGTTAAATTAAATTTTTGCATTAATTTTCATAAGTGATATTGGTCCAAAGTGTCTCTCTCTCTCTTTGTATTTCTGTTTGTTTTAATCTTTTCAGTTTAAAGGTTAGTTTAGTCTTTTTAGCATGAGGACGAACATGTCCTTGTAAAGTGAATGTTGTGTTCTGGGAGTATACCCTAGGAATTATTACTTGTTCCTTGGTTTTATAGAATTTTCCTTTAAAACTACTGGGTTTTAATGACACCTTTTAGATTTGCTTATGGCTACTGATAATTTGTTAGATTTATCCTAAAGAAATAATGAGAAAATATACAACGTAAAGATGCTCACTGAAGAATTCTTATTTTTGGTGAAAAATTGGAGCAAGCTCAATGTCCCACAAAAGGGGAGGAGCCAGGCAAATTGGGAGTCACTATTAGGTGAGTCTGCAACGGTTATGATAAAACACATGAGACGTACATGGTAACACAAAGGATTTAGGAGCTAAAAGTGAATATGTATTATTATTTTAATTCTGTAAAGCATGTAAATGTGAAAAAGAAGGATGTCTGTGAAAGGATTTTACGGGATTATAGTTTGTTTTCTTTCTTTTTAAAAAATGTCCACACTTTCTTTTTAATTTTTAATTTTTGTGGGGACATAGGAGGTGTATATATTTATAGGGTACATGAGAGATTTTGATACAGGTATGCAATGGATAATAATCACGTCAGGGTAAATGGGGTATCCGTCACCTCAAGCACTTATCTTTTGTGTTACAATCCTATTACACTATTTTAGTTATTTTAAAATATACAATTGTTATTCTTGACTATAGTCCCTTTGTTGTGCTATGACATACTGTTTTATCAATTCTTTTTATTTTTTGTACCCACTAACCATCCCTACTTCCCCCTACCCCCATCCCCTGACTACCCTTCCCAGCTTCTGGTAACCGTCCTTCTACTCTATATATCCATCAGTTCAACTGTTTTGATTTTTAGATCCCACAAATAAGTGAGAACGAGTGATATATGTCTTTCTGTGCCTGGCTTATTTCACTTAACATAATGCCCTCCAGTTTCACCCATGTTGTTGCAAATAACTGGATCTCACTCTTTTTCATGGCTGAATAGTACTCCATTGTGTATATGTACCCCATTGTGTATATGTACCATCTTTTCTTTATCCATTCATCTGTTGATGGACACTTAGGTTGCTTCCAAATTCTAGCTATAGTGAATAGCGCTGCCACAAACATGGGAGTGCACATCTCTCTCTGATAGACTGACTTCCTTTCTTTTGGGTGTATACCGAGTAGTGAGTTTGCTGGATCACATGGTAGCTTTATTTGTTTTTTGAGGAATTTTCAAACTTTTCTCCATAGTGGTTGTACAAATTTGCATTTCTGCCAGCAGCGTAGAGGGTTCTCCACATCTTCACCGCATGTGTTATCGCCTGTCTTTTGGAGCCTGTCTTTTGGATAAAAACCGAAAAAAACTCAAGCTTTCTATGACGTGGTCCTGTCTATAACAGCAAGGACTTGGGAGTCAGCTGCCTGGGTTTTATTCTGGCTCCACTCTCTACAACAGGGGTGTTCAAACTTTTGGCTTCCCTGGGCCACATTGGAAGAAGAAGAATTGTCTTGGACCACGTGTAAAATACACTAACACTAACGATAGCTGATGAGCTAAAAAAAAAGAAAATCACAAAAAAACCATAATGTTTTAAGAAAGTTTACAAATTTGTGCTGGGCTGCATTCAAAGCCCTCCCGGGCCACAAATGGCCTGCAGCCCATGGGCTGGACAAGTTTGCCCTACAAGCTTTATGACTGTGGGCAAATCCGTAGCCCTTCTGTGCCTCAGTTTCCTCATCTCTCAGCAGTGAGGATTAAACATCGCAATATATTTATATAAACACACAGAAGAGTTTCTGGCTTGTAGCAAATATCACGTTAAGTGTTCGCAAGTTTTAGTAAAAACAATAAACGATTTAACAATGTTAATTATTTTCTTCATTAAATGCATCCCATAAAAACACCTGCTTCAATAATTGCTTCTTGCTATTTCTTCACTAAAAGGAGAAACATATTAAAAGACAAGATCAAGTTGAGAAGTACGAACAGACAAGATTTCATCAAGCAGGACACCTCTTTTCTAAAGAAATTATCTTCTCTAAAGCAGAAATCCCTTGCATAAGGGCCCTGGCACTGGGAAGTTTTGGAGGGAAGATGGCAGGAGTGTGGTCTGTGGTCAGGAAAGAGGAAATGCACTAAGAATAAGTCTCTGTTTTTTGAAAAGCCAAGTCTTGGCAAAAATGCACAGGTGGGGCCAGTTGCAGTGGCTCACACCTGTAATCCTAGCACTTTGGGAGGCCGAGGTGGGTGGATCATGAGGTCAGGAGTTTGGGACCAGCCTGTCCAATATGGTGAAACCCTGTCTCTACCAAAAAAAAAAAAAAATACAAAAATTAACCAGGCATGGTGGCACGCTTATGTAGTCCCAGCTACTCAGGAGGCTGAGGTAGGAGAATCGCTTGAATTCGGGAGGCGGAGGTTGCGTGACCTGAGATCATGCCACTGCACTCCAGCCTGGGCAACAGAGTGAGACTCCGTCTCAAAAAAAAAAAAAAATGCACAGGTAGGGTTTTGGATCTGATAATATCTTTCCCACATTTTGCTCCCAAACAGGCTGCATCTTTCTTTTGTGTTTATTTCACCATCTTGATGGGAAAGAATATTTTCATTCCTGGGGCAGAGATCAAATTTTAAAAATGATCACGAACTATTTCACTGCCCTTTAAATCATTAAATCAGGGGATGGAGCGCCCAAGCATTTTAATTTGGCCGCCGTTATGTTCTGGAGCTACCAAGTCAGACACGGAGGTGCATGCAGACTCTTTCTCTCTATGATCGTTATTTCTGTTTGGTCAGCCGGATTTCAAAGCTCAGCATTACTGGTCTGTGTGTTCTAGGTGGCCTGTGCTGCTCGTGAGCAATAGCGGTTCTGAAGCAATTGCTTTCTGTTTCCTTGATTCCCAGTGAGAAAGCCTTCTCTCTCTTTGATGGAAAGTATCTGGCTCTGGAATCTGAAGATCCTAGCTCCCACTGTCGTGGTGGTTTCTTCTTATCCTTGGCCGGGATTTTAACACAGGGCCCAGGGCAGCCAGGCTGTAATCCCCCAGGGTTACCTCCAGAGACGCATGGAGTCATTTTTGTCTTGCAATACATTTCCTGTTTACCTAAGTGGCTTTGCAGGGGAGACGGCGAACCTCTGTGGGAAAATCGTAGTAATACCTGTCTTTTGTGTTGCCTGGCTATGCTCCTTGCAGGCTTCATTTAGTTAATCTTCAAAACATCTAGGAGAATAAACGACCCTTTCCATTTTATAGACAAAGAGATAAACACATACAGAAAAGCACAGGGAAGCATCATCACTGGTGGACATCTTTAGTGAGCACCTGATAACATTCCCAGCAAGATTTAAAACGGGACCTTTAACTTCTACCGCTTTCCAGCCAAGACATTTCATTGCACACAGTGGGTGAATCAAACTAAAATGAAGAATACATTCAAGGTTCCCGTCTCCCTTGCAAAGGAGTCACGTGGACTTTGGGGAACGGAGGGATTCACTGCAGCGGCCATCGTAGGGGAGACCCCATTGTAAGAGGGCATGGGGGGCAAGGGGCAGAGGAAACGGCCCAGAGGGGGCTGGGGGGTGGCTGGTTTGCTTGCATTTGTGTCAGCCTGGGAGGCGGGGAGGGGGTGTCTCCGTAAAATGAGATACTCTGGTGGCTTATCTTTCTGCACTGAGAGTGGGATTGTTTCAGAGATTAGGTTGATGGGCTAGAAGCCCCTGAACTTCTGGGAAAGCGTCCCTGCCACGATGGCAGCTGACACCCCAGAGTTTATCTATGATGGAGTCTTAGCACTGACGCAAACGCTTAATGAAGCTAACTAAGGGCAGGAGATCCAGGGCACTGGCCCAGCTGAGGAAACAGGGGATGAGGGGGATGAGGGGGATGAGGGGGAGCTCATTCCAACCCAAGGAGTGGCCTCCAGCACAGCCCAAGACAGCAGTGACGGCAGAACCCAGCACCTGCGACCAAAAGCATTTCCCTAGGACACATTTGCACTTTCATGGAATGAGGGGTCTGATTCCAGTTCTCTGTGTTCTCAAAATCCTAAATTCTATGAGTCTTGTCTGGGAAAAGCACATGAGAATGTCAGGTGCTCAGACAGGAGCCAACAGGTGGTTTCACCTGATGGCCTCTGAGGCTGTTTGTAGGGACAGCACCACCGATCCCTTGACAACTACTGAACAGGGAGGCGAAAAGAGACACTCTGTTCAGAAGGCTAGTCCAACAGAAGGGTGCAGAGTGGTTAGAAGAGAAACGGAGGCAGACACAGTGGCCCTCAGAGCAGTCAGTAGGAAGAAGTATAACACCGTGAGACAGGCAGTTGGGTGGGCCTGAAACAAAGGTGGTAGATGCCAGGAATATGAACAGCCAGCTGGCTGGGAATGTCACAAGAGGGGCCCAGACCCAAGCTTGCTACAGTTGTAAATCTGAGACACTGAGACGTAGGGTGATGTTTGCAGCTGAGAATTTAATGGAGAAGTGGTTTAAAAATAGGCAATACTGTAGTTTTTCACTGTGATTCCACTACTGATGTTTTGCTGGGGGGAGGTAGAGAAGAGCCTCTACCTTCCAGTGACGTGGAAGGACTGAAGCTCCTCAGAAATCAGAAACATCTGTTACCAGCATTTCCTGGGCACAATAGCAGAGGGTATACTGAATATTTTCTTTAAATGGAGGTAAAATTCACCTATCGTAAAATTAACCATTTTAGCTGGGCATGGTGGCTCATGCCTCTAATCCCAAAGCTTCGGGAGGCTAAGGCAGGAGGATTGCTTCAGCTGAGGAGTTTCAGGCTAGCTTGGGCAACATAGCAAGACCCTATCTCTTAAAAGAAATTAACCATTTTAGAGTGAACAATTCAGTGGTATTTAGTACATTCTCGATGCTGTATGGCACCATCACTATCTATTTCTAGAACTTTTTCATCACCCCATAAAAGCACCTGACATCAATGAAACAGTCACTCCCCAATCATCCTCAATCTGCTTTGTGTCTCTGGACTTGCCTATTCTGGATATATCATGTAAATTGAATCGTGCAACATGTGGTCTTTGGGGACCAGCTTATTTCACTGGGCAGGATGTTTTCAAGGTTCATCCAAGTTGTAGCACGTGTCAGAACTTCATTCCTTTTTTATGGCTGAGTAATATTCCAACGTGTGAATTGAACCCATTTTGTTTATCCGTTCACCCATTGATGGACATGTGGGCTGTTTCTACCTTTTGGCTGCATTGATTAGTGCTGCTATGAGCCTTTGTATAATACGTTGAGTGTTTCATGAGTATCATTTCTTGTTTTCAGAAGCTCTTTGGGCAGCCCTATTTTCCTCATGAGGAGATTTGGCGACCACCTGCAGTTCTGAAGCCGGTCAAACCTGGAACGAGAATTTGACCCAGACACCTGTGCTCTGAGCCACCTTCTGCCGGCTACTGGATTTGCTCAAGTCTAAAGCTGTGAAATAATAAGGTTTTTCAACCCCACAATATGGAAATGTTTTATTTGCAGGGATTCTCATGTGGGTTGGGACCTCAGCTGTACTCTGAACTCCCTTCTGCAGGACGTGGCTTCTTTCTTTCCTTCTTTTTCTCTGGACAGGGACATGGCTGCTGGCCCCTGCATTTAAGTTGAGTCCCCCCAGATGGACCTCCTGTGGGACAGATGCGTCTCCTGAAGGTCTTGACCAGGAGACCATGACTTCCACCTGCCTGAGATTAAATTGAGGTCCAAATTTGAAAAAAACAAACGGGAAAAACCAAGGATGTGCTATTGGAACGATCTGGATTTGGAGGTCAACAAAGAGAAGCGTGTGCTGCTGGAGGAGAGGTTCTCCGGAAGCCGCCCCCTCACCTGGGCTGCCCCGGGCCCTAGGACCGACCGTGCATGCAGAGCTGAGGACCTCAAGGCAGAAGCAGGAGCAAAAGGGCTCAGGGCTTGAAGGTTCCTCACTACATCTCACTGCTCATGACTTCAGCGTTTTTCATTGACTGGATTATTCGGAGCGATTCCTTCTTTAGCAGACAGACGTTCTGCAGAGACTGCATGTAGGATCCCTGCTTTTCCGAGCAATGGTGGAGGAGGAGTCGCCGTCTAGGTGTAATAAAGCGACCAGAAGCGCAGCTATTTTAAGCCTCGTTGTTGTGAGTCTTCATAAGCGGCTCAACAGATTTCTTTCAATAGCTTTAGAAAGGCATTAATATGCTTGAAGAACAAACGCAAGAAATTCAGAATGGGGACACATATACTGGTAAAATATCTTCTAGGCACTAATCCTAGGGCGCAATTTCCCTGCTGCAATATGCAAGCTAATGCATCAGCTAAAAGGACTTTTTTATTTTACCAGAGCTTGAACTTTCCTTAACTCAAATGGGTAGTGACTATGCGTGTAACTGTTCACATTCCTTTTTCTTTCTCCCTAAAATAGTCCCTTCTAATGCTGAACCCTTAAAAGAGCATTTTTAGAATCAATTTATTATTTGCCTTTAAAAATGGATCTGTCAGGCTACAATGAAATCATCTCAAATTTAGTCCACACTGAGTTCTTTTTTTTTCTGTGAACTTAAAACATGTACAGTCATACAATTGAGCACATAATTGCTGTTCTCTTACTTTGTTCTCTAATTGCTGTGTGTGTGTGTGTGTGTGAGAGAGAGAGACTTCCTTCCCCATCACCCAATCTAAACTATAATATTCTATGCTTTCTGAGAGACTAAAACCTGTAGCTTATAGTTTCTCGTATTTTCCTGTTCTTCACATAAACACCCTAGCAGGATGCTGACTTCAGGTTAAGATATACATTTTGATTATTAAGTAGTTACAAACAAGTTTAGCTTCAGGGTTTGAAAAAAGCATGGTGAGCTTCAGGGACAGATCATAGAGGACTCTGTGTTTTCCTTATTCCATGAAGGATGGGAGGGAGGCAGAAACAGAGAAAAAGCACACGTCTGACAAAATTGGTGATTTCAGAAAAGATAGCCCCGCTCCGTTTGTAGTTTCAAGCAATTGTTATGGCTTTCACAGAGTTCACTCAGCCAATCAATCACGTGCCTTTGGGTCATTGAGAAAGGTTGAACGCATAAAAACTCAGAGGCTCGAATCATTTTTTAAGAAGAACAAGGAAATCGTTTCAAATCCTGTCGCCGGTTCTGCCCACATTCACTCAATGATCTGCTGTCTCGGTGTTGGGATTTTGCTCTCGCGTCTTGGAGAGTAAGCCGTTAGATCCAGGAAAGGAAGGTGGGAGGGTTGGCCTCGTTAATGTCCCTGAAGTAGGGTGCCAATCCCCGGCTGACCGGAAGCTGCACAGATTTGCAAACGTAGCATTTCTGTTGCCTTATTGTTATTTTCTCAGACCAACCAGGTTTTATTTAAATCATCACAGCAGCACCGCCCCTTGAAGATGGTGCCTCTGCTACTTCCGTAGAGACTGTTTTCAAGCTGGAGAATTCTTCCTAGAGTTGAGCCTTCTCTGCCCACAGCTTTCTAATCTCACTGCTTCTAGGGACCGCGCCTTATCTTGATGGGCAGGGCTTTGTGTGTGCAAATGCCTCTGAGGAAGAAGTGGACGTCCTTTAAGTAATCCAAAGTGTACCCCAACAGGGTTCTATTTTGATCCCTATCTGGATAGCCCTGTCGTGATGGGCGACGGATTTATTCACAGAAGTTCCATTAGCCCTCCAAAGCCTCCCTGCACAAGAGAGGAGCACACACACCTGAAACTTGCAAAGCCTCACAGAACTGGTTTGAAAGTTCGGCTGGCTTTTAAAATTAGCAAGTTTAATATTTTGGCACAACTTTACAGATAAAACATTTTACTTAAATTTGGGAGGTATTTTTGGTTTGGGGTCTCGGGCTTGCCTTTGTTTTGTTTTGACAATTCCCTAAAAGCAGCCTGACCTTTTGAGGGCAATGAACCAGTTCTGATTTTTTTGAGAGCTTCTTCTTGGACAGGGAAATGTATTAGTAATGGTACTATTCATTATTCATTAGTTTTCTGCATGCACACAGAGCTGTACTGAACAGAATTAAAATAAAAAAAAACAATAAAAGCATCTATTTCAGCCTCTAAAATGACAGTTGTCTCTTCACTGTGCAGCCTGTATGTTGCATCAGTGCACACCACAAATGAGATGTAATGAGCCAGTTTAAACTGCTGTGGACGCAGACAATCATGATGGGATTTTTTTTTTCTTTTGGAACAAACATAGGTAGCTCGCCTGGGAATGAAAACACCCCTATGGACCCCTATCACTTAAAGTAGATATAAGACAAGTTGTGTAAAAGCCGCTTTAGGATTTGTGAGGATTAATTTTATGTGTCAACTTGGCTAGGCTATTGTGCCAAACTTTTTGGTCAAATACCAGCCTAGATGTCACCGTGAAGGTGTTTTTTAGGTGCAATGAGCATTGAATTCAGTGGACTTGGAGTAAAGCGCATTGTTCTCGGTCGTGCGGGTGGGCCTCGTCCCATCAGTTGAAGGCCCTACCAGGAAAGACTAAAGGCCCTCAGAGATGAGATCCCCTAGGGCCCTTAGAGATGGGATCCCCACAATTGCAACTTAGAAACCCTACCTGAGTGTCTGGCCCGCTGCCCTGTGGAGTCTCGACTCAAGATGGCTGCATTGACGCCTCCCTAACTGGGGCTGCTGGCCTGTCCTACAGACTGCAGACCCACCAGGCCCCACAAATGGGTGCATCAATGCCTTGCATCAGTCGCCCTCTTTCCCTGCCCCATATATGCACGTGTCCCATATACGCACATGTCCAATATACGCATGTGTCCTACATACGCACGTGTCCGATATACACACATGTCCCATATACGCACGTGGCCCATATATGCATGTGCCCCATATATGCACTTGTCCAATATACGCACATGTCCCATATACGCACGTGTCCTACATACGCACGTGTCCTACATCTGCACGTGTCACATATACGCACGTGTCCCATATACGCACGTGGCCCATATATGCACGTGGCCCATATATGCACGTGGCCCATATATGCACTTGTCCAATATACGCACATGTCCCATATACGCATGTGTCCTACGTATGCACGTGTCCTACATCTGCACGTGTCCAGTATAAGCACGTGTCCAATATATGCACGTGTCCCATATACGCATGTGTGCCATATATGCACATGTCCCATATATGCACATGTCCCATATACACACGTGGCCCATATACACACGTGCCCCATATATGCACTTGTCCAATATACGCACTTGTCCAATATACGCACGTGCCCCATATACGCACATATCCCATATATGCACATGTCCTATGGGTTCGGTTTCTCAGGAGAAGCCTGACTGATACGAATGTCACATGCTTAGAGCCTCTTAGTTGACAGTATTTATGTTAAAACAATTCTTTTTCTTTCTGAGTAGCTTAAGAGGAAAAAAATATAAAATTATAATATAAAAATATAAAAATAAAAATATAAAATATATCTTGACAGTTACAACAAAACACTTCATATTGCCCAGTGTTTGTAAGATGGGTGTCTGTGTACCATTTTAAGAAAAACAATTTGTAAAATAAAATATTTAGGGAAACCAGAAGTAACTCAATATTTTAAACAACAACAAAAGAAATTCGCTTAAACCCGTGTGTAGATTCAGACATGGAAGTGGTCAAATAGGAACAGTTAACTTGTATAAAGAAATCCCCTCAGAAAAACAAAACTGTACAGTTCAGTAAAGAAACAAAACACTGTATCCGTTTGCTAAAAGTGATGGTAAAACTTACAACTTCACTGAAAAACATTTGTTTTGTGAACAAGTGGTATTTGTTAATCAGCCTCAGTCCACATCATAACTATGTTGTTACCAGAAAGGGGCCGGGCGCGGTGGCTCAAGCCTATATTCCCAGCACTTTGGGAAGCCGAGGTGGGCAGAACACTCGAGGCCAGGAGTTCAAGACCAGCCCTGGCCAACATGATGAAACCCCATCTCTACTAAAAATACAAAAATTAGCCGAGCATGGTGATACACGCCTGTAATCCCAGCTACATGGGAGGCTGAGGTAGGAGAATCACTTGAACCCCGGAGGCAGAGGTTGCAGTGAGCTGAGATCGCGCCACTGCGCTCCAGCCTGGGCGACAGAGCAAGACTCTGTCGAAAGAAAGAAAAGAAAAGAAGAAAAGAAGGAAAAGAAAAGAAAAAGAAAGGAGGGAGGCAGGGAAGGGAAGGAAGGGAGAAAGAAGAAAGAAGGAAAGAAAGAAAAAGAAAGAAAGAGAGAGAGAAAGAAGGGAGGAAGGGAAAGAAGAGAGAGAGAGAGAGAGAGAGAGAGAGAGAGAGAGAGAGAGAGAGAGAAAGAAAGAAAGAAAGAAAGAAAGAAGGGAGGAAGGGAAAGAAGAGAGAGAGAGAAAGAAAGAAAGAAAGAAAGAAAGAAGGGAGGAAGGGAAAGAAGAGAGAGAGAGAGAAAGAAAGAAAGAAGGGAGGAAGGGAAAGAAGAGAGAGAGAGAGAGAAAGAAAGAAAGAAAGAAAGAAAGAAAGAAAGAAAGAAGGGAGGAAGGGAAAGAAGAGAGAGAGAGAGAGAAAGAAAGAAAGAAAGAAAGAAAGAAAGAAGGGAGGAAGGGAAAGAAGAGAGAGAGAGAGAAAGAAAGAAAGAAAGAAAGAAGGGAGGAAGGGAAAGAAGAGAGAGAGAGAGAAAGAAAGAAAGAAAGAAGGGAGGAAGGGAAAGAAGAGAGAGAAAGAAAGAAAGAAAGAAAGAAAGAAAGAAAGAAAGAAAGAAGGGAGGAAGGGAAAGAAGAGAGAGAGAGAAAGAAAGAAAGAAAGAAAGAAAGAAAGAAAGAAAGAAAGAAAGAAAGAACAAACCAGAAAAGAAGGCGGGCTTTGGAGCCCACGCAGGAGCAGAGAGGATGCTGGCCATCTCAGCCGCCCTGCCTCGGAGCTTGGGGGGCAAAGCAGGCCATCTCACGGCACATTCAAATCAAAATAAGCATGACTGACGCTGATAGCCTTCGAGGCTAGATATAACCTTCCCCAAGAAGCCTGTCTATGGTGGGACAAGAAAAGCCTTTGCCCCGATTGTCTGGAGCTCAGACACCAACCAGGGAAACGCCTGCTCCTGGCGAAGCGACAGCGTGAGGGCTCCCATTGCAGAAACGAAGTGATTCCTTGTGACATCATAAAATGCACCTCCACTTTCCACACAATTAATTAACATCAAGTCCGTTTCTGAGACTTCTCAGGTTGGACTTTAGAAGCAGAAATTTCTGTATAAGCCGACAGGGGAAAAAGTAAGATAATACTTTTTATTTATATGGTGTGTAAAGTTCACAAAGCCCTGTTCCCAACTCATTCTTATTTTGATTCTCACAATAATCTCAGGTAATAGGAAAAGCAGGCGTTTGTATCATCTTTGACGAGCAGAAAAAATGAGGTTCTGAGAGCTTGAACAGACTTGGGCAAGTGGGGACAGCCCTTCTTGGCAGAGCTGGGGGTGGGTCCCAGGTCTCCTGATTCCTAATCCAGTGCTTTTTTGGTAACATCTTATAGTTGTCTCACACAATGGCGAAATATGATGCAATGGGTGTTTTGATTTCTCTAACTAGGAGTGGACTTTTGAAGTCAGACTGATATAAGAGAGGATGAGAAAGTGTACTCACTTTTCATAGGTGGAGAGGGACTAACCACATGTTAAATAAACTCTGTTACTTCAGAGATATAAAACATTTCTGTGGAATAACAGGTCCAACTCCCCTGCAGCAAACAAGAGCTGTGTTTGTGTCGGGAATGCTGGCTGCACCCATGTGCAAGATCCCAGTTCTTCCCTGACCACAACCTCCATGGCTTTGCCATCCCCAGCACACCCAGGTGCCCTGAGAACCACCCTTTTGTTTCAATCACAGCTGAAGAGCCATGCCAGCTGATGAGCCACACTGCCTATGGGCCTAGCCATTACAGTGGGTCAGTGCTAATATGGGGTTTTCTGCCACTAGGAGATTGTGAGTAGTTTGAGCCTTGTTCTTTCAGGCCCCTGGAAATCATCACTGTCAGAAAGCAAACCTGATTAGGGCTTAGCTGATTAACAAAATTTGCTCTAAGAACATTGTAAAGAAATTCTTTCGCTTAACTGAAAACCCTTCAAATACAAATAACACACAGTAAAACACTATATATGCATGAAGAGTGTCTGAGAAAGAGGAGGGCTCATGGAAATAAAAGACTAGTTTGTCACCCCGATGTCACAGAGAGAGCTCTTGTGCTCTAGAGCGAGATGTTCTGGGTCTTGTGTTTTGCTTTCCTTAAAGGACAGAGTGTATCACTAACTAGCAAAGAGATTTCGTAAGGAAGTTTGAGAACCTTAGAAGGTGCAGTGATTCCATGAAAACAATGCAACACCACAGACAAACATCATGTCTGCCAAAAATAGAAGGACACTCTTATAAAGCATTTAGAAAGTACATGAAGCTATCTCCCAACAAAATGATTCGCCTGTCATTTGCCTGTGAAGTCAGATCCACTCTGTTATATCCACTTATTTCTCTGCAAGTTCCTCTTCTTATCCTCCTGGGCTCCTCTTTTGCCATTTGCACAAATACATACTTAGACGTGACATATGTGTGAAAGGATATGCTCCAATGTTGGCATCAGAGGGTCTCTCCATCCTCTCTCCGAATCTCACTTGTCAGCTTCAGAAAGTCTCCGCCTTTTCTGTCTTCTTCCCTTTGCTGGTTGTGGCAGCACCCACCTGGAGATGGGAGCTGCACACTGGATGCCAAGGCACCATCCCAGGGCACCACAGGGCTCCAAGGAGCCGGTCCTCACTGTAGGTGCCTTTCAGGGAGCATGAGGATACCCGGACGTGAGTTAGGAGGATGACCTTGGCAAAGTGAATTTGATCTGAGTCACCATATCGGAAGACTTCGGCAAATGGAAGAACCTCTCAATGGCTCCCACTACTCTGCAGATAAAGCAGTGTCACCCCCGATGGCAGAAATGCATCCAGGAACACCTGGGTGCCACCTCAGGTTTCTTAGGATGAGCTCTGATTACTCACAGGATGGAGTCTGTAACCATGGGTCCCCCATGCGTGTACTGGCGTCCTGGAGATGGTCATTCATCCACAACACCTCACAGGCGTCTACAACCACCCCACGAGAATCCGTAAAGAACCAGTGTCTCTAATCTATCACTGGATATTTAGGGTTTTGATGTCTTTATGTCAATGCAACTGTAATATGGATTGAGCACCTGCTGTGTACTCTAGATAACAGATCCATATCATATGCCCATATTCACTAGCTGCTAGCACCTTTGCCACCACCTTATTATGCTATTGCTATTTCCGTTGAGTAGAAGAATAGCTGTGATTCTTGATAAATTAATAATTTCCTTCTCACTGCTAGTAAGACACACAGCTAGAGGCTGGATGTAAACCCAAATTCATTAATTCATGCTGTAAATGCTTATTGGGAACCTGCTACGATTCTAAATGTAATGTTTATTTCATCACACCAAAGCGTTTCTACTCCAACTCCCTTCTTTGAAAGATGACGAAATTGAAGGCCAGAAGAGAACTTTCCCAATTAACTAAGATAGTAACTGGCAGAGACAACATTAGGTTCCAGGTAACTAATTCCAGTTCATTTCTAACTGTTTCTTTAATGAGCCTGTATATTCTAATGAGTGCATTTTCAAGACATCCTTAACAATTTCTTTTATCTTAATAAATAATCTAAGAACTCCTCCAGATGCTATTAACACAAAAATTCCTGGATTGTGTCCAGGCAAGCAGAATATGAACATCAATATTCCAGTGACCAGAGTGGACAAAACTAAGTAGGCAGTTCCATTTCCAGAACTCTCTCTTAATGAAGTGTTTCTGTTCACAGAAACAGAAATCCAGACATTACGCCAGCAATATTGGGTAGGAGGGGAAGGAGGAAGACGAGGGGAAGGAGGAAAAGGAGGAGAAGGAGGAAGAGGAGGGGAAGGGTAGAGGATGATATATAGATACATGAATAATTCCTGCCCCTCAAGAGCTGGTTGAGTTGGAAAGAATGATACCACATGAAAATGAACATACAAGAAATAATTTGAAATCAAGTTTCAAGTAAACTCAGCATCTTCTCAGGGGTTCCTTGACAGCAAACAGAAGATGATATGTTTTGAGGCACTCAGGTCCTTAGATAAAGGTCTATTTATTCTACATGTAAGAAAGGTATGTGAAATTTTGGTTTTCAAACCCAGGATGTGAACTCATATTTCCACTGATAACCTATTAGGTGACACATCTGCTAATTGAGTTCCCTGGCAGCGAGAAGACAGAGAATAGAACATTGACGATGGTGTGATGTAGTCAATCATGGAAGGCTCCCTGCGGGAAGCAATTCTTCAGCTCCATCTTCAGCATCATCTTTTGGAAAAAGAAGTCAGATTTCGTATCAGGGATGTTTCTGACTCAGGTCCAACGGCCTGCATCTCCTCTGTGCTTCTCTTTGCATTCTGCTTGAGCAGGTGTGCATGAGGAGGGAGGAAGGACACACAAAGGAAGCAAGAGCAGGAAGAAATGAACAGGCTCTTGAACATGGATGAAAGGGAGAGTAAGCACAGCAGAATGTGACTGAGGAGGAAAGAATGCACGAAGATGAGATCTGCTCAAGGCTGGGTGCAGGAGCTCCCGCAGTGGTGGGGACAGTAATTCACCATCATTAGCTCCTGCTCAGGTCTAAGGTGACTTCTCATGGCTACTGTCATGCTGGTGGTGGCGGAGGGTGGTGTTTTTGCAAAACTAGATAGAGAGTGCCTTGTACATGCTAGGCATTCAAGGAATGCTTCACTGAACCTGTGTATCCCAGTTTCTAGGGACTCAACCATTTTCCATAGTCCTGGGTTTTCTAAAAGTCCACACTCCTTCAAAAGGTAAAAAATCCTCATATTTGGCAGCTCATTAACAAAAACAAATAACCAGGTAAGTAATTGAGAGAATGCAGTGAAGCATCCACATGTATTACAGACACAAGAATAAAACACTTTATCATTTTTGCAGAAGAGATACTCAATGTTAAATGAAACAAAAACAAATTAAAAAGAGTAAAAAAAAATGTGTCTCCATTGATCTTCTCTAATTGTTTGAAATTTTCAGAGATGGGGCTGAAGACCGAAGGCTTCTTATGAACGAAGATGTTTCTTACTAACAGGAGGAGCATTGAATGGGTTGAGCAGGCGAGCCTCGGAGCAGGTTGAGGGCCTCTTTTGCCACATTAGCTCGGGCTGCTGAGTCTGATCATCAGCCGTGAAGGAGAGTGAGGGCTCCTGGAGCCTGTAAGCCAGGGACTCCTGAGCACAGCCTGTGGATGGGGAAGCTCTGGATGGCCATGGACCGCGCTCGCTGCTGTTTGTCTCTCTGTGTTGTTGCTGGGTCACAATCCCACAGACCGCCACCAAGCAGCCCTTCTGCCCATGGCCACCCCCCAGAGGCCCAGGTGGGCACCTCCCAATTCATGAGCCAATGCAAAGGCTCACACTGGCTGAGGAGGTGGATGAATGCCCTGTCAACACCCACGACCATGCTGACCACTGCACAAAAGGCCCTCAACAGGAGTGGCCAGATCGGCAAGATAGGTCCCTGAGCCCTGGCAAGCCACCAGTTCCACACCCAGTCACTGATCCAGCAGGAAGCTCCTGATTCCAGAACCTGAGTCCAGTCCCACAGGTCTAGCCGGTGCCTGCTCTGCCTGTCTCAGGTGTCTCACGCCGGCAAGGCTCCCTCTGGGGCCGGGGCTGCTCAAGGGAGCCACTTAAATTGCCCCATCCCGTTGGCCACTGACCACCACCTGCCCACAGCACTTGCTTTCCCGTAGGCAACCAGTCCGTGTTCTCTGCTTCCCTCCTGGGTGCAGGAGCACAGGAGGCTGCATGCTCCTCAGCGGCCCTGGCCTGGTGAAGGACAGACAGACGCAGTCTGAGGAACCCACGGTTCTGCAATCACAGAACCAGTCCTAGAGAAATCAGGTAAGTCGGTGAGGTGGACTCCGGCTGCCCCAGCCCTAGCTGGCTGTGTCCTGGCCTTCAGCTACTTGAGGATCTAAACGCAGCTCCCCCGTGAAGACCTGTCCTTAGGAAGAAATCTCCTTTGAAAATTCCTCAGCAACTTGCAGGGAAATGCAATAATAGATGAAGAAAGGATCCAATGCGAGTCATTTACACCTCAAATGAAATAAGTCAAAGCATCACGTCGTCCGGTAGTGTTTCCAATGGAAGCCAGGTCCCGGAAATGCATCAGTAGTGAGCAGGTTCCAGAGGTGTTCGGCCAACATGAGCAGGTGCTCCAGGCCTGATCCACCGGCTCCGCCTGCTCCGCCCTAGGCCACCACGCACCACTGTCTTCTATGATGTTTGACTTCTGGGAGCAGGTCTTACCTTCCCAGCTGGATTGGAAGTCTTTGAAAACAGGCCGTCTGCCCTATATCCCCTCCCTGCCCCACCTTGCCTGGAACAGAGGCCTCGGACGTGGCAGAGCAATAGAAATCTGCTGCACGAAGAGCGATGCGCGAAGGAGGGAGAGGAAGGGAACTGTGGAGGCGGCGGCCTGCCCTGCCCTGTCAGAGAGGCAGCTATGCTAGGAGTCTTGCGTGCTCTCTGGTTATTCTCCGGGCGCTGCACAGGGAGCCTGGTGAGGAGGGAGGGCTTGGCAGGCTCCTGGGCTCGCCCTCGCCTGGCACCAAGGAGCCCGCTGTTATTTCTGTGTGTTCCAGGCACACGCTCCAGCACCACTAGGGGACATTTTAGGACATTCTGGGGGCAGTTAGCACCGGGGGCAGTGGTCACCTGGTAGAAAAATAAAAAGGTCCTGAGCATGTCCTAAGCGGGGCCCTCGGGCCTGCCTGAGCGCCTCCTCTCTCCACTTGGAGGGCGCATGGCCGGGAAGAACCGTCAGGAATCAGCGGCTCCACCGCCTCACCCCTGTTCTAGAAGCAGGATGGAGACTGGGGGGCGTTTCTCCGGCAGCATCCCTGGAGGTGGGGGGAGCCCACCCCTCGTCCCCTCCAGCCCTCAGGTGTGGAGTCAGTGCAGGCGTCAGCACCCCCGGGCGCCCCTCCGAGCGGGGAAGCCTGCGGGCGGGGCGCTTCCCTGGGCCTCGGGGGAGGCATCACCGCGCACACGAGCAGCAGCCAGCGTTGGTGCTCGAGTCAGACCAGCGCGTCGCTCACTAGGACCACGGCCTGAAGCCGCTCTCCAGCAGCTCAGCCCCACGACGGTTCCGCTGCGAGAAGGGAGGGGGAAAGAAAGCAGGTTCGTTGGCCATTTTCCAGTTTTTCTTTTTTGCCAAAAGAAAACAACTGAAAACTTCCACCTTGTGGCACCTGCCCTGAGGTACATGTTTATTTCTGACATCTGCAGTGGTGTGGCCTGTATCCCCCGCCAGGGCACCAGGTGGAACCGCGGGGAAGGAGGAAGAGGAGGGGAAGGAAGAAGATGAGGGGAAGGAGGAAGACGAGGGGAAAGAGGAAGACTAGGGGAAGGAGGAAGAGAAAGCCCAGAGCAGAGGCGGGGTCAGCCGCACAGGTAGAGTCTGGAGAAACACAAATGTCAGGGGTAGAAAAACAACCCACTTAAATCTGGGGGACTCCAGGGAACACACTCACGATTTGATTCCTGAAACCTTTCAGTTATGCATGAAGTTTCTGGAAAGAAAATCTTGGCCCCAAATCTAAGTGGACAGCCTTACAGCCAATTTCCCAGCCCCTGCCTCTTTAAAGGCCCCACTTCTGAGCTGATAAAGGCAGAAATCAACTCGTTTTAGTTACTTCTGGCCTTTAAACCAAAGAAACAGAATGTCTGAGTGTCTTGAGCGTCTCTCGGTGTATGTGTGTGTAAAAGCGATTTTGGTGGTCAGCAATTTCAAGCCACCGAGATTCGAGATTCATGTGTCAATGTCACCAACACAAAACCAGATGAGCACATGGCCATGGACAGTAAAGAGCCCTTGGCAGAACTAGGTATTTTCTGAGCCTCAAAGGAGACTAACTCCAACTTGGAGACACAGCAGCTGCTGCAATATCTCAGGACAAACACAAAAGTTCCATTTAAAAAAAAAAAGAAAGATCTAGAAGGAGAGCAAATTCTCCTGGAGTCATTCTCTCGCACCTTACCTTCCTGGCTTTTAGAAGGACATGGAAATGAAGTGATATTCCTGGTTTCTGAAAACCCAGGAACAAATAAAAGGCAAAAGTCACTACTTCTTTACTCTGAGAAGTTCAAGCGCCAAGGCCTTCACCTTGGCAGAGTGAATTACCTTTTTATTTTAATAAACAGTCCAGTCCCATCAAGTTTCCCTTGCCCTACCAACTTGTGCCAGAATCATTTTGGCCACTAAGCCAATATCTGTCATAAAGGTGTAGGAGCTACATGTCTCTTTTATTTTCCTGTTTGTTTGTTTGCTGCTGTTATTTATAGGAGACATATAGTATCTGCTGTATCTGGATACTGACAGTTGCAACTATATAACCGTGTTTTCTTGTTTTTTGCAGGCAATAGCTCATTTCATTCTTTTATCTCTAATTAGTAGTAAAGTATAGAAGTTATAAATTCTGCTGGACGCGGTGGTTCACACCTTTAATCCCAGCACTTTGGGAGGCAAGCTGGGCGGATCACCAGAGGTCAGGAGTTCGAGACCAGCCTGGCCAACACGGCGAAACCCCGTCTCTACAAAAAATACAAAAATTAGCTGGGCATGGTGGCACATGCCTGTAATCCCAGCTATTCGGGAGGCTGAGGCAGGAGAATCAGTTGAACCCAGGAGGCGGAGGTTGCAATGAACCAAGATTGCACCATTGCACTCCAGCCTAGGCGACAAGAGAGAAACTCCATCTCAAAAAAAAAAAAGAAAAGAAAAGAAAAAAATAATTCATTCTCCTTAAAAAATATAATATTACAGATAAAGTTCCCTTGACTGATGTCCAACTTTGGTTCTCTCCCCCTTCCCCAGGGGTGTCCCCCCAGCTACCCTTGTGGGCCTTGTCTATTTCCCCATACAATTCTGTGCACCTTCCTCCTTTGTGTTTGTGTGTGCATAGGTGCATTATCACACTCTAAATGTAATTCTCCAACATTATTTTTTATTTTACTTTGGTAATTTTTCAAATTAATAAACTTTATTTTTTATTTTTTTTTTTTTTTTTTGAGACGGAGTCTCGCTCTGTCCCCTAGGCTGGAGTGCAGTGGTGCGATCTCGGCTCACTGTAAGCTCCGCCTCCCAGGTTCATGCCATTCTCCTGCCTCAGCCTCCCGAGTAGCTGGGACTACAGGTGCCTGCGACCACGCCTGGCTAATTTTTTTGTATTTTTAGTAGAGACAGGGTTTCACGGTGTTAGCTGGGATGGTCTCGATCTCCTGACCTCGTGATCTGCCTGTCTCGGCCTCCCAAAGTGCTGGGATTACAGGCGTGAGCCACTGCGCCCGGCCAATAAACTTAATTTTTTTTAGAGCAGTTTTAGGATCACAGCAAAACTCAGCAGAGGGCACAGAGATTATATACCCTGTCCCCAAGTATGCACAGCCCACCCTACCATCAAATCTGCCACCAGAGAGTACATTTATACAATCAATGAAGGTACACTGACCCATCATGATCATCCAAAGTCCATAGTTTACACTGGAGCTCACTCTGCATGTTATATATTCTATGAGTTTGGACAAATGTATAATGACATATATTCACTGTTATAGGATACAGAGTAGTTTCATTGTCCTAAAAATAACCCCTTCCCTCTAACCCCTGACAACCACTCATTTGTTTTTACTGTCTTCATAGTTTTGCCTTTTCCAGAATGTCATCTACTTGGAATCATGCAGTGTGTAGTCTCTTCAGATTGGCTCTTTTCACTTAGTAATATGCATTTAAGATTCCTCTGTGTGTTTTCATGGGTTGGTTGTTCATTTCTTTTTAGTGCTAAATGATATTCCATTGTCTGGATGTACCACTGTTTATCTCTTCACCTATTGAAATACATCCTGATTGCTTCCAAGTTTTGACAATTAAGAATAAAGCTGCTATAAACATCCAAGTGCAGGTTTTATGTGGACACAGAAAGTTTCCAGCTCCTTTGGGTAAATCTCAAGGAACATATGGCGAGGGTAGGTTTTTGTTTGTAAGAAACTGCCAAACTGTCTTCCAAAGTGGCTGTACTATTTTGCATTCCCACCAGCAATGAATGAGAGTTCCTGTTGCTCCACATCCTTGCCAGCATTTGTTGTTGTCAGTGGTCTGGATGCAGCCATTCTCATAGGTGTGTTGTGGTGTCTCACTGTTGTTTTTATTTACATTTTCCTGAGGACATGTAATGTGGAGCTTATCTGCCATCCTTCTGTATATCTTCTTTGGCGGGGTGTGTGTTAAAGCCTTTTGCTCATTTTTCAGTAATGTTTCTTGTTCTCCTATTATTAACTTCAAGAGTTCTTTGTATATTTTGGATAACAGTTATTTATCAAATGTGTTTTTTACAAATATTTTCTCCCAGTCTGTGGCCTGTCTTTTCATTCTTTTAGCATTGTCTTTCACAGAGCAGAAGTGTTATATTTTAAGGAAGTCTAGCTTATCAATGATTTATTTTATGGATTGTGCCTCTAGTGTTGTCTCTAAAACGTCCTCACCATACCCATGGTCATCTAGGTTTTCTTCCATGTTATCTTCTAGGAGCTTTATAATTTTGCATTTTACGTTTATGTATATAGCTATTTTGAGTTAATCTTTGGGGAGGGTGTAAGGTCTGTGTCTAGATTTATTTTTTAGCATGTCAATGTCCACTTGTTCCAGTACCATTTGTTGAAAAGACTATCTTAGCTCTATTTTATTGTTTTTGCTCCTTTGTCAAAGATCAGTTGAGTATTTTTATGTGGGTCTATTTCTGGGCTCTCTACTCTGTTCTATTTTTCTTTTGCTAATACCACACTACCTTGGTTACTGTAGCATCAGTCTTCCAACTTTGTTCTTCTCCTTCAATATTGAATTGGTTATTTTGGGCCTCTTGCCTCTTCATATGCACTTTAGAATCAGTTGGTCAATATTCACAAAATAACTTTCTGGGATTTTGGTTGGAATTGCATTGAATCTCTGGATCAAGTTGAGAAGAACTGATATCTTGACAATATTGAGTTTTCCTATCCATGAGCATGGAATATCTCTCCATTTATTTAATTCTTTGATACCTTTCATCAGAGATTTATAGTTTTTGTCATATAGATTTTGTACATATTTTGTTAGATTTACACTTAAGTATTTCATTTTTTGGTGCTAATATAAATAGTATTGTGTTTTTAATTTCAAATCTCATTGTTCATTGCTGATATATGGGACAGCAATTTACTTTCATATATTAACCTTGTATCCTGCAACCTTGCTATAATCACTTATTAGTTCCAGGAATTTTTTTGTTGATTCTTTCAGATTTTCTACATAGATGATCATGTCATCTGTGAGAAAGACAGTTTTATTTCTTCCCTCCCAATCTGTATGCCTTTTATTTCCTTTTCCTGTCTTAATGTATTAACTAAGACTTGTAACATTGAAAAGCAGTGGTGAGAGGGGATATCTTTGCCTTGTTCCTGATCTTAGCAGGAAAGCTTTGAGTTCCTCACCATTATGTGTGATATTAGCTGTTAGAGTATTTGTAAAGGAAGTTAAGGATGCTCCCCTTCATTCCTAGTTTGCTAGCAGTTATAATGAATGGGTGTTTGATTTTGTCAAATATTTTTCTGCAGCTATTGTTATGATCATGTGATTTCTCTTCTTTAGCCTGTCAATGTGATGGGTTACATGAATTGATTTTTGGAAGTCGATTCAGGCTTACATACCTGGGGTAAATCCCACCTGTTCATGGTATATAATTCTTTTTATATTTTTTACACATTTTTATACATTTGATTCTTTTTATGCAATTTACGATATTTTGTTGAGGATTTTTGCATTTATATGTTCATGAGAGATACTGTTTTGTAGTTTTCTTTTTTTGTAATGTCTTTGTCTGGTGGTACTCATTTTTTAAGACATAGCTGCCTCCTACAAAACAGCCCAACTAAAAAAGTATATTATTTCTATTTTCATTTTTTTAGAGAACACTCAGGAGACACAAGCTATCTTTAAAAGCAAAATAAAACCAAAAAGTACCCTTTAGCTTATTGTTCAGAACTAGTTGCTTAAAATACATTTTCACATTCGTAGTAAAATCAGTTGAAGCCAAGTGCACATGATAATGCCTCATTAACAGCAATGTCTTACATCTGAAGAGTATTTCATAATATCTCACTTCTCTCATTTTTTCACAAGTGTGCTGGTGGTATCATGATTCCATTTGCTGACCAGGAAACAGTGACTCAGCAATGACTGTCTTCCCTAAGGTAGAGTGAAGGCTGAACACAAATGTTCTAATTCCTGATCCAGTTCTTCCACCAGGAATCCAAATTTTCTTCTAGGGCCTTTCTTCTGCTTCCCTCAATCCCAGTTTGTTGGTCCTTATTCACCGAAGGCCTCCCTACAGAAGCCTGAGCACAATCCAGCCCAACAAAAGTCAGAGGCATTATTGCTTCAACCTGCTTTTATTTACTCCCTTCCACGCACCTGGCCAACTGGCCTGGGAATCAGGTCATATTCCCAGACATGTGACTCATAAACTGTTGTCGCTGGGATGCCTTTGCCAGGGCCACCAGGTTTCATGGTGCTTCAGCTATCCTGTCCAGGCCACTTCTGCACAGTGGCCTCAGGCATCTGGGTAGTGAGGAGCAACACACTCCCTGCACCTGCCTGTGGCAGATCTAAAATTAAGACCCAATATGATATGCTCCCTTGACATCTGGTAAAACTGGGAGGGCCTCGAATGACCTAGACACAAGTTCCCATCCCCACCCCACTCCTGTGAATAACGTCCGCTGACCAAACAGCCCTCCTTCCCGTGGGGACCAGGCACAGTTCCCGCTAGTCCTTGAGCAGGGGCCAGCCATGGAATTATTCAAACAAGTCAACACACCCCCATAGGAACTAGGGGCCACCCCCCAACCGTTGATACTACAAAGCCACCTCCCCCAGCCCTGCTGATTCACTCTGCTCTCGTACGCAACCCTGTGTGGCCCCGTGTGGCATGCGGCGTCCTCCTCCCTGGGCTGTGAAGAATAAACTGTTGTCCATTTCATCTGCTCAGTGTCAGTTGCTATTTGTTTGGACATTCCTGTAGCCCCAGGGAGGGAATCCCTGCCTCCCCAACAGAGAGAGTAGGAAGTGATGGAAACGCCTCTCCATGGTCACCCCATTTCTGGGATTCATCTTCCACCTTCATGGTTACAGCTCAGTTCTATAGCTTATCTTGTCAACTGCAGGCAAACACAGCCGGTGTTGGACCTGACCCTGCTCTGGTCCCCTTTAGCAGGGCCCTGTGTATGCCTAGCTCTGGAGCTCCACCTGCCCTGGAAACTCTAGCCTGCAGATGGTGTTCTTGCAGTTCACATAAAAATGACTCTAACCCTCAAGTCCTCAGAAGTCAGCCATCATGAAGTTCCCGGTGGCCACGCCCTGACTCCTGGGTCAGAGGCACTGATGGGACCAGCTTCTGGAGCTGTACCTGCTCACTCTCAGAAGCTTTTCTATCCCACCTGCATCTCAGCCTCCCTTTCAACCTTAACAGCAGATTTCTGCCCTTGTGTGCCATTTCTGTATTCTGCTACCCAAATAGGTCCCTAGTTAACCTTGGAAAATTAAATCTTTGAGTTTGTTTGTTTTTAAGAAAGGTAATTTCTATTTGTGTTTATTTATTTAAGATAGAGTCTTACTCTGTTGCCCAGGCTGGAGTGCAGTGGCACAATCTCGGCTCACTGTGATCTCTACCTTCAGGGTTCAAGTGATTCTCCTGCCTCAGCCTCCCGAATAGCTGGGATTACAGGCGCCCACCACCACGCCTGGCTAATTTTCTGTATTTTTCGTAGAGACAGGGTTTCACCATGTTGGCCAGGCTGGTCTCAAACTCCTGACCTCAGGTGATCTGCCCATCTTGGCCTCCCAAAGTGCTGGGATTACAGGCGTGAGCCACTGCACCTGACCATGAAAGGTAATTTTTAGATAATCCTGAATGTATTAGTACCCACAAACCTCAATGCTATAAAAAAATGTGTAGGTTCGCATGACTTCTGCTGAAATGCATGCCCCTGTATCCTTCCTATGTTTTACCACGGTATTTTTTATTGTGTGGCTGCAGGAATTTCACAATGCATTGAGGCTACTCTAACTCTTTGCCCCACACCTCCCATCCCCCTCTTTCTCACTGCATGCAAGTATCCAAGCTATTATCAGGGAAACAGGCTACCCAAGGTTAACACCCAGGTAAATGCAGGATGGTTTTCTTTCTTTTTTTTCTTTTTTTTTTTGAGACAGAGCCTGCCTCTGTCACCAGGCTGGAGCGCAGTGGTGCAATCTTGGCCCACTGCAACCTCCAACTCCTGGGTTCAAGTGATTCTCCTGCCTCAGCCTCCCGAGAGCTGGGACTACAGGCACGTGCCACCACGCCCAGCTAATTTTTGTATTTTTAGTAGACAGGGGGTTTCACCATGTTGGCCAGGATGGTCTCCATCTCCTGACCTCATGATCTACCCTCCTTGGCCTCCCAAAGTGCTGGGATTACAGGCGTGAGCCACTGCACCTGGCCCAACACAGGATGGTTTTTACCACACTTTGTTGCCATCTGAGGCCTGTGGTCTCCTTCATGCCTCTACTTTTGTGTATTATTTCTCACGATCTATCTCAATGCCCCAGGTGTTTATTTAGGAATCTTAGTGTTTTCAGAAACTGCAGTGCAGTTATTTTACATTTATGCATAATTTGCCATAAATGACAATTCTATGTTGTCATTTTCTCATTTCTTGATGGAACAACTGAAGCTGGGATTGAAATTCCAAGTCTTTAGAGATTGAGATCCCACCCTCTTCATCTGACCTTCCCAAGCCTAGATTTTCTTACCCTCTAGAGCTGACTCGCAGGCAGATGTCTTTCATCTTCAGCTGAAGAAATCTAGCCATAGCTCATTCTTGGGGATGTGATGGCTAATCCTGTCTAGATACCAACTTTTACCACAGGATACCAAAACTGAAACTTCCAAGGTGTGTCCCAATTTCTTATATGGATGTGACATCAGCTGAGGCCCTCAGAAGGGATTGAGTTTGACGTAAGACATGGCAGGAGAGGCTGGTGTTGATGTCCTCTGAAGATACGTGTTCCCAGGAAAAGGCTATGTAAGGGAAAATCCACTTTAAACAAGAATAAAACTTTCATAATAAATAATGAAAAAAAAAAGGTCAGTTGATGGTTTTACCTTGAAACCAAATAAAACCGAATTATATAAATTTATTTTAGTTTATACAAAATTTAAGTTATAATTATGCAATAATCCTTAGATTCAGCAAAGAAGGCTTCCAGTGTTACTGTTTTTCTGGTGTAATTTTTCCAACAAAACTCTAAGCCAGCAGGATGAGACACCCCCCCAGCTTACAGCGCTCCCCCACGAAAGGCCATGTCTGCAACACTCTTGCATCGCTGTATCATCTTTCTCAAAGGCGTCTTTAACCGGAGCTGTGCGGATGCAGATCTCTTAATGCTGTTGTGCCACTTTCCATGGTGATTACTTGCTCTTTAATTGCTAATTATAGTTAACCGTGTGCCAGTGACCGTGGGAAAGTCCTGAGCAATTCTCCAACGTCACTTTCATTGACTTCATGAAATCCCAAATTGCCTGTAAGCTTTGCTGTTGTATTTGAAATGGACATATGCAAAGCTGTGGCCTCACCGAGGCTGCATCATCTCCACTGAACAGCCTGCAGGGCGGGTACAAAGGCTCGTCCCTTTGCCTTTGTTTGGGGCCACTCTGAAGGCCCCCCCACCAACCCCAGGTCCAGAACTCCCACGGAATGGGCAGAGGCCTTGGCTGCAGCTGCTGGCCGGTTAGACTCCTCCCTTGGCTCCCTCTTCACTCAGTGCAGGCTTCGTCCTGAGAGTGAGGCCTGTAACTCCCCAGCACACACACTGGTCTCAGCGTCCGTTCTAGGGGGCAAACTGAAAAGCTTCGATTTCCACCTATTTTCATCTTGTTTAATTCCCACAGCCATTCTGGGTCATAGACAAAGGTGTTAGTCCTTTCATGTTCAGACTGAGGATGCCAGAGCCCACAGGTGGAGTCACTTGCGTGCCAACTTTCACCAGAGCCCACATGTCAGAGCCCAGACTCACACTGCATTTCAGGACTTTCATCCTAATGCACAAAGCCAGAGATGAGGACTGGAAAACAGAGAGTGATGATGACGACACCAACGACAAACGGAATAAATCAGCTGTGCAGCTATGGGATTCTCCTCATTCAAACATTGCGAAGGGATTTACCAATGGCATTGAGGTCTGCTAACCTTGACACTCTGCACATGAGCCAGGAAAACTGCTCTCAGCCAACAAGTGAACGTGACCTGTGGGTGTGTCTCTCCTTCTAATTCTTGCTAGAAGTTGCCACCATGCCATGGACCCCACAGTCTCTCTGACCTGGCTACAAGCCATGTTCACTGCAGGAGAGTTTCCCCCAGTGGCTGGAGGCCACTCCGTCATACCCACACTTTCCACCTCATTGGAGGGAGCGGGTTGTGGAAGCACAAGGAAAAGATCAGAAAGCAGCCGGGGAGGAGTCGCGGAACTCAGAACCTCCCACATTTTATCATGAGCCCTATGAGTCCAGATATATGTTACAGGCTGGGCACGGTGGCTCACGCCTGTAATCTCAGCACTTTGGGAGGCTGAGGTGGGCAGATCACCTGAGGTCAGGAGTTCGAGGCCAGCCTGGCCAGTGTGGTGAAACCCCGTCTTTACTAAAATTAGCCAGGCATGGTGGAGCATGCCTGTAATCCCAGCTACTCCGGAGGCTGAGGCAGGAGAATAGCTTGAACCCGGGAGGAGGACGTCGCAGTGAGTTGAAATCGCACCATTGCACTCCAGCCTGGGCAACAAGAGCGAAACTCCATCTCAAAACAAACAAACAACCCAAAGTATATGTTATAAAAATCTAATAGTTTATTCCCCCAATAAGTTAAGTTAAAAAAAAAACAACAAAACACTAAGTGCTGTGTGGACCTTGAATCTCTCTTCCATTATCCTATTCCTGCCTTGCCACCAACTCTAAAATGCTGTGTCATTTCTGAGTTTTGGATTTCCCCTTGCAAGATGAGTTGCAACAAGCCCCTGGTACAAACAGCTCTGGTGCAAATCCACAGGAAAGACTGCAGCCGCAAGCCTGCCATGAAGATGGCCCTGTTCAGAGTATGGGAGAGTCACACAGCTTTCCAGCCAAGGAAGGGCTCCAACCTTGGAGAGAACATTCTGGAATGTAGTTTGTTAGGAACAAACCATCTCCTTTCCATGCCTCCCACTCCCCTCCTCATTTGAAAAAGACAGTCATGCGCAGGCAAATACTACTGAACTTTATACTCTGCCAACCAAGAAAGAAAAGTGCTTCACCTATGTATCAATTCCACGAGGTCCGATACTTTTGATATTTCAAATTCAAGCGCAGTGCTTGGAGCCCATGCTAGGTGGAAATTCAGAATGCACTGTGAACCTTATCCTGGGCTCCGGCCCCTGCAATGCAGTTCTTATCCTGTGGGTTGGCCCACCAGTCCCCCAAGAGCTGCATTCAGCGGAGTGAGTGTTTTTCCCTTTTTCAAAGCTCCCAGCCCTAGGAAAGACAGCAGCCACCTTCCCTTCCACTGAGACCCCAGCCACCCCTCTGCACATCCTGGCTAGGTGGTAGACACGTGTCTCTCATCTGCAGGGTGAGATCTGCTCAGGCAGGGGGACCCTCACAGCAAGGATGCTCGAGCCCAGCGCAGTGTGGGGTGCATTGTGGGTTCATCCAGTGGGCTGTCACCACGGGTGCCCCAAGAACTGCATCAAGGGGCCCTTTTAGCTCTGAGGTGGACCTGGGGGCAGGACGGCAGTGTGGTTTTAGAGTCATAATAATATCCACCTTCACGCATCGCTGCCCTGATCCAAGGATCATAGGCCAAACGGTAGGGCATCTGCAGGGGGTGTGTTACTGTCTGTTCCCGACCTGAGTGGCCTCTGCCCCATGTTCTGGAGCTCCTCCCAGGCGAGCCAGGCGCAGAGCACACCTTGGCAGTCATTGCAGGCTGGATGATTTCCCCAATATCTGTGCGTGTGGCCTTCTGTGGAAATAGCATCTTTGCAGATGATCAAGTTAAGATGCGGTCAATAGGGTGGGCCCTAATCCAATATGACTGTGTCCTTATGGAAAGGGAAAATGTGGCTACGGGGACAGACATGCGCATAGGAGGAAGGCCCTGTGAAGATGAAGGCAGGGACCAGGGGATGCTTCCTCACACAAAGGAATGCCCAAGAGTGCCAGCAGCCACCAGAAACTAGGAGAGGCACCTGGAAAGATTCTCCCACCCTGCCCTCGGGAGGAACCCACCTTCGGTCCTTGATCTTGGACCTCTCCTCCCTAGACCTGTGGGGGAATAAATTCCTCTTGTTTAGGACTCGCGCTCTGTGATGCTCTGTTGTGGCAGAGTCTAGGGAAACCAACACAGAAGTGGAAGCTGACCTTCCACCTCTCTATGCACACGGGCGACCTGAGCCGACTGCTGGGCCCTCAGGGGCAAGTGCTGTCCTGTCCACCTCCAGTGAGTACTGCCCAGGGCCACATCCCAAGATGGGCCACAGAAGAGTCACTAGCTGTCTCTCCACCTGCCAGTCATAAAGGTAAGGAGGGGAGGGGAGGGTCAGAGAATGCACCACACCGTCAGGGAGAGAGAGAGACAGAGAGAGAGAGAGACAGAAGGAGAAAGAGACAGAGAAAGAGACAGACGTGGGGGTGGGGAGAGAGACAGAGAGAGGGAGAGAGACAAAGAGATTGGGAGAGACAGAGACAGAAAGAGACAGAGACAGAGACAGTGAGAGAGAGACAGAGAGAAGGAGAGAGAGACAAAGAAAGAGAGACAGAGAGACGGGGGAATGGGGGAGAGAGACAGAAAGAGGGAGAAAGACAGAAAGACAGAAACAAAGAGAAAGACAACGAGAAGCAGAAAGAGGAAGACAGAGAGAGGCATAGAGAGAGAGACAGAGCGAAACAGAGACAAAGAGATACAGAGAGAGAGACAGAGAGAGAGAGACAGGTAGGGGAAGGGAAGAGGGAGGGCTCCTCCTGGTCCCGGTGGCCAATGTGAAGGCCAGAGGGAAGCAGGGAGCCCTCCTGGGCAGCTCCTCAGGAAATAAGGGGAGAGGACAGCCTCTTTCAACAGATGGACCAGTCTTTGGGAGACAAGCTCTCCCCATGGGATGCCATCTCTCTTCTCCACCCTGTGTCTTATGAACGTGGCCTTGGTGCAGGGCCTCCCTCTTCAGACCCAGCAGAAGTGGCATTGCATGCACACCAGTTTGAGTGGCATAGTTAAGTCCCAGTTGACCGAAGTCCCAACCTACACTTAGACTTTCTCAGACCAGTGGCCACCTCCTCCGAAGTCCCCCAGAGAAAGAAACCCCTGCCTTCTGTGCTGGCTTTTAGGAACTCCCAGGATTACCCAGCACTCTCCCCGTCCTCCGGAGAGGTGGGATCCGAGGAAAGGGCGAGCCCAGACACAGCGCCACGTCAGAAAGTCCCGTCATGGCAGGGCGCGGGGGCTCACGCCTGTCATCCCAGCACTTTGGGAGGCCGAGGCGGGCGGATCACAAGGTCAAGAGATTGAGGCCATCCTGGCCAACATGGTGAAACCCCGTCTCTACTAAAAATACAAAAAATTAGCCGGGCCTGGTGGTGGACGCCTGTAGTCCCAGCTACTCGGGAGGCTGAGGCAGGAGAATCACTTGAACCCGGGAGGCGGAGCTTGCAGTGAGCCGAGATCGCGCCACTGCACTCCAGCCTGGGTGACAGAGTGAGACTCTGTCTCAAAAAAACAAACAACAACAACAACAACAACAACAAATCTTTATCTCCCTACTATTCCTAGCTAGAATTGCTCCCTGAATTCCACGGTGTCCAAGCCTAGGGGGCATGTTTCTGTAATGCTCCTGTGGCAATGGATACACAAGTCCCTCTCTGGGCTTGGGCCCTTATTCAGGGTTTGGAATGGATTCTTGTGTAAGATCCAGCCTGATTGCACGGTGCAAGCCACCATCTGGAACAGCGGAAGATGATCGAATCGCATTGCGAAATACAAAACACGAAACTTTTTCCTGTGTTAAAAATACTTTTAAATAATGGAACCAATCTGATAGCATGTTGAGAAAAACTTCACTACCCACAAAAGCTAGGAAGAAAAAGTCACGCTAGGGTTTCTTCCTTTTGCCTGAGTTGCATTTTTTCCAGTTTTAGAACATCATTACCTTTGCAAACAAGGATTTTGCTATAAAAGCATTCTCACGTATATTTGCCTTTTTGTAGGTACTGATGTCACCTTGAGCCAAAGGAAAACAACGAGCCATAAATCAGTGTATGAATGAGCAAAGGAATACCATGGCGCAGAACATCGTCATTCCGTCTTCCTCAGGTGCAAGCAATCGCAGGATGGTTGAGACTTTACAGTCTTCTGACAGCTCTGCCCACATGAGTGCCGCATGCACATGTGAAACAGCTATCATTAAAACTGCGCTAGCAGCTAAGGAGTAAAAAGGAAAACTTAACCAAAGCCGTGACATCCCCTAAAGGATATATTTCACCAACGCGATGGAGCTGCTGGAACCTGGGCGGCCAGATGCAAATGACCCGAGCAAAGCCGCCTCCTCATTGGCCAGACCTCTTCTCCTCCCACACTCTGAAATCTGAGTCCCATCCACAAATATCCTCAAGTCAAACTCTAAGTACAAAAACATCTAAGAAATGTTGCCTGCACAAAAGCATTTTTGCTCCGAGAAAGGGAATTTCTGACAAAGTCTGGGAAGACAAAGGGACAATTTGGGACAGGCACAAACTGATTATAAACATGCTTTCTTTAATTAAATGATAAAATGTTAAATAAATCTTCTTTAGCACAAAAATACTGAAAGTCTGTACTCAGCAAACAAAATGAATCAGCAATTTTTTTTTCAAGCCTTCAAGGTTAGTGAATTGACCTATCACTCTGGCTAACATATCTTAGGCTTCCTAATATGTTAAAAAGCTTTGGAAAATTTGGAAGGCAATATTCTAGCTCCCAGGAGGCCAACACCTCCTGACACCTAACATCTAGCTTTGAGAGGCAAGACAAGAAGCCCACAGAGATGTGAGCTCTGCACAGGACCAGACGCCCTGGAGATCCTGTTAGGAGGTTGCACACAGATGATCTCGATCACCAACCCCCAGCAGGAATCTTGCCAAATCGGTATGAATATGTCCATTTTACGGATGCAGAAATGGAAGGTGAAGAGGCCAAGGGATATGCCCAAGGTAACAGAGCTAGGAAGCAGCTGAGATGGAATTCTGACCCAAGTCTCTTTAACATCAACTGCATCCACCACTATAGTCTGTGAACCATTAAGTAACGCCATATAAATGGCAAATTGCTTTTACATTATTCATGAAGTGAATTGACATTATTGTTTCTGCCTTTAAGAAAGAATTAAGGACAACAGCCACGAATTCTGACTACATATATCGAAGGATGAGGGACCCAATACGTAAATGAGAGAAGTTGAGGGACCTCATGCCCTAGAAATCGGCCACTGTTGTTTTCTTAGAGAATTCACCGATGTAATGCTGTTCAGAGCATTTTGCTGGCACATTTTAGCATTGATCATTGTACGAATCCTTTCAAATTGCATATAGCAGATATGAGTCACTTTCTCATTTTGCAAAAGAGGGAACTCAGGTTTAGACAAGTCAGATGACTCATCTAAGATCATGCCGTTGGAATTCTGAACCCAGATCACCTTACTTGAAATTCCACGATTAAAAAAAAATTAAACCTGGAGGAGGCTACATCCAGTCTTCTCAGTGACACCTGTTCTAAAGTCTATTCAGAAATTCACGTTTTCTGAGGACTTTTGGAAAGTCATCTGGAGAAAACTATCATCGGATTCTGTAGCCTCTAAAAGTATTATTTTTATGTAGCCATTCATCCTCTAGAAGGGAAATCATTGGTCCTATAGATGGACTGAAGATGTGAAGGGCCTAATGAGAGTCACCCTCAACAGAAAGCCAGGTCCTCATGGCCAGACTGCTCTCGTCTCTGCTGTGTCCTGCCATTACTGTCATCCCAGAAGAGGTTCCTCACTCACATGTAAGGAAAACCAGCCTTTTATTACAAACACAGGGGATCCAGACAAAGATGGTTCAACTGCCTTCACAAGACCAACGTGACTCATGCTCGTTTGATAAGCATTTAATGATTTTTTTTTTTTTTTGAGATGCAGTCTCACTCTGTTGCCAGGCTGGAGTGCAGTGGTGCGATCTTGGCCCACTGCAACCTCCTCTTCCCAGGTTCAAGTGATTCTCCTGCCTCAGCCTCCGAAGTAGTTGGGACCACAGGCACGCACCACTACGGTCAGCTAATTTTTGTATTTTTAATAGAGACAGGGTTTCACCATGTTGGCCAGGATGGTTTTGATCTCTTGACCTCGTCATCCACCCACCTTGGCCTCCCAAAGTGCTGGGATTACAGGTGTGAGCCACCACACCCGGCCGCATTTACTGGTCTTGAGTGCACAAGTGCAGCTCCTGCATCAGTGGGCACGGTCTCTGCCTCCCCATGGACGGGCATCTTCGGGACTCTGGTGTCAGCGGTAGGAGCGCACCTGTCCTGTCTCAGGTTGGCCCTGCCCATCTCCCCAAGAGGGAGAGATGCTGAACCGGACGCCACACAGACGCAGCAGCCACTGGGAGCCGAGCCGGCCCAGGCACCTCCGGTGGCAGAGGGACGTCCAGATAGCAGGGACATCGGTGACTGGCAGGTCTGCAGGGGAACAGTGGCCTCACGGAGCACGGACGGGGCAGACAAAAACCAGGTCTGTTGTAGAATGAACCCACCCCATTGAGGAAGTGGCTGGCGCTGGGGCAGAACAGAGGCTATCCCAACGGTGTCCTGGCAGAGGCACCATATTCCAGGCTTGTCCATCCAGAAACTTTAATTTGGCTCTGTTCTGGTGGTGATTAGACCGTCAGAGCCCACCCCAGCTCACCCAAGCCAGAACTCACCCATCTATTGACCAGGATTACACAGCACTCAGCACATATGTATGGAGCGTACGCCGTGCGTCTAGTGAACAAAACAGACAAAGCTCCCGGTTGCTGTGGAGCTGATTGTACCCCAGGAGAATGTGCTGAGTTTTGGTAAGATGCCTCCTTTCTATGATTCTTATATTTACCCTCTTCCCCGTGAGGTGTCTGGGACATTGAAATTCATAATCAGCTGCGTGTTGCTGCACACGTTCAGAGAAAAGAGCATCATTTATTCGGCAAGGACGTTTCTCCAGGCCTTGCCCACGGAGAGTCCCTTCCCACTGACTGCACGCTCAGGCCCGCGCCCTTTCTGCGGTCCAGTCGCACAGCAGCCAAGCCCTCGGGTGGCCGCAGTCACCCAGCTTGCGCTTGTGCGTCCCGGGTGTCCTCAGCAGGAGCAGCCTGGGGTTATTGCTACAGACCCATCACAGCACACCTGCAAACTCAACCGCAGTCAGGAAAGCGTTCTCCACACCCTGCTCGGAAGAGGGTCGCAGATCTCAGGAGTGGCCAAAGCCTCTTCCCTGCATCTGAGACATTTATGCAAGGCCAGCGCGGTGCAGAAGGGCTGGAGCTGGGTCCCAGAGGCTGGGGGACAATGGAGAGGATGGGGCACCACAGTCCCTGCTGAGGGGATGGGCGGGGCACCTGGGGATACCTTCTTTTCTCTTCAGGACTAGCACTTGGATGACAAGCCTGAGAGGCTCCTCAGGAAGCAGCCGAGGGCAGGGGTTCCGACACTTTCTTTTCTTTTTTTTCTTTTTATTATACTTTAAGTTTTAGGGTACATGTTTATTACGGCACTATTCACAATAGCAAAGACTTGGAACCAACCCAAATGTCCAACAATGATAGACTGGATTAAGAAAATGTGGCACATATACACCATGGAATACTATGCAGCCATAAAAAAATGATGAGTTCGTGTCCTTTGTAGGGACATGGATGAAGCTGGAAACCATCATTCTCAGCAAACTATCTCAAGGACAAAAAACCGACGCTTTCTCTTTCAATCCTCAAGGCCTCCAGTTATCCCTGGGAGAGGAAAGCTCCAGAATTTTCACACATTTCTTCTTCTCACAGGCTAGAATGCTAAGAAAAAGGTTAAGGAACTGGATATTGAAGACGGCAATCGTCCCTTTTTAAAAATACTTTTTTTTTTTTAGGAGGAAACACTAATGCTGTCTGGAGTGTCACCTCCTGTCCTTGCAAAAATAAAAACCAACAAAACAAAAATGCCCTCTGGCCAACAGAATGGACAGGATGAATGCTGGGTCCATGCAGGGAGAGTCGGCGATGTGGCTGCGGAGAGAGACAAGGCCCCATGGAGGCATCCTCATCCGTCCTAGGACCCAGGAGTGAGGCCACGGCAGCCAGCACGGCAAGTGCAGTTACAGAAACGCCCAGTTACACACAAGCAAAATGCGACTTGGTGACACAAAGTTTAATTCCCTTTCAACTGAACTGTTGACTCTGACCCTGACATCCAGTCCTCTGCCTCTGAGGCAGGGAAGTACCTTGCTCAGATAGGAGCCCTCCGTACTCCCCACCCCAAATGCTATCAGGGCAGCTCGGGAGTAGGAACCCAGCAGTGTGGACACACACACTCTCAGGGAGCCACACGCACGTACACACACATACATGCACACACACTCACAGGGCCCATTCATTACACGTGGCCAGGACCTTTCACAGCGAAGATAAATCAGTGCCTCTTTCTAGTCCTCAACTAATTTAAATGAAGCCATCACTACTGTCTAAGAGAAGGTTTCTTTTAACTTTGTTTGTTTGTTTGTTTGTTTGTTTTTGAGACGGAGCCTCGTTGTTGCCCAGGCTGGAGTGCAATGGTGAGATCTTGGCTCACTGCAAGGCTCCGCCCCCGGGGTTCACACCATTCTCCTGCCTCAGCCTCCCGAGTAGCTGGGACTACAGGCGCCCACCAACACGCCCGGCTAATTTTTTGTATTTTTAGTAGAGACGGGGTTTCATTGTGTTAGCCAGGATGGTCTCGATCTCCTGACCTCGTGATCCGCCTGCCTCGGCCTCCCAAAGTGCTGGGATTACAGGTGTGAGCCACTGCGCCCGGCCTCTTTTAACTTGTATTTTAGGTTCAGGAGTACACGTGCAGGTTTGTTGTGTAGGTAAACTGCATTCATGGGGGTGTGGTAAACAGATGATTTCATCACCCAGGTAATGAGCACAGGACCCAGTGGGTCGGTTTCTGATCCTCTCCCTCCTCCCACCCTCCATCGTTAAGGAGGTCCCAGTGTCTGTCGTTCCCTTCTTTTTGTTCATGTGCTGGATGTTTACTTCTCACTAATGAGCACATGCAGTATTTCGTTTTCTGTTCCTGCATTAGTTCACTTAGGACAACGGCCTCCAGCTCCAACCATGTTGCTGCAAAGGACATGATCTCATTCCTTTTTATGGCTGCCTAGTATTCTAGGGTGTCTATGTACCACACTCTCTTTATCCAGTGTACTGGATAAAAGTTACTCTTTTGTAGTATGGTTTTTTTCATTGTTTAATTATGCAACGACTACATAATGAGGAAAAGTTACTTATTTTATTCTGAATAGCTCCTTGACCCACTTTCATTTCATTCGTTCCCATCATATTTGACACACAGGTGGACATCTAGGTTGGTTCCACGGCTTTGCTATTGTGGAAAGTGCTGTGATGAATATACACCTGCATGTGTCTTTATGGTAGAATGATTTATATTCCTTTGGGAGCAATTTTTAAAATCATGTTTCTTTTCAATTTTCTCTGACTCCGTAGTTCCTTTTTAGTTTATTTTGAGACAGGCATTTTGAGCACAAGCTTATCTAAGGGCTATATAGAGATTATCATGACTGATGACACTTCTAGATGTTGTCACACTCATACACACAATGCACACACACGTGCACACCACGTGCTTTCCAACAGCTCATCTTGTCAAGTTGGGATGATAATTGCACGTGTGAAGATGAAAAACAGTAATGAATATAAAGTGTTTAAAGCTGGGCTGGGGCATAGAAAGTGTCTGATGAATGTTAGCTATTATTATTGTTGTTGTTATATTATCATTTTATTACTCTTTTGTAGTATGTTTTTTTCGTTTAATTATGCAATGACTACATAATGAGGAAAAGTTGCTCATTTTATTCTGAATATCTCCTTGACCCACTTTCATTTGCATTCAGTCCCATCATATTTGACACACATTTGGAGTGGCATTCACCCCACCGAATTCTCACACGCTCAGGTGTTCATGCGCTTCCTCATTTACATACGTAATGACTTTCTTGTCCACCTACACACCCAGCGCTGTGGTAGGGGCTGGAAAAACCAGCTTGAACAGTTCCCCTCCTGCCCATGAGCAGCTTCCGGTGGGCACACCCATGGGGAGTGACAATGGGATTGTTCATCGCCAATGGAAAGGTGACCTCAGGGCCACGATCATGGGAGGTTGTGAGGAGGACGACGGCTGGGCGGCCCCTCAGAGGCAGTAGCCTGTGCTGAGGTGCAGAGGCCAAGGAGGAGCAGCTGGACTTCAGACCGATGAAACCGGTGCAGCGACGGGGCTGCAGCGGCAAGAGGAGGCTGATCCTGGCGTGGGCGGCAGCAGGAGGAAGCCCTGCAGGGCTGGGCTTGGTTTCCCAGCAGTGCTTCCAGGGGAAACAGGACCAAGCCCGGTCCATGGGCCGGTGCTTAACTGGAAGCTGAATTTTTGCCCAATGAACTAATGCCAAGAATCAGAGAGAAAATCATCCATCCATGGCATCTCTCTCCTGTGGTGACAGAGGTTTAACGGCAGGTACTCCCTACTCACCATTGGTGAGAGGAGCTGATCCCCACAGTCAGGAAGTGAGCCTAAGGCACAGAGATGAAGGAAGTCCCTTAAAAAAGGATAAATGATGAATGACTTTGTAGGGAAAGAATGTCAGAAACCAGAGGCTGTGCTGGCTTAATTCTTGTCATTAAGAAATGAGTTAGCAAACCAGTTCCTTAAACATTTAGATTATTGTGGGAAAAGAAACCATTAGGGGGTTGGAGGGAAATGGAAAGTGCTAGTCAGATACGGTATTTGCTGGCCGGGCGTGGTGGCTCACGCCTGTAGTCCCAGCACTTTGGGAGGCTGAGGCGAGTGGATCATGAAGTCAGGAGATCAAAACCATCCTGGCCAACATGATGAAACCCTGTCTCTACTAAAAATACAAAAATTAGCCAGGTGTGGTGGTGCGTGCCTGTAGTCCCAGCTAGCTACTTGGGAGGCTGAGGCAGGAGAATTGCTTGAACCCGGGAGGTGGAGGTTGCAGGGAGCAGAGATCACGCCATTGCACTCCAGCCTGGGTGACAAAGTGACACTCTGTCTCACACACACAAAAAAAAGATATAGTATTTATTGCTAGGGATGATAGAAATGTTCCAAAATTGATTGTGGTGAGAGTTGCAGAACTCTGAGTATACCAATCATTGTTGGATTGCACACTTTAAATGGGTGAATTATTTGGTACAGGAATGATTCCAGCCACACCATTACTAGAGAACAGGATGTCAGGTGTTTTCCTGGTGGCCCCCCCCGAGGCTGCAGTGACATGTAAGAGGCACCAGTCAGGCTTCTGCTCCTCTCACGGCTCTTGGGGCCACATGGTCTTGGTGTGTCCTCCCTTCCCTTCCACTACAGAGGATCGATGATTCCTCCGCATCCAACCACAGAACCCAAGAGAAGGCGTCCGTGGATAGGACCATCACGGTAGTGCAAGAAGGGGCACGTGGACCGCGAAAGGCCATCAGGGTCGTCTTCAGGATTCTTCAAATTGAAGCCCAAGGGGAAGACGTTCTCTTCATGGATCATAAGCTGGGAGCCAGCGGATCTGCTATCCAGAGCAGGGAGAAACTCCGTCAGTGCTCCCTATCACTCCTGGGGTCACTCGACCATATTCTCCCTCCTCTTTTTTTAATGTAAGCTGGTGCAAATGGAGTTTCTGTCACCTGCAACCAAAAAGTCATGAGAGAGGTAGTATCACGACGGGCAAAGACCGATTCCAAAGCCAGTGTAACACCGGACTTCAAGGTGTCTCGCTTGTCAATTTCTGACTTCAAAACTTATTTATTTATTTGTTTGTTTGTTTGTTTGTTTTTGACAAAGTCTGAATCTGTAGCCCAGGCTGGAGTGCAGTGAGGTGATCTTGGCTCACTGCAACCTCTGCCTCCCAGGTTCAAGCGATTCTCCTGCCTCAGCCTCCCAAGTAGCTGGGATTACAGGCGTGTGCCACCACGCCAAGCTAATTTTGTATTTTTAGTAGAGACGGGGTTTCACCATGTCGGTCAGGCTGGTCTTGAACTCCTGACCTCAAGTGATCCACTCACCTTGGCCTCCCAAAGTGCTGGGATCACAGGCATGAGCCACCGCACCTGGCTCAAAAATTTTAATATAGCAAACTTTCATGTACTGGGAAACTATGTTCCGCATTTATTATTTTGATACACTTAAAAATGTTGCTGTAATTGAGAACTACGTTTTCAAAAACCACAAACAATAACAATGTGAAGCCATGAGTAGGCTGAGCAGTGAGGTGGAAACAGCTGAAGCATGGACAGAAAAGTCCAAAGATCAGATTGAGGAATTCTCCCATAAGGCAAAAGGAAAGGATAGAGATACAAAATAGAAAAGAAAGGCTAAGGGAAACGAGGATAGAAATGCCAACATCCAGGGCTGGGTGCGGTGACTCACCTGTAATCCCAGCTACTCAGGAGGCTGAGGCAGGAGGATCACCGGAACCCGGGAGGCGGAGGCTGCAGTGAACCTAGACTGTGCCACTGCACTCCAGCCTGAGCAACAGAGTGAGACTCCGTCTCAAAAAACAAAGCAAACAGACAAAAAAAAAAACAAGCAAAGAAGTGCCAACATCGGGATGATAGGAATCCCAGAAAGAGTGACAAAATCCGAGAGGAGAAAATTTTTTAAACTAATGAAGATATGTTTCTGAGGGGAAAAAAAGGCTGATAGAATAAAAAAGACAGGACAGGGGTAAGGAAAAACCCATACCTAGACATATTGTAGTTAATTTAATATAACCGATTGCAAAGAAAATATTCCAAGAGCTTCCATAAGTAAAGAGCAGCTCACCTGCAAAGGAACAAGACCCAGACTGCCATTCGATTTCCCAACAGCGACACTGAATGCAAAACAGTACAGCCATATATATATATATATATATATTTTTTTTTTTTTTTTTTTTTTTTTTTTTTGAGACAGAGTCTCGCTCTGTTGCCCAAGCTGGAGTGCAGTGGCGCGATCTCGGCTCACTGCAAGCTCCGCCTCCCGGGTTCATGCCATTCTCCTGCCTCAGTCTCCTGAGTAGCTGGGACTACAGGCGCCTGCCACCACGCCTGGCTAAATTTTTCTTGTATTTTTAGTAGAGACGGGGTTTCACCGTGTTAGCCAGGATGGTCTCGATCTCCTGACCTCATGATCCACCTGCCTCTGCCTCCCAAAGTGCTGGGTTACAGGTGTGAGCCACCGCGCCCAGCCATAGAGCCATATTTTTAAATAATTGAAGGAAAAGAAATTTGAACCTAGAATATTATTTCTAGACAAACTGTCATACGAATTTGAAGGTATAATAAAAGTACTCTCTCACATAGCTCTCAAATGGTTTGCCATACAAAGACTCATTTTTTGTGAGAAAACATTTTGGAGGAAAGCAATAAAAATAAGAGAAGCACAGCAGGTGCGGTGGCTCACAGCTGTCATCCCAGCACTTTGGGAAGTTGAGGTGGGTGGATCACTTGAGCCTAGGAGTTTGAGACCAGCCTGGACAACATGATGAAACACCATCTCTATAAAAAATAAAAAATAATTAGCTAGGCGTGGTGGTGTGTACCTGTAGTGCCAGCTACCTGGGAGGCTGAGGCAGGAGGATCAACCGAGCCTGGGAGGTGGAGACTACAATGAGCTTTAATTGTGCCACTGCAATCCAGCCTGGGCTGCAGTAGAATAAGACCCTGTCTCAAAAAAAAAAAAAAAAAAAAAAAAAAAAAAAAAAAAAAAAAAAAAGAGAGAAACAGATCCCTGAAAATTGCTATAAGAGATAGAGAATTAATGAAAACCAAATATTTTGGTAATATTCACTATTCAAGCAAACCCAGAATTTAAATTCTGGGCAGTATCAAAATATTAAAGGCAGATGACAATATGATAAAGTACTTTTCCTCTTAGGAGAAAAATGCAGATATTAATAAGTTCAAGAAGTCAGTAGGGATAAGTAAACATGAGACTATATCTTAAGATAAGGATAACAAGTATAAAAACAACTTCTAAACCAGCAGAAGAAAACTTGATCTATACAATTAAAATCAGGAACAAAAACAAAAAGGAAGAAATGAGAAGTTCAGTAAGTTAAAAATATAATAAGCTACCAGAAGTAAGTTTTTTAAATATGAGTAAATATAAGCATAAATAGGTTAAATCCACCGACTAAAAGACAGATACCGTCAACCTGGAGTTAAAAACAAGAATATTAAAGAAACACATGGAAGACAAAATGAAAAAAAAAAGTTAAAAAGAAAAAGAATGAAAGTTTATATTAAGCAACTATGAACCTAAAGAAAGTTGGTGTAGTAATCTTAATATCGGACAAAAGAGAATATAAGGCTAAAAAATACCATGAGGCCAAAGGATGATATTACAGACTGATGAAGGCAGCCTGAGAGCTGGAAGTGATGTCCTTCATGAACATCAGTGACAGCCTCAACACACACTGAGCCACGGGCAACAGTACGGCAGGGAGAAATAGTTAAATCAGTAATTGTAGTTGGAGACGTTAGTACATCTTTTTCAAAAATGGACAGAGCAAGAAGACAAAAGCTCAGCATGGATGTCAAAGATCCAAACAATATGATTAATATGCCGGAGCTATTAGAGATAAGAAGAACTCCAGACCTAAGAGAGTGCACGTGTTTGTGAACACACATGCGAGACATTGGCAGAAATAGGCCATGCGTTAGGCCACAAAGGATCGGTGCCGTTCAGATTAGGCTCTCTAACAATACTGCGACAAAAAGAAATGTCTAAAACAGTGATGGTTTTTTAAAAGTCCCTTTGCTTGGAAACAACAAAACAGCAAAAACATACTACTTAAAAAGAAAGTTAATTAATGTTTAAAACTAGGTCATAATGAAACCACTATACAATAAAAAAATGTGAGACATCATAAAAGCAGTGCTTAGGATGGATGGAATTGCTAGCCTCGAATACATTTATGAGGAAATGAAATTGCACTTAAATAAGCCAATTATTCAATTTAAGAAGCTGAAAAGGGAACAACACAGCAAAACTAAATAAAAGAGAAGACAATGAACATGAAGATGTAATTCAACGATACAGGCAACAAAAATACTAAAGGAGATTTAAAAAGCAAAGGCTGGTTATTGGAACAAATTAATGGGAGAGATTTCTAGCCAGACAGAAGAAGACAGGAAGAGAGATGACCCAGAGCTCAAGATGCACTAGGAAATAGGGGAATGTCTTTGGGCCCAAGGTATTAAAAAGGCCACTGTGAACAACTGCTAAGAACTTTGAAAAGCCATATAAAGAAAAAATGCCAAATTTCACACAGAGAGAAACATGGGAAATAAATAGACCAAAAGGTGTTTAAATAATTGAAATGAGCATTAAAGATCTCCCCTTTTCAAAACATCTCAGCCACAGATAGCTTTACAAGGGAATGTTACCAAACAGTACAGCTCTTATGCGATGTAATTTACATGCCATAAAGTTCGCCCACTTAATGCATACCGCTCAACGGCTTTTGTATATTTTGAGTTGTGCAATGTTAGCAGTCACTTCCCATTTCCCTCCCCAACCTCTCCTCCCCACCCCTAGCCTTGCACAACCACTAATGACTTTTTGTGTCAACAGATTTGTCTATTGTGAACATTTCATACAAATAGTATCATACTTTGTGTGTGTGTGTGTGTGTGTGTGTGTGTGTGTTTAAGAGACAGGGTCTCACTCTGTCACCCAGGCTGGAGTGCAGTGGTGCAATCATAGCTCACTGCAACATCAAACTCCCAGGCTCAAGCGATCTTCCCACTTCAGCCTCCTGAGTAGCTGGGACTACAGGTGTGTGCCACTGTGTGTGGTTAATTTTTAAATTTTTTGTATGGACAAGGTGTCATTATGTTACCCAGGCTGGTTTCAAACTCCTGGCCTTAAGCAATTCTCCCTCCTCTGTGTCCCAAAGTGTTGGGATTACAAGTGTGACCCACCACGCTGAGCACAATGTAGGTCCTTTGTGTCTGGCTTCATCACTTGGCGCAGTGTCTTCAAGGCCAAGTAGCATTCCATCTTGTGGATACACCATGTTATCCATATTGCCCATTCACTGGGTGATGAACATTTGGATTCTTTTCACCTTTTGGCTATTATGAACAATGCCGTTATGAATATTTGTGTATAAATTTTTGTGTGTACATGTTTTTTTTTTAATTTCTCTTTAGTATATACCTAGGAATACAATTGCTGGGTCATCTAATAACCCTATGTTTAACATTTTGAGGAACTGCTGATGTGTTTTCCAAATTGGCTGCACCATTTTTATCCCTACCAAAAACACATGTGTGTTCCAATTTCTTCACATCCTTGCCAGCACTCATTATTGTCTATTTCTTTCATCAAAGCCATTCTGGTAGGTATAAAGTAGTATTTCATTATGGTGGGGTTTTCTTGCTTTGTTTTTGTTTTTGTTTTTAAGTCAGGGTCTCACTGCTGCCCAGGCTAGAGTGCGGTGGCTCAGAGCTCACTGCAGCTTTAAACTCCTGGGCTCAATCCATCCCCTCTCCTTAGTCTCCCAAGTAGCTGGGATTACAGGCGCAAAACCCCATGTCCAGCTAATTCATTATAGTTTTTATTTGCATTTCTCTAGTGACTAATAATGGTCAGTTTCTTTTCATGTACTTGTTGGCTGTTGATACATCTACCTTAAATAAATGTCTATGTAAATCCTTTGTCCATGTTTAAATTGGTTGTCTTTCTATTATTGAGCTGTAAGAGTTCACTGTATGTTTTTGTTTGTTTGTTTCTGAGATGGAGTCTCACTCTGTCGCCCAGGCTGGAGTGCAGTGGCGCAATCTCAGCTCACTGCAACCTCCGTCTCCTGGGTTCAAGCGATTCTCTTGCCTCAGCCTCCTGATTAGCTGGGACTACAGGCACACACCAGCACACCTGGCTAATTTTTTGTATTTTTAGCAGAGACAGGGTTTCACCGTGTTAGCTAGGATGGTTCTCGATCTCCTGACCTTGTGATCCACCTGCCTCGGCTTCCCAAAGTGCTGGGATTACAGGCGTGAGCCACTGTGCCTGGCCCGGCTATATGTTTTGGATACAATTGACTTATCAAATATATGATTTACCAATATGTTCTCCCAGTCTGTGTGTTGTCTTTTCATTTTTAGGATGGCATCTTTTTTGAAGCACTGAATTTTTTTGATTTTGATAGAGTCCAATTTACCAATCTCTCTTTGGTCACTTGTGATATTGGTGTTATACCTGAGAAATCAGTGCCTAACCCAACATCACAAAGATTTATTTCCGTTTTCTCTGAAGAGTTTTATAGGTTTAGCTTTTACATTTATTTAGGTCTGTGACCCACTTTGAGTTAACTGTTGTGTATAGTGTGAGATAGGGGTCTAATTTCATTCTTTTCCCTGCGAATATCCAGTTGTCTCCCCACCATTTGTTGAAAAAATTATTCTTTCCCCATTGAAGTATATTAACTCTTTGGTCAAAAATCAATTGACCGTAAATGTTAGGTTTTGTTTTTGGACTCTCAATTCTATTCCATTTATCCATGTGTCTTCCCTTATGCCAGTACCACACTGTATTGACTACCTTAGCCTTGTAGTAAGTTTTAAAATCAGAAATAGGAGTCTTCCAACTTTGTTCTTTTTCAAGATTGTTTTGACTATTCTGGGTCCCTTTCATTTTCATACAAATTTTAAGATCAGCTTGCCGATTTCTGCAAAAAGTCAGCTAGTATCCTGAGAGGGATTGCAGTAAATCTGTGGATGACTTTTGAGAGTATTTCCATTTTAACATCAAGTCTTTCTGTCCATGGACATAGGGTGTCTTACCATATTTTTAGGTCTTTTAAAATTTATTTTCAACAATAATTTGTAGTTTTCAATGTACATGTCTTGCACTTTCATTTTTAAATGTATTCCTAAGTATGTTATTCTTGTTGAGGCCTTTGTAAATGGTATTGTTTTAAATTTAATTTTCAGATCGCCTATTGCTTATATATAGAAATACAATGATTTTGTACATTGATCTTATATCCCACAACATTGCTTAATTTGTTTATTAGTTCTAATTGTGTTTCCATGGTCTGCCAAACTTTTAAGAAATAGTTGTCTTCTCCTGTAGAATTTTTATTAGAATATATAAACAATAAAAAATTGCCTAGCTATTTTATATGAAGCTAGTGTCATCTTGATTTCAAAATAAGATAAAGGCAATGTAAAAACAGAAAGTACAGTTTCAAAAATCCTACATATAGAGTAATATTAATCAAGAGATTACAATATTATATTTTAAAAAGAATAAATCATTACCAAGAAGGGCTATTCCAGGAGTGCAAAGATGGATGAATATCAGAAAAGTAATCAATGCCTTTCTCCAATTAACTGATTGTAACAAAAAAATTAGATGATCTTCTCAAAAAGTCAACAATGCAAGAAAAGTTATTTAAGAAGGCCAATGCTCATTTATGACTTAAAAATGAAAGACATCTCAGCAACCTAGATCATAGAAGAAATTTACTTAGCAAAGTTTCAGATAAAAAATCTGAAGCATTTAAACATAAACAAACAACTTTAGCTTTGTTCTCTTTAAGTTGAGGTCCCCTATCCCCCCCCTATGTAGACATGATTGTGGGTATATAAGAATACTTTCTGGCATAATATAAGAATATAAGAATACCCACTATCATGTCTACATTTTAATGTAGTCATAGCAGCCTTGGTCAATACTATAATGAAAGAAAATAAAAATAAATGTTAGTGGGAGGAAAGTAATAAGACCTAATTGCACTTGTATGACTGGCCATCTAAAAATCAAGTATATTAGATATCGGTACAAGGTAGAAGCTTTAATTATGTTGTGAAATATAAAATAAAATAGTATTTCTCTATACTTGCCATGTACAACTAAAAATGAAAAGTTTAAAAGTAAAATTAATAATGAGAATGACAATTCTCGAGGAAGAGTGCATCCTTGAAGCTAGATCTTGGCTTCTAAATACCATTCTTCGATTAAAGGAACAGGGAAAGGGCTGATTCCAGGGCTGGTTCCAGGGCTGGGTAGGTGGAGCCCAAGAGGGGCTGGAACAGGTCGTAGTGCCAGAAAGTAGGGAAGTGCTCGGAGAATAACGATGGCACATCAAAGGATGCCAGAGCCCTCTCACATGGCCAAACCTGGAACAATTTCAGAAACTGCTATTTAATAAATAATGGCAGTAATGGATTATTTCCCATCCAATAACATTAATATCCATGCCTTCCTACCAACATAAAATATAATTGAATACATAATGGAGGAGAATCCACAGCTCTTCCTTATAGTAGTGTCACAATTAATGAATACGGAGGACATGATAGCTGCCTCAAGACCCCATTTTGCAAACACTACTTTAATAATTGTTGCAGGCAAGAAATCATCAACCAGTGCTAAATTAGTGGGCAAAATATGATGAGATACTGGATATTTATTTAAACACAAACTCTCTCTCCAGAGAAAATAGGCATCAATTTAAAAGAAACATGGCAGACGTCACCCTAACCAACTGATCAAACTAGATGAGAGTTGTCAAAATTATGTTCTCCTTAAATGATGCCCAGAGCAGGACATAGAATCACATATATGTAGGCCTCCCAGATTTGCCAAAGGAAAAATAGGGAAAGCCCAGTTACATCTGAATTTCAGATGAACAGTGAATACATTTTTGGTATGAGTATGTCTCATGTGATACCTGGGCATTCACTATTTTACTGGTCAAGCATAGTTATGCGGTAATCTTGTCAAGAATGTACAACCTGAATTCAATCATGAAGAAACATCAGAAAAACTCCCAAAGGGAGACATCCTACAAAATAACAGGCCAGCCATTGTTTCTTCAGTTAGTATATCCGTCCATGGTGTTAAGCTCATGAAAGGCACAGAAACACCGAGAAACCATCCCAGATGCAGAAGCCATGATCACTAAGGGCAATGTGTGGTCCTGGATCGGGTCTGGGACCAGAAGAAGGTGTGAAGGGGACAGCTGGTGAAACGTGAACACTGCCTGCGGATTCGTGAAGAGCGTCGCATCAGCGCTGATGCCCTGATTTTGATCCCTAAGCTGCATTTAAGCCGGTGACATTTGGGGAAGCTGGGTGAAGGGCATATGAGAAACTTTTTTGTTCTACTTTTGCACTTTTTTTGTTGTTGTTGTTGAGACGGAGTCTCGCTCTGTCGCCCAGGCTGGAGTGCAGTGGCGCGATCTCGGCTCGCTGCAAGCTCCGCCTCCCGGGTTCACGCCATTCTCCTGCCTCAGCCTCCCAAGTATCTGGGACTACAGGCGCCCGCCACCGCGCCCGGCTAATTTTTTGTATTTTTAGTAGAGACGGGGTTTCACCGTGTTAGCCAGGATGGTCTCGATCTCCTGACCTTGTGATCCACCCGCCTCGGCTTCCCAAAGTGCTGAGATTACAGGCCTGAGCCACTGCGCCCAGCCTTTTGCAACTTTTTAGTAAGGTTGGAAGTTATTTCAAAATGCAAAGTTAAAAAGTAAAAAAAGACTAAAGAGGTAAATGATCCGAACAAATCCCATCTTGCATGGGACAACTTAGTTTTCTCAATGGCTTCAATTGTCCTCAAATTAGTCTACAAATTCAGTGCAATATCAATCAACCTTCAAGTCGGATTCACTTAAGGAACTTATGAAAAAAATCAATGTTCATGAAACAGTAAGTCAACCCTAAAGAAACGTCATGAGGGGGTTTTCTCTGCCAAATATTACGTAAAATCCCAAATCAAATCCCAAATCAGTCTTGGATTGTGATTGTGATTGCTACAAGAACCAAAGGTCAAATGGGATAGGACAGAAGGCTCAGGGATGGCTTGAGGTTTTCCCACTGCCCGAGGAAGCCTCCTTTATGTAGGATACGTGATCCTGGACCGGCCCGGGTCTGTTTCTGAGTGGGCAGTTGGTGGCTCCACCCTGACGCACCACCAGCCATCCGAGGTATGTGAAGCACACACTCACCCCATGACCAAAGGCGTGTTTCAGAGCAGTGCATTTCAGAGCACGCATTTCCACAGAGGCCTCCACAAGGCTGTTCATGGAGCGAGGGTATTTACCCGAGTGCCTTTGGTAGTAGGGAGTTAGAAGCACCCTGCGTGTCCACTCTGGAAGGACAGAGCGGTCATTTTGGAAAGGATCAGTACCGGGGCACTCCTAGCAAGCGACAAGTCATATGTGTACACGTTCAGAAGGGGTGGACCCCAAGGGCACAATCCGGAGTGAATGAACAGGAAGCAAAATAAAATGTGCAACACAATACCATTTACACTGATAAAAAACACTCCAACACAAAACCATACACTTTTCCAGAAAACACAGGAACAAAAAGGCACTCAGGAGCACGGCTGCCGGTGTCAGAAGGGGATGGCGGTAAAGGGAAACCAGGAAATGTGTTCATCTGGGAGGAGACCCTGCACAGCCCACCGATGACATCATTCCGACCCGACCCCTGCCTGAGGACAAAGACCCGCTAACGTGACCCTCTGTTCAGGGAGAGTGGAGAGACACAAACCGTCCGGCCATACCACTGATAGTACAGGTTTTGTGACTTCAGACCTTGCATCTTTCTGGGAAGCCTCAGCACATGCGCACACAGGATTCTCTCAAATCTAAGGATGAACTGCATTCCAGTAAAACTTTAAGTAAAGGTGCCCTTGGCCAGGCGCGTTGGCTCACGCGTGCAATCTCAGCACTTTGGGAGGCCGAGGCAGGTGGATCACCTGAGGTCGGGAGTTCAAGACCAGCCTGATCAACATGGAGAAACCCCGTCTCTACTATAAAAAAAAAAAATTAGCCAGGCTTGGTGGTGCATCCCTGTAATCCCAGCTACTCGGCAGGCCGAGGCAGGAGAATTGCTTGAATCCGGAAGGCGGAGATTGCGGTGAGCCGAGATTGCACCATTGCACTCCAGCCTGGGCAACAAGAGAGAAATTCCATCTCAAAAAAAACAAAAAAAGAAGAAGAAGAAAATAAAAGATGCCCTTTCATGTCTAAGAAACTCCCAGTCTGGGGTTCTACCTGTCTTTTGAGAAACCTCGCGGGCTTTGCTCTCTTAGTTACCACATTAAGCTGCAGCTGGAGTGGTACGGAGGCAGGCCAGAGCTTCACAGCTGGCCTCGCTCACACACACACTCACGGTTTTACCCTTTGTACACACATGTTGGATCATTTCTTCCGTATACTGGCTTGATATACATTTACAATTTCTACCACGCTGTCTCGCTCTGCCTGATTACGGGATATTAGTGAAGTTTTCGTTCACCAGCTATTGAAATCTCAAGTGTATAATTAATAGGAGTTGTAAAGGTTTAAATCGATTTCTATCAGTATCTATTAGAGGATGAGCTGTATTAGATAATGCATCGCAGATTTCCCAGGCAAATGAGAGGGACTTTGCTCTCTGAGAAATGTCATTCTGAAGAGAGGTCGGAAGAGTGGAGAGTAAACAGCTTGAGAGAGCTGCAAGGATGCATTTCCTAGCCCAGAGGATGGTTACGTCTTTGAGTGAATGACTGAAGGAGACTGTGAGGTCCATTCTTGGAAGAGCCTTGAAGACAGGGGAGTGGAAGAAATAAACAGAGAGACAACCCCGATGCAGACTCCGCTTTCAGATGCTCTTCTCTCTCGGAGCAGCATTAGGTAAAAACGGCTCAAGAAATGCAATGGTATGGATGAACGCAGTGAAATTACATTACAATTATTTTTAATCATTTAAATTCCCTTCTTGTCTCATGCTTTTTATGTTAACATCATGTAGAATTTTGCTGAGGTGTGTTTTCCTAAGGTTTAGAATTCTGGTCAGTCTTTATATGTCAAGATTAATTGCATCGTTATGGGAAGCATACTTGAGACTCAAGTGCAGGGAGACAGAATGAAATAAAATTCTATACCATCCTGTCTCCTGATTTGTGCAGCAGCCTCGTAATTATTTCCAGTAAACCTTTTCCTCCCTACCCTTCTTCCCCTGGTTCATTGTTCGTAATAATGATAGCGTGGAAAACCCCAAACGAAGCTCACCAAAAAAGGAAAAAAAATACAGAAGAATCAAATTCACCCTCAGAGCTCTAAAAGAAAGAAAGAAACAAACAAAACAGAGCAATGCAACATCCTGGGACAACTCTTCCTGCCTCCTCACATAAGGTAGCCCCACCTCGACCCTTCCTGTCTCTCTCCCAAAATCCAATTATTTGTGACAATTAAGAGAACAAATGCAGAGGCATACACTTCCTTACTGCTTGCTCCTTGACTTCCGGCAAGGAAAAGCCAACGTATTAGAAGAGATGAGCATGAAGAAAGTAAGGAGGGGGCATTCTAATCGTTTCCATCTGGAAGATGTTCTTGAAACAGGGATCTGTGTCCCTGGTTCTTGCACATTTTAAAACAGAAGAAAACATGCCTCTTTCTGCCCATGCAATGTGATAATAGAAAGCAAACAAAGCGAGAAATCCATTCTATTTTCGCAAGCAGTTTACGGAATGGGGAAACCCATGACCCTCTGCCTCCTTTTTTTTTTTTTTTTTTTTTTGTGAATACGATTAAGACTGCTGGGAGATTTGGCTGGTCTTCCCTGCTCTGAAATGACAGGTTGTGGTCTTGGACTGCAGGCAGGTCACACCTTCAGAGCAGCTCCTAGTCCCGAACTGACTGCGCCCCTGTGAGGGCCACACCGATTTCCATAATGAGACGTGACAAGCAGTGCTACTTTAATCCTGCCTTTGAGGTGGGAATAGAATACAAAGCAAAACACACTCTGATTTCCTCACCAGGCCATGGGAAGTGGCTACACGATTTCAGCTTAACCTAGTTCGTTTTATCATGTGCCGCAAAAGATGCAATTTGTGGGAAATAACAATGTTAGAAAAACCTACGGATGTGAGGTTGCAAAATGGAAACGGAGCATGTGTGAGTTGTGTGCCTTCTGCGGAAAACAGGCCTATGCGTTGGAAAGGAGTGTTGGGCTGTTGGACTTGTGTGGGGCATGTTGCGCTGTGGATGTGCCTTGGTTGAGCTGCCCCCAAAGCAGTTTGCAGTGGCTCAGGTCTTCCAACACAGGGGCTGGGACACAGCTTGCCCTGCAGGAAAACATGGCACATTATCCCTTGTTTCCAGATACGGGTCTCTTTTTAACTTGTGGGTTGTCATAGCACCGTTTATTTCTTTCTTAAAACAGTTTTCTTGAATCACATTTAACTATTCAAAAACATTGCCCTGATACTGATCATTTCCTTAAACATTTAAATAGCCCAACTCACAGAGACTCCCCCTACACACACTTGCACCCGTGTGCACACACACAGATACACATGCATGCACACCCCCACCACGCACCACATGCACTCCCCCCCCCCACACACACACTTTCCTGCATGCACATGCATGCGCGCACACGAGCCCCCATCAGAGCCATGGTCTGATCAGCAATTGATGCTGAAGAAAGAACCCAAGAGAGGAAGCTACTGGCCCAGCGTCATCCTATTGACTCTTGAGAGAGTCAGGGTTGGTTTGCAAAACCATGCTTTCCACATTTTGCTGTTTTTCAACATTTATTGAGTGTTCTGTAGATCAGGCACTGTTAGGCAGCTTATGGGTAATTTCTTTAAGAAGAATAAGTAGAAAGGCAAATGCACACACACAAAGGAATCCCCCTGACCTTGGGGGTGGTGGGCGTCTTAGGTCCCAGCTCACCTATTAGAGGCCCCGGGGCAGCCTTCCTGGAAAAGCTGGGAGGAGTTTGTTGGAGCCCCCTTCCCCTCTAAGTTCCTTGCTTCTTCTCTCCGAAGGTCTTTTCCTGACACTTAGCCCACCCAGCCCTGAAACCCCCCTGCCTCTTCTGCACCAGCCCAGACCCACAGGGCCCTCCAGGCCTGCTCTCAGGGAGCCCCCAGGAGGGAAGTGAGCTGATTAACCAATTCACACTCAGCTGCTAATGGGTGGTAATGACTTCAGAGGTTTGCCCTACTCTACCCCTGCAGGGTGCTACATTTCAAAAGCCATGCCAGCCAGGAAGAAGCCTTTCATCCAACCAGATGAATGATTAATAACGTCATTCCACAAATTGGTGGCAGATGATGCCACTCAAATCATATTACATAAGTCCACCCTGCCTATTCATCAAACAAAGTCCTAGTCGGAGCACATACACATTCATTCATCCATTCACTCATTCCACAGTTTCAATGAATGTCTCCTATGTAATAGGAACAGGGGACCCAAAGAGAAAAAAATACACTCTGCCTGCCCAAAGGAGGCTCCCAGCCAAAGAAATGAAACAGAGCTATATACTCAAAACATAGGCCAAATGCTCTAACACATAAAGAGAGCCGTGGGTGCCTTGAGGAGGTAGCAGGTAACGAAGGGACTGATTTTCCACTTCTATGTGTCTCTGTCATGACCACAGCCCTGACGCCACCTGAAATTCTGCACGGAGGCCAGGCACGGTGACTCACGCCTATAATCCCAGCACTTTGGGAGGCCCAGGAGGGTGGATCACCTGAAGTCAGGAGTTCGAGACCAGCCTGGCCAACATGGTGAAACCCTGTCTCCACTAAAAATACAAAATTTAGCCAGGTGCTGAGGCAGGTGCCTGTAATCCCAGCTACCTGGGAGGCTGAGACAGGAATTTCTTGAATCCGGGAAGTGGAGGTTGCAGTCAGCCAAAATTGCACCACTAAACTCCAGCCTGGGCGACAAGAGTGAGACTCCGCCTCAAAAAAAAAAAAAAAATCTGCACATCATGAAGCCAAATCCTCCAAGCCTGACTCCAGCATAACTTCTGTTATTTAACCCTCCGGTTTGGGGCCAATCACCCACCCAGTTTAACTCGCCTTGGAGGGTTTCTCCAACTCTGGGAGGACAGTGAACTCACCAAGGTAACCAACCTCAAGGCACATTAGAGGTCAGCTTAACAGAGCCTGGTGTCCACTGTGCAGAGGATAGCTGTCCCCAAAAGCCAGCACACAAATCAGTCCAAGGGGACAGCCCAGCAGTTTGGATTTTGCCTGGGAGTGATGGGTTGCTGACAATTTGGGATTCCCCCTACAAACGTAAGAATGAGATCAACATGTTCAGATTTCAATTCAACGAACAGCCCTTCCTAAGCTCCGAGTAGCACACGCTCACTGTCTCTCCTACACATGTCCTTCTGGCACCTCCTCACCAGCAGGAACATGACCGTGATCAGTCCATGTCCAACAGATGGACAGTGCACATTATGCAGAAGACCAGGATACATCTTTTCTTCTTTTTTTTGGGGGGATGGAGTCTCGCTCTGTTGCCTAGGCTGGAGTGCAATGGCGCAGTCTAGGCTCACTGCAACCTCCGCCTCCCAGGTTCAAGCGATTCTCCTGCCTCAGCCTCCCGAGTAGCTGAGACTACAGGCATGTGCCACCATACCTGCTAATTTTTGTATTTTCAGTAGAGACAGGGTTTCACCATGTTGGCCAGGCTGGTCTCAAACCCCTGACCTTGTGATCCGGCCACCTTGGCATCCCAAAGTGCTGGGATTATAGGCGTGAGCCCGCACCTGGCCACATCTTTTTTTCCTCACATTTTTGGTGGTGGGGTGAATGGGGCTAAGTTGCTTCAGGGACTTGGGAGGCAGAGTCCTGGGAAGGTACTTGAAGACCATCCATGAAAGAGTTGGTCCAAATCGCTTGTCATATATATGCCCTGAAGTGTAAAGAGGTGAGCAAAAGCATTAAGTACATGTTTAATATTTCAACAGCTAATATTTTCATTTAGGTCTTATTTACGCTATAGTAGAACTGTGATTTCTTAGAATCTTTTTATATGCAAATCTGACAGAACACTAGGGCTCTTGTACAATCAGGCTATTTCATATGCATGTTGTATAGCGTGGCTGTATAGAATGGGGGGGAAAGTACTGAATTAGAAATCAGGAAATATGAGTTCTGGTCCTGTATGTGTGATTAACCTCTTTGAGACTCAATTTCCATATCTTAAAAACAATGTTAGATTAATGATCTCTTAGGTGCTTCTCAGCTCTAACATGCAATGACATGGAGCATAATTTGACTATTTAAAATTAGTGTAGGCATCAATAATTATTGCAGCTTTGTTTTTATGACATACTGTTTCAATCATGAACATATCATTTATTTGATATCAATTTTTTTAAGGAATGCAATCTCCAACTAAAACTTTTTTTGAGAAAAATATCCAGACAAACCACATGAAATTGCTTATATTTGACCATTTTTGACTGAACAAGTGGTAATTTTATGTGGTTCAACCTAATAGTATCTTTTTTTTTTTGGAGACAGTCTCACTCTGTCACCCAGGCTGGAGTGCAGTGGTGCAATCTCGGCTCACTGCAGGCTCCGCCTCCCGGGTTCATGTCATTCTCCTGCCTCAGCCTCCCAAGTAGCTGGGACTACAGGCACCCGCCACCAAGCCTGGCTAATTTTTTGTATTTTTAGTACAGATGGGGTTTCACCGTGTTAGCCAGGATGGTTTCGATCTCCTGACCTCGTGATCCGCCCGCCTCGGCCTCCCAAAGTGCTGGGATTACAGGCAACCTAATAGTATTTTTTAAAAAGACCTACTTTAAGGCAAGATTTCCAGACATATGGGTGATTTTCTTTTTTTTTTTTTTTGAGAAGGAGTCTCGCTCTGTCGCCCAGGCTGGAGTGCAGTGGCACGATCTCGGCTCACTGCAAGCTCCGCCTCCCAGGTTCATGCCATTCTCCTGCCTCTGCCTCCTGAGTAGCTGGGACTACAGGCACCCGCCACCACGCCTGGCTAAGTTTTGTGTTTTTTGTAGAGACGGGGTTTCACCGTGTTAGCCAGGATGGTCTCCATCTCTTGACCTTGTAATCCGCCCGCCTCGGCCTCCCAAAGTGCTAGGATTACAGGCGTGAGCCACTGCGCCTGGCCGACATATGGTGATTTTTTAAAAATTATGTGAAAATCTGCAGTGAACACAGAGAAAAAGGATGTGTTATAAAATCTATTCACTGTAATTTTCCACACATTTTATATCTTAAAAATGAATAAAGTTTTCTCTGCTCATATTCTCTTCCTATTAAATAAAACCTTACCACCATTTACAAAGTTCTTCATAGTTTAAAGCAGCTCTTACGTGCTGTTATTTTATAACGTCCTTAAGAAGTGGGTAACAGCATCATTCCAATGTCACAAAGAGGAAACTGAGGCTGAAGAAGTTAAGTCATCTGCTCAAGACATCAGAATGGGGTCTGGACTCCAGCCAAGATAACAGCGTCCCAGAGGTCTTGCTCTCTCCCCTTCTGCCAGATGTGCAGCCCGTGAATATCAGCACATTAGCAAAGATACAATCTTTCTGATCACCGAACGCACTGAAATGGGGTCTCCTAGTGACAAATGTGATGAACACGCATTGAGACGAGAGCTACTGTCTTCGTCTTTCTTCTCTTAGTGTCACTCCAGAGCCGACAGAGCTGGTGGCTTGTGCATCCCAACCCCCACCCCCCCTTCCTGGGAGTTCTTGGCTCCCCGTAGGGGGGGTGCTGTTCCAGGAGCCACTGAAACTTCTGCTTCAGGAGATTTGTCCAGTGCCACGGAGCCAGGTCTCACATGCCACCAAAGGGCTTCCTGGAAATGTTCCAATAACATGGATCTTGCCAAGGGGACAGTAAATTTCTATCAGAAAAAATGTGATGCTTTGGCAAAAACCAGACCTTGAGAACACATTGATCATGTCAATTTCCCACAAAAGAGCGTGGTAAAGGGAAACACAGCACTGCCGATATTTACAGTTGCTGAAACAGTGAGATGACAATTCACAAATCAATCCATGTAATTAAAGCCAACGTGCTGGCCAGGGTGACCGTCAAGGGAACATCTGAGCGAGAGCCCCATTGTTTACCCGATTAGAACCTGACATGCAAACCAGGGCAAGGGGCTGCGGGGACGACTCAGAAGAACCAGGTCTCTCTAGGAAGCACCTCACCCAGAGAATTGAGAAGAGGGACTGAGAGAGGAACCTGTGCACTAATGTTGGAAGCAGCACTAGATTCATAAGAGCTGAAAGGTGGAAGGAACACAAATGTCCTCCCTGACGAATCCATAAACAACATGTGATACCCAGGTAATGACATACTGATACAGGCTACACCTTGGATGAATCTTGAAAATATTCTGTTCTGTGAACGAAGCTGGTCACAAAAGACAAATACTGTCCAATTCCATCTCGTACTAGCCAGGGTTCTCCAGGGAAACAGAACCCACGAAACGAAAATATACGGAGAGAGGGACATTTGTTTTTGTTTTGTTTTATTTGTGTGTGTGTGTGTGTGTGTGTGTGTGTGTGTGTGTGTGTGTGTGTGTGTTTGTTTTTTTGAGACGGAGTCTCGCTCTGTCGCCCAGGCTGGAGTGCAGTGGTGCGATCTCGGCTCACTGCAAGCTCCGCCTCCCGTGTTCACGCCATTCTCCTGCCTCAGCCTCCTGAGTAGCTGGGACTGCAGGCGCCCGCCACCACGCCCGGCTAATTTTTTGTATTTTTAGTAGAGACGGGGTTTCACCGTGTTAGCCAGGATGGTCTCGATCTCCTGACCTTGTGATCTGCCCGCCTCGGCCTCCCAAAGTGCTGGGACTACAGGCGTCAGCCACCGCGCCCAGCTGGGAGATTTGTCTTAAGGAATGGGCTCACGTGACTGTGGAGGAGGGCAAGGCCATGATTGACTGGGGCAGGTGGACAGGCTGGGGACGCTGGGAAGAGCTGCAGACGTCCTTCTGGGGAGACCAGTCTTTTTCTCTCAAGCTGTGAACTGATCGGACGAGGCTCATCTGCACTGTGGAGATGAATTCGCTTTACTCCAAGTCTACTAATTGAAATGTTAATCTCATCCAAAAAATACCTTCACAGAAACATCCACAATAATAATGTTTAACCAAATGTCTGGACGCTGTGGCCCAACCAAGTGTTGGGTTAGTTAAGTGCTAATGACACATAACATTATGCATCACACACACTGATGAAACGTCTAGAATAGACAAATTCATAGCCACGGTAAGTAGATGACGGTAGATGAGAGGGGCTGAGAGAAGGGGAATTGGGGTGGAATGGTTTTACATCGTACCACAATTTAAAAACAAGCAAGTAAATAAATGAATGTTTTTATAAAGTAATCCAAACATGTGTGTGCTAACTTTTTTTCTCCAAAAGGCATTTCCTAGCAAAACGCTCACCTTTGTTCTATTGGGCTACGAGGATAGATTTTATCAAAAACACTTGTTTATATCAACAGCTGTCATTCTTCCAGTGAGGAGTTTTCCTTTTTCTTCAAGTAATAAAGGGAAACCAGTGTCTCTCCGCCTCCTGCCTCTCATAAACCCACTTCTTTTGTGGAGAGCCATCCAGGCAGCCAGAGGGCCCCCAAGAAAGCAATGCATGCCACTCAGCCCTCCCCTTCCCTGGTCCAAAACAGGGCTCTAAGCTTTGGTGAAAGTTTCTCATGGAAAGATGTGTGCACACACACTCACGCACACACCCAGTCCTCAGCAGCAGATATTTTGCCGAGGGGCTCTACACCAGCTCACACAGTTGCACGATTGTACCCAAGGCGTCACTTCGGGCAGCCAACGCACGGCACTCTCCCTGGCCTGTACATTCAGACTTGTAGGGGACAGCTGTTTGGCCGGGTAGGGATGCCAAGAGCTGGAGCAACAGGAAGGAGGCCACGCGGAGTGGTGGAGTTTCAAAAGTCTGTGGAGAATCATGGGTTTCGTCTGCATTTTACAATCCCAACTATGGTCCTTAAATGATATATGAATTTTTAAACCATGATGGGAATTTTAGAAAAGTAATATTTTGTAATAAAAAAAGGAAGAGGAAAGGAAGAAAGAAAATACTATATTAAGCTCTAAGCCAAATAACGTTAAAGATATTTAATGATGAGTATGACCTCCAACCTCTCAGAAGAGATGCCTGCCTGGTGAGCACCCGCACCCACCTCCACTCCAGGCTGAGTCCCCAGGGGCAGGAGGCAGCTGAGTTTGGTAAATACGAATCCTCCTGGTTCAGGGGTGTGGTCCCCATGAGAAGCAGCTAGGGACCACTGGCAAGAGCGGGGACCCAGCATGGCCCTGAGGAAGGGCAGGCCTGGCCAGGCACTGCCTCATCTCTGAGAGAAGCTAGAGGTGGGATTTCGATGTAAAATCTCCCCTTTAAAGTATTAGTCATTCATTGAGGTTTGTGAAAATTGTAGAACAAAGACAGCAGCAGGCTGGACTGGGCGACCTATGCCTTCCACCACCACATTGACTTAGATAAAGAAGAGACAATTCATAATAGCCGAAAGGTGGAAGGAACCCAAATGTCCACCCTGACGAATCTATAAACAACATGTGATACACATGTAATGATATATTGATACAGGCTACACCTTGGATGAATCTTGAAAATATTCTGTTCCGTGAACAAAGCTGGTCACAAAAGACAAATACTGTCCAATTCCACCTCGTACTAGCCAGGGTTCTCCAGGGACATAGAGCCCACGGAATGAAAATATACAGAGAGAGGGAGATTTGTTTTAAGGGATGGGCTCACGTGACGGGAAGACGGCATCAGGGTCCTGGAGCCTGGTACGCATAGAGTGGACAAAAAGTCCTAAATGACCTGTTAATTAGGGTCTGGAAATAGTGAATCCATAGATATTCCCCAACCTCACTTTAATTTCCCTCCCTACCCTGTCTTTAGAAGGACTAATGGGAAAGAAAACACAGGGGAAAGAGGAGAAGCAAAGGCTTCGTGTGGATGAGCTGCCCGGGCACTCAGAGCTCGGACATCATGTGGGATGGGACCCAGGAGGCCGAACAGAGACCACACCTGTCAGGCCAATCAGGGGGACAGGGAAATGCTATGGAATTGGTGGCAAGAGAATGGTGTATTGAGTCAGCGGGTTTCCAAATAGGCTTTATTCTGGCTTTCAGGTTTCAGGACGTTTTCTAGCAGCCTGCCTTAACCAAAGTAAATATGTATTGAAATAAAGGCGCAGAGGCCGGGCACAGTGGCTCATGCCTGTAATCCCAGCACTTTGGGAGGCCGAGGCAGGTAGATTGCCTGAGGTCAGGAGTTGGAGACCAGCCTGGCCAACATGGTGAAACCTCGTCTCTACTAATACAAAAATTAGCCAGGCGTGGTGGCAGGCGCCTGTAATCCCAGCTCCTCAGGAGGCTGAGGCAGGAGAATTGCCTGAACCCGGGAGGCAGAGGTTGCAGTGAGCCGAGATTGCGCCACCGCACTCCACTTTGAGGGACAAGAGCGAGACTTCGTCTCAAAAAAAAAAAAAAAAAAAGAAAGAAAGGTGCAGAGTTTCATAAAATATACACAGCAGATTTGAGAAATTTTGCTTGCTTTTAAAAAATGAAGTCTATTGTGAAAACTTCACTTTAATTAAAGAAATACCAAATGTTTATTATTTTGAAATAAAATGAACAAAACGCAAAATTTCTCTGTAAAGACCCACTGGCAGGTAAGTTGTCTTCCAGACGGTGTTAGCCAGTGAAGAACTCCTGGCCGGGTGCAGTGGCTCCTGCCTGTAATCCCAGCACTTTGGGAGGCCTAGGTGGGAAGAACACTTGAGGCCAGGAGTTCGAGACCAGCCTGGGCAGCATCGTGAAACTCCCGTGCCCCACCCTGCCAACCATCTCTAAAAAACAACAACAAAAATAATTTGTGAGTGTCCAGATGCACACAATTATATAAAGTAAAAGATTTCACACCTGCCTTTAAGAGTTGGTGATAAAATGTGAGAAACAGAATCAACAAGCACACATACGTACACACACACACACACACACACACACACACACTCCATTCCATTTTAAATATAAGAAAACCGTCCAGGCGCGGTGGCTCATGCTTGTAATCTCAGCACTTTGGGAGGCCAAGATGGGCAGATCACCTGAGGTCAGGAGTTTGAGATCAGCCTGGTCAACATGGTGAAACCCTGTCTCAACTAAAAATAGAAAAATTAGCTGGGTATGGTGGTAGGCGCCTGTAATCCCAGCTACTTGGGAGGCTGAGGCAGGAGAATTGCTTGAACGCTGGAGGCAGAGGTTGCAGTGAGCCAAGATTGCGCCAGTGCACTCCAGCCTGGGTGACAGAGTGAGACTCTGTCTCAAAAATAAATAAAATAAATAAATAAATATAAGAAAACAAATGAGCAAAATGCATCCCAGTGGAGTGTCCCTGGAACCAAGGTCTTCAGGTTGGAACTGGGATCGGAGTAAATACCAGGGAGGAGGAGCGGCGCCCGTCAGACTGACGGTGTCTCCCACATGGAACGTCACCCAGCTGGGCTGGCAGATATGGAAGAAGACACAATCATACCTTCCAACAGTGCACAATGGAGTGTGAGGAACTAGCCATCATAAGACAATGAAATAATTTCTTTACTAACAGGAAAATACGTTATGGGAGCCTAAAGGGTAGCAAATCTATAAAAGTTAAAGTTAAAATTGTAAAAAAGAAACAGTACCCTAGCAGCTCGGAGCTGCATTCCATCGCATTCCTTGCTGCTGGGCCTCACCGTCTGCCTGGCTCCCTCCAGTGCGTTAAAAAATTGCTCTGAACTCAAACTCAGAGAAAACAGAGGCACTCGGCAAGAGGAGATTTTGCTTCAACTGATGAGGACAACCTCATTCTGCGAGAAATTCCACCGGCTTACCCCGGTGAGGCATCTTCTGACCAGATACCACCGTCAGGGAGTTTCACAGAAGCAACTAGGTCTACATAAGCAGAGAACACTGTTTTTAGAGAATTTTCAAGTAAAATGCTGTCCTCTGCCAATGCAGACTCTGACTTTGCTCTGCCAGTGGTAAGAGCAATAAGATACCAAAATGGTTAAAAGTCAAACCATCTATTCTTCTAAATGCACTATACTGAAAATGACAGATCCGTCTATTCATTTTGGGAACTGTATTCTTCATGCACTATTATTTCTTTTCAACTCCTAAATTATATGCTATCGTAGTTCCTAGAAAAGGAGTCAGACGAAAATAGGGGGAATTGGTGACTAAATTTCCCTCGACGTAGGATTAACGCACACGTATCTAATTCATATACTCTAAATCTACACTTGGATAAATAAATTTGTTTGGAAAAACCCTATATGAGATTGGTCATTATTATAATCATCTCGATGTTTCAATGAGTTTTTGGTCTATATGAAAGTTGATTTTAGGATATGGTCATTTCTTGGGAGTTGCACACAATTTCATGGAAGCAGAGCAGAGGCATGTGGGCATGTATTTCATTATGGGCACAAGGGTGCTGGAGGAAGGAGGTTAAACAGATGATATTGTGATTTTTGGCTGGTTTCCTGAAATTTCAAGAATGCCCAGCACATCTGAGGATGAAATGAAATTTTTTGTATACCTATGAAACACACAGTGTTTGTATACCTATGAAACACACAGTGTGTGGCATGGAAGAGACACTTGGTAACTTCATTCATGAATGGGGGCTCCACAGCGACTAAAGAAGGGAAGGCATGGGAAGGGGAGGGGAACCGCCCTGGGACAGAAATGAAAGAGAAGAAACTGAGACACCCACCTGCCGGGGCTTTTCTCGGGCTCTTCCTGGCAGAACCCCATTATCAGTTGCATCTCCACTCAGCCCTCACCTCCTCTTCCCGCCGCCGAGCAACCAGCCAAGCCAGGGAAACAAGTCCTGCCAGCCAAGCCCCCGCACCCCACAGGCCTGCCTTCACGTCATCATCACCATCATCATCATCATCATCACCATCATCATCATCATCAATGGCATCTGTAGCTACAGTCACTGGGACTCAGCTGCTTGACCAGCCCGAGTGTCTTTCTGCCTCTGCTTCTGTAGAGCTCCTGCTCTTCCTAGAGCTTACAGGATGGCGTTCCTCAACCTCCTATGTGTGTCTGTCACCTCTCCTGAATGGCCGGCTTTTTGAACGGGGGATGCTGTTCCCATTGACTGTGCATTCCCACCCGCAACACCGAGTAAATGCGGCCTAAGTCCTTGGTGAGTAGTTGAATCTTTACTGCCTTCGGGCATATTTCTTGAACATTATAGTATAACCATTGTAGACAGTTCCATCTACAATGCCAATTAGAATGTCACATTGATTGCATCATAGCAGGGACCTTAACAGGTGAACCAGTAATCAAAATGGATATCCGTAGCCAATGTGACGACACAGATATTGCTCTAAAAACCTTCAATTGGGGGCCAAGCACCGTGGCTCACATTTGTAATTCCAGCACTTTGGGAGGCCGAGACGGGCGGATCACTTGAGGTCAGGAGTTCGAGACCAGCCTGGCCAACATGGTGAAACCCCATCTCTACGAAAAATACAAAAAATTAGCTGGGCGTGGTGGCACGCACCTGTAATCCCAGCTACTCGCAAGGCTGAGGTAGGAGAATCACTGCAACCCAGGAGACAGAGGTTGCAGTGAACTGAGATCACACCACTGCACTCCAGCATGTGAGACACAGCGAGACTCCATCTCAAAAACAAAACAAAACAAAGACAAAATGAAACAAAAACAAAACAAAACAAAAACCCCTTCATTTGGGATGGTTTACATTAAATTTTAATGTTGCTTTTCTGTGGATTTTACAAAGGTCACAAATGTTCACTTAGATATTTGTGTTCTCCTGCAAGATATTATGAATCTTTAATATTATAAATGCATTCAATCAAATAGTGTTTCACAAATTTAACTAAGATGGGAGCAACATTGTTCATCCCATTGTAAAATCTCTGTGGCTCCAGCAACAATTGTGTGCCATTAAAACAATGTACATTCTAGAATACTATCATTTGGGATGGGAAAAAACAGGTTCTGCAAGCTACTCAATGTCATACAAATGCCCTGCTTTCTAAAGCAGCACATGGTTTAAGGGATGGGAGAAGAGAGATTCTGGAAAGGGTTAAATCCCTGTGCCTGTGGACACTGCCTGCACCTGCAGACCACCTCCATCTGAAGGTAGCTGCAAAGCCGTTTGAAACCATTTCACTTTTACCAGGGCAGAGGGATGTGGTTTGAATACGAATGTCCTTTCCCACTTGCAATATTGCGTATTAGTTCCATTGTAGCCTGCTTACTTTCCTTGCTACTTTTTTTTTTTTTTTTTTAGACGGAGTCTCGCCCTGTCGCCCAGGCTGAGTGCAGTGGCGTGATCTCGGGTCACTGCAACCTCCGCCTCCCAGGTTCACTCCATTCTCCTGCCTCAGCCTCCTGAGTAGCTAGAACTACGGGCACCTACCACCATGCCTGGCTAATTTTTTTTAATATTTTTAGTAAAGACGAGGTTTCACCATGTTAGCCAAGATTCTCAATCTCCTGACCTCATGATCCACCCGCCTCAGCCTCCTAAAGTGGTGGGATTACAGGCGTGAGCCACTGCGCCCGGCCCCTTGCTAAGTTTTTAGGGAGCAAATGACCTCTGGGCAACTACAAAGTTCCACTATCAGAGCAGTATAATATTCTTTAAAGAACACCAACGAATACACGGGCATGCTTTCGGTAACTGCAACTCTCTGCCCAGTTCACAGCTAAATACGCTGACATGGCAGGATGCAATGATTTTCCCACATCACATATCAAGTTATTAGATCAGTTTCCGACTCTTTTCAAAGTGCTTTCTCATATGTCTTTCAACCAAATCTATTTATTGAGTCTTTATATAGCACTTATTTTGTATCATGCTCTATTCCACATGCTTTAAAAATATTGACTCACTTAAGCCTCAAACAGCCTATGAAGTAGGTCCTGCCACTCTCCCTATTTGCAGATGAGAAAATTGTGGCCTGGCCACTGGTCCTGTAGTTGGGAAGCAGTAGAGGCAGTGTTCAAACACAGTCAGCCTGCCCAGAGCCCGTGGTTGCAACAACTGCGCGGTGCCGCCTCCGACAAACCGTGAGCATCCACTTCCCAAGCTTTGTTCTTTCGTCTTGTGTGGAAAAGGTTTTATTTTAATAAACTGTATACATCAGGCTTTGAAAAGCAATGTCCCTCAAACCATAAAAGGATGAAACGTGGATGACAGTTGTAAGCCTCTCCATTCCCCTTTCCCCTCGGCCCTGCTAAAGGCCTGCCATCTGTGGGCCCACCTGCCCAGAATCCACCTGGCCAAGACTCACCTGTCTAAAACTCTCCTTCCCAGAATCCAGCTGCCCAGGACCCACCTGCCCAAGACCCACCTGTCTAACACTCACCTGCCCAGAACTCCCCTGCCCAGGACACACCTGCCCGGAATCTACCTGCCCAGAATCTACCTTCCCAGAATCCACCTGCCTAAGATTCATCTGCCCTGAACTCATCTGCCCAGGACCCACCCACCCAGGACCCACATGCCCAGGACCCCACCTGTCCAAAACTTACCTGCCCAGAATCTACCTGCCCAGGACCCACTCACCCAGGACTCACCTGACCAGGACCACACCTGTCCAAAACTTACCTGCCCAGAATCCACCTGCCCATGACCCACCCGCCCAGGACCCACCTGCCCAGTACCCACCCACCCAGGACCCACCCACCCAGGACCCACCTGCCCAGGACCCCATCTGTCCAAAACTTACCTGCCCAGAATCCACCTGCCCATGACCCAGCTGCCCAGGACCCACCTGTCCAGAATCTAGCTTCCCTGAACCCATCTTCTCAGAATCTGCCTGGCCAGAATCCACCTGCCCAGAATCCACCCCTCCTGCCCAGAAGAACCCACCTACCCAGGATGTACCTGCCTAAGACCCACTCCACCTGCCCAAGACCCAGTTGCCCAAGACCTACTCCACCTACCCAGGACCCATCTGCTTAGGACCCAAATGCCCAGGCCCTCACCCACAGACAGCCAGGTGCGGCCGCACCTGAGTCCTTTCCTCATCAAATGCCTTCTGATGTCCACCTCCTTGAGGCTAAGTCTTGGAGCTGCCATTTGCTGCTTTAGTGAGTTTGGGTGAGTTACACTGGCGGGCAGAACCCTCCAAGCAGTGTGAAAGAGCCAGCACTCCCAGCGGACTCACCCACACCAAATCTGGAAGAGCAGCCATGTCTTGTGGCCTTCCAGGAACACCAACTGCAGCCCAAAGTCATCCCTAGACAACTCCCAAGCCAGGTACAAGTGACACCCAAGGCACGCTGCCTGGCCACAGAAGCAGGTCTTTTGCCTATTACCCCCCCTTTTTTTTTTTGAGATGGAGTCTCGCTCTGTCGCCCAGGCTGGAGTGCAGTGGCGCAATCTCGGCTCACTGCAAGCTCCGCTTCCCAGGTTCATGCCATTCTCCTGCCTCAGCCTCCCGAGTAGCTGGGACTACAGGCGCCCGCCACCACGCCCGGCTAATTTTTTGTATTTTTAGTAGAGACGGGGTTTCACCATGTTAGCCAGGATAGTCTCGATCTCCTGACCTCGTGATCCGCCCGCCTCGGCTTCCCAAAGTGCTGGGATTACAGGCTTGAGCCACCGCGCCTGGCCTACCCTTAACTGTTTTGAAGTCAGTGATGTCCCCAAACGGGCAGGTCTTTTGCCTTTTACCCTTAACCGTTTTGAAGTCAGTGATGTCCCCAAAGGGGATTATTGCTTCCCCAGGGAATCACAGTCTAGTGGCAGAGCCTTTCAAACCCACAACAGCTGTCATGCCTGAGACAGCTCAAGCAAGCCTGAGGGACATGGGAAGAGAGCATCCCAGGCCCATTCTGATCCATGGGAATCTAAGAAGGCCTCCTGGGGGTGGCGAGATTTGAATGTATCCTGGAGAGCAGGTAGGCATTTGTGGTAGACACTGTAGTGGGCCACCCAGAGTCCCCCTCAACCAAGCGCTGTCCCGCCAGCTGCAGAAAGTGTCAACTATTGACAACCTCTATCTGGGGACTCTCCAGGAACTGCCCTTCTTGAAGGGCACCTCACCCAAACACAGGTACCCTCCCTGGACACAGCCTGTCCCCAGCGAGTGGCCAGCGCATGGGTGCAACGCCTGGCCTCCTGCCTCAGGGGGAGTGACTCTCAGGGCTCTCAAATTCAGAGCCCTCCATGGGGTTGGCCGAGGCCTCTGTTGCAACTGTTCCTCAGTTCACCTTCCTCTTCTGCCCACCCTGGGTCCTGCCATTCTTCAGGTGTGGCTCCTGAGAGCACCGGCCTGTGAGACCCTGCGGAGAAATCACCGCCAACCGTGTGAGCACTCACCGCAGGGAAACAGCCTTCCACCACCTCCGCCTCCTGCTCTTGACCAAGCCCGCTAGGAGCACTAGGCCTCAGCCTCCTCATCTGTAAGACAGGGGCCAAAATGGTCTTAATTCTCAGAGTGTCATAAGCATGAAATGAGAGCGTGCACAGAAAGCCCTTACTTAGGCTTGGTGTGTAGTGAACGCCCAATAGAAGTGCTTGGTGTGCAGTGAATGCACAATAGAAGAAGTGATATGTGGCCGGGCGCGGTGGCTCACGCCTGTAATCCCAACACTTTGGGAGGCCGAGGTGGGCGGATCACGAGGTCAGGAGATCGAGACTATCCTGGGTAACGCGGTGAAACCCCGTCTCTACTAAAAATACAAAAAATTACCCAGGCGTAGTGGCGGACGCCTGTAGTCCCAGCTACTTGGGAGGTTGAGGCAGGAGAATGGCGTGAACCCGGGAGGCGGAGCTTGCAGTGAGCCGAGATCGCGCCACTGCACTCCAGCCTGGGCGACAGAGCGAGACTCCGTCCCCCCAAAAAAAGAAGTAGCGGTATGTATGATGTTGTTCGTCACAGAAAGCATGGAAAATACAGAAAGACACAGAGAAGAGAGTAAATTCACCCATGGGTCTACTGCCGGGTTAACAGGCACTACCAAGATTTCAGGTGGTGGGGGCGCACGCGCATGCGCACCAACACACGGGCCCTAGAAAAATAAACTCGGGATCCTAAGCGTGTACGCTGCGGTGCCCACACACGCGTCTGCCGTTCTCACCCCGTTTTCTGCTTTAATTTTCTGCTTAAATTGGTCATTTTCTGTGAAATGCACATTCCACTTCTGGGTAGTGTGCACCGCCCATCTCCCCCACGGAGTGCAGGAAGGTGGCAGCGGGGCTGTGTTCCAGGCCAAGGCCACACAGCCCGGGGGGCCGCACGCGGGGGCAGCCTTGGTACACGAGGCCTTTCATTTGTTGGTTTTACAGCTGGAAGAATTCGGATATACTTATTGACCGAGAGAAGAGTCCAAAACTCAGGAGTGGAAAATAACGAAGAATGAAGAAAGGAAACAGGAAGAGGTTGACCTGATTGATGGAAAGGAGCTCCTCTTTCTCCAAAACCAGAAGGAAAAGGAAGATTTAGAGAGCAGAGGAGGGTAAGTTTCCCCCGGATAATATGGGTTCAGTTGCATAATACGGCCAGGATGTTATCTGCAAAGAAGCTGTGGGGAGGAGAAGGCAGAGCAAGGAGCGCAGGGCTGAGACTGTGGGAGATGCAGCCGGAAATGACAAAACAGAAACAAAACGTGACCAAGGCCATTTGGGGTCCAGCTGAAGTTCAGCGGCTTAGATGCGTAGTAAGTCCCATGAGCACTGTTGCACGACTTGCCCACAGCTGTTCACATATGGACTTTGCAGCTCACATTGACTCTGGCCAGGGCGGGAGAGCCGGGGAGCCAGGCAGGTGCGTGGGAAGGGAGAGAAGAAAGGGAAGACGCGGTGCCCATTCCATATTTACCTTAGTAGTCATCCAGACGCACTTCCCTCTCCAATCCCCAAACAAGAAGAGGCAGAAACTGTCTACCAGTTAGACGGGAGGTGTCAGCGCCCCTGGAGGCTGTGGCCATTGCCAGGGAGACCCCACTCTGCACAGCTCACAAACACACCGTGTGTGTGCAGGGTCCTCACCCGCCCTGGGCAGGAAATGGGGGAGTTCTACGTCCACTTTGTCACGCAGACAATGGAGGGGACCGCAGAAGGGGCTTCCCCAAGGACACAGAGCCAGTGGCCGCCTCACTGTGTGCCCCTCAGTGGGCGTTTCCACACTGCCTGGCAACTTTGAGAACAGCCGCTTTCGCTGGGTCTCCAGTGAAACTTGAAACCATTTGCATCTGCAAGTACTTTACTTATTCCATTTCAAAGGCATGCACATTTTTAAAGGGACACTGTTTTTAGCTCCTGCGTCACTGACTCATCCCGCATAATTTGACTTTATGGGACAGGGTCCCCTAAGGAGTGTCCTTGCCTTGACAGTCCTGTCTTGAAAGCTGTGAAGACCAAGTGGTGCCATATATATTGTTTTAAAATTATGGACTACCTAGAAAAGAGGTGAAATAGTAAAAAAAAGCAAAACTTTTAATATTCAATGACAAACACAGACAGAAAATAGGGAAAAATTAAATGTTAATGTGTTGGGATGATTGGATTTTGAATAAATTTTATTTATTGAATTGATATGAAGTTTATGGAACAGGGATAAACAGTTTGTTTCATATGATTATATATTTAGGTATTCGTTGACATACATATATACGTATACATATACACGTATGTATTGCCGTGTGTACATATAGACACATAGCATGTATGTATAAAACATATACATATGTGCCAAATTACAAAACGAGAAGTCGTGTTGCTCATCCTGCTCTATTATAAGAAACCTCAAGCAACAGTAGGTACTGGAAAATGCCAAGTCTGCATGATCCCGGCAAGGGCAGATCCTGCCACTGGAGTTCTGGAATGCATCTCTCCCCACTTGGCAAAGATGCAGGGTGCAGAGGGGGTGTCAGCAGAGGGGCTGGGTGCAGAGGGGTTGCAGACTTACCACAGGAGGACTTTATCAAGAGATGTGGGTTTTCTGGGCATCCAGGACACCCACAATGGGGTGACAGAATTGTCTGTGGAGTGGAGTCCTAGTATTGAACTTGGCAGCTGCTACCGGATGCTCTTCTGGCACCTATGTTTTCAGAAAAACAGGAGCTGGCCAAGAGTATTTGCCAGATTTCTCCCTGGATTGGACTGATTTCTGCACTCAGCCCAGGTTTGTTTTTTTTTTTTTTTGGTGTGTGCCCCCGCGCCCGGCTAATTTTTGTATTTTTAGTAGAGACGGGGTTTCACCTTGTCAGCCAGGCTGGTCTCGAACTCCTGACCTCAGGTGATCCGCCTGCCTTGGTCTCCCAAAGTGCTGGGATTACAGGCGTGAGCCATGGCACCCGGCCTCAAACCAGCCTCAATCTGAAGGACGTGCATACTCTCCACAGGTCCCACAGGTCTTTCTAGGGTCCTTGCCCCTTACGTGCACTTCCTCTCTGAAGAGGTCCTTCCTCCACCATGTTGTCCCAGCCTGAAATTGTCCCTCATTATGGAGACTTGAGTGGTGTCTCCCACTGACTCCTCTCTCAAGGGGTGAGGGTTTGCTTGACCAGACACCAGCAGTGGGGCACACCCCTTCCAGTTCACCCTGATGAGCTCCTTATGCCACCACAGGGTCAAAATCAGGTTTAATAGCAGCAGCATTCGCAGTAGCCACAAAATGGAAACAACTCAAGCACCCCTCCAAGAGGGGGAATGGATAAGTAAAGTGTGCTGTATCCCCACGATGGAATATTATTCACTCATGAGAAGGAGTGAAACACTGGCACATGCCACAACGTGGATGAACCTTAAAAGCCTTATGCTGAGTGGAGGACGTCAGGCACAAAATACCACAGATTGTTATGAGCCCAGTTGTATGAAATGTCCAGAAGAGGCAAATCCATAGAGACAGAAAGCAGATCCGAGGTCGCCAGGGTCTGAAGGAGTCGGGGATGGGGAATGATTGCTAATGGGTCCAAGGGGGCTTTCCTTTCTGCATGAGGACAGTGTTTTGAAACTGGAGGTGATGGTGGCATAACACCGTGACTACACTAAATGCCACTGAGTTGTACACTTTTGATTTTAGGCTATGTGAGTTTTACTTCAGTTAAAAAAATAGATTGAAGGCTCAGAGAGATTTAGGGGTGGGAGGGTAAGGATTTAGGATTCAAAAGAACTTGACTAAGGAGCTGAGAATCTTAAATATATTTCCAGTGTCATTGGGTTACTGGCTGACCTCTGTGTGCTACCTTGGTACCCTACCCCAATCGACGCTTTGTTCTATGAGAAAAAGCATTCTGAGCTTCAAGTAACTGAAGTAACTGATTTATAAACAAACCGTTGGAATATAATCTTTTTCTTTTTAATTGTTGGGGACTATCTGTAATTTAGTCTCTAAAATATAGTTAATCTTTGGCTCTTGCTCTGAATTAATCAATAAAAAAGACATCATAGTGGTAATCTTTGGGGGAAGTGAAATTCAATTTAATCCATTTTTTCTATTTGTTAGCTCCTCCGGTAATTGGTTTGATGGGGAAGAAGTTTGAAGTTATTGGTTAAATAGAGGTTTTTGGATTATCTGTGAATTTCAATTATCCATGCTTCACCTGGCCCCAATTAGCACTAATAATCGAGTTAACTGAATAGAAGTCATTTCCCATCATATCAGTTTTGCTATAGGCTTATTAGTTGTTTCACTAATGGGCCCCCCAAAAGACAAAGCCTCTTTCTCCATCAGGCACTCACACCCCCATACCACAATTTGTCAAACTAGTGCTGTATTGTTAACGGTATGAAACAAATGCTCTTAATAACAAAACATGTAGCTGAGGAGTGAAACCAGAAATGTCTAAAGTGCATTTATAGTCAGAAGGTATTACAAGACATTTCTAAAGTCTTGTTAGAAATTTTAATCAACGTTTTCAAGTGATTTGTATTTTCAATTTCAATTGAGGTTGTCACTGTCTTAATTTATCCTGATTTAAATTAAGACAGCTTTTAAAAGTGCCTGTTAATTTTAGCAATCTACCCATTTTCAGATGTGTTATTTATGTTTACCAATCACAATCTACATGCCTTTTAAGGTTTCAGTTTCTCTTCTTGGACACATTTGTATTTATATTAAACATAATAAATATCTCCCATTCCAAGAGCCCAGTTTTGACCTTCTTTGATCTCTGAGTCCCAGCATCCCTTAACTTGACATATAAATTAGCCCAGCCCCTCCCGGGAGGCTGGGACCTGAGGGTAGTGTTTCCTCCACTCCCTCGCCCCCTTTTGAATCTCCAGCATCATGTTTTTCCATTGCCATGGAGATGCAGCTATGTACACAGAGTGCAACAAACCCAGCGAATGGGAAAAGTCCCGGCTGAGATAGAATTACTAACTAAACAAATGCTATTGGTAACAGGGTGCCAGGGAGGGATACCCAAGTTCTCCTTTTCTCCCCACAATCAGATTACAGGTAAAAGTGCAAACAGCGAGATGAAAGCTGACACAGTGGTTCTTTTAAAGACACAGCGGACATATTACTCTCAGGAAAACACGGCGTTGGGTGCAGAACAGATCGTCACGAGAGCTGTGCAGATGTGGGAGGTTTAGTGCGCCTTTTGTAAAAATATTGCTGTCCTAAACCCCAGATCACGGTCTTATGGCTAAATAAAGAAAATAGAGCAAACAACTGAGAGCCCAACAGCAGCAAGGACTCGGTGAAAAGCCCCGGCGTCCCCTCTGATAGCACTCTCCATATTGTCCTGTGTGGGGCGAATAATAATTGGTCCCTCACTGGCACTGGCACACAGCTACTCGCTGGGGCAGTTTCACTCAAGAATTAATAAATTAATTAATACATCGTTCTTTTTATGGTTTCTAAAATAAGAAAATTGCCTATCCAACCCTCTGAGTACCCGATAAATAGGCTTCTACGTTTTGCTTTTGTAGGTATCATTTATGTCTTTTATTTTTCTTTTTAATGATATATTTGTTCTTGGTTAAAGAACCACAGATAAATTAGAAAACACAACTATTTGATGAAGAAGTAAATGGAAATTTTCATTTAAAGAAAGTCAGTGATTTTTTTTCTTAGATAGGCAATTTACAAACATTTTCTAAATGCAAAAATCATATGGAAACATATAAAGCATTCATTATTTTGTGACTTTGGTAAATATAAACTGGTCATGGTCCAATGTGTGAACTATGACGTTAATTGTGAAATTGTATCTATCTTCCTTGCCTACTTTTTGTGACATACCTCAGTCACTTTTCTTGCAAAACATAATTGAATTCAGCCGTGTGTGTGTGGATTTCTCTGCTTCTGTCAACTTTTCAATTCTACTTGATTTAAGGTTTGAAAACCCCAAAGCTGTCTCGAACAACCTCCCAGCAAGAGCATGCTGGTGGAATAGTTTCAGGTGCCTTTTATCAGGCTTTTCAGTTAGTTTAAAAAATAATATTAATTTGCCAGTTAGTCTCGACAATCTCTGAATGTTTTTGATAGTTATTCAATAGAGTTATAAGTAGTGGAGTTTTTTTGTTTAAATAGCATTTTTTCTCATTCCTGAAGATTGTTTTCTACCCCCATTTTCCACTTAACTTTAAATGAAAAGTTTAAAGTGTTTTTAACTTCTCTTAGAAGTTGTTTCCAGGTAACAAAAATCAGTTAAGAAAATGCTAAAGTCAACTTAATTTTCCTTTTCTAATTTTAACATATTTAGTTCATTCTTTAGAGCAAATGTTTCCTTCTCAGTATGAAGACTTTGTGGGTTTGTCCTGATCAAGATCCTCAACCCAGATTTCAAACCTGGGTATTGTCGGAAAGAAATGGCCTTTTAAAAATATTAACCTCCCCAAGCATTTTGGGGCTTTTGATAGTGCAAAGTTGGCACCCCTGGAGATGTATTTAGAAAAGAAACTTCAATAGAAACTGCTCTGCATGGCCGTGATGAGATACCATAATGTTAGGGCAGGTGGGCATCAGCTGGAGCTTTGGGGGGAAGTCAGATGTGAAAGAGATTGCTGAAGTTACCAATATTTGCCAAATAGTCCTCTACGCAACATTGCACAATTTAAACACCTGTTTTTTAGCAACCTGGTAGACTAGGTAAATCCTATCACTACTTTAGTTTTCTTATATAAGATATGTACTATAGAAAATAAGAATACCACCAGCCTGACCAATATGCTCAAACCCGTCTCTATTAAACATACAAAAATTGGGGGCCCGGGCATGGTGGCTCACGCCTGTAATCCCAGCACTTTGGGAGGCTGAGGTGGGTGGATCACAAGGTCGGGAGATCAAGCCCATCCTAGCTAACATGGTGAAACCTCGTCTTTACTAAAAATACCAAAAATTAGCTGGGCGTGGTGGTGGGCACCTGTAGTCCCAGCTACTTGGGAGGCTGAGGCAGAAGAATGGCATGAATCCGGGAGGCGGAGCTTGCAGTGAGCCGAGATTGTGCCACTGCACTCCAGCCTGGGGGACAGAGCTAGACACCGTCTCCAAAAAAAAAAAAAAAAAAAAAATTAGCGGGGCATGGTGGCGTGCGGCCTGTAGTCCCAGCTGCTCAGGAGGCTGAGACAGGAGAATTGCTGGAACCAGGGAGGTGGAGCTTGCAGTGAGCTGAGATCGCGCCACTGCACTCCAGCATGGGTGATAGAGCGAGACTCTGTCTCAAAAAAGAAAATAAGAAAATAAAAATACCAGCCTGGCACAGTGGTTCACTCCGATAATCCCAGGACTTTGGGAGGTCAAGGTAGGAGGATCACTTGAGTCCAGAGTTTGAGACCAGCCTGGGCAACATAGCAAGACTCTATCTCTGCAAAAAAAATGTTTTTTTAATTAGCTGGGTGTGGTGCGGTGTATCTGCAATTCCAGCTACTCAGTAGACGGAGGTGGGAAGATCTCTTGAGCCCAGGAGTTCAAGGCTGCAGTAACCCCTAATCAGGCCACTGCACTTCAGCCTGGGTGACAGAGTGAGGCTTCATCTCAGAAAAAAAAGAAAAGGAAGAAATAAAGAATGAAAGAAAGAAGAGAGAGGGAAAGAAAGAGAAAGAAGAGAAAGAAAAAAGAAAGAAAAAGAAGGAAGACAGAAAAAGAAGAGAAAGAGAAAGAAAAAAGGAAGAAAGAAAGAAAGAAAGAGAAAGATAAAAAAGAAGGAAGTAAGGAAGAAAGAGAAGAAAGAGAAAGGAAAATAAATGCATCATAACTTTGCCAGTTTTTGTCATTATGGGTGTTATAACATAATAATTTGTATTATTATAAATAATACAGTTTTTAAATGGTCTCTATCGAATGAGCAAGGATTTCTCTGAAGCGCTTTATTTATCCAAGAGACGTGGTCTCTTGGACGTGGCCTGTGACGCCGGCGCTCCCAGGCTCCTAGGCGCGCGTTTCAGGAATGGCTGCCTTGCTTGCTTTCAAAACAAACGGGAAAAGGTAGTGGCCCAGAAGCACACAGACCTCCCTAGGCCGGCGCAGGAGCACCTCACTGCTGCTGTACGGGGCACGAAGTTCCCCCTTAGTCACAGACGGTTCTGTGCCTGAAGAGGCGGCTCATTCAGCATGAAAGGAGGTGGCTGCAGCAGGGCGAGGAGGCCCGGCCTTCTGTGCGCACAGGACTCACCCTGACCTCCTTCACTCAGCTCCCCCACGCTCCCACTCCTCCAAATCTCCCTGCCCCGTGATAAACACATGGAGCTCTGGCTGAATGCTCATTTAAAAGAGTTTAGTCTTTGTTAAAAAGTTTCCTAGGATTTTCACTGGTTGAAATCAAGGCTGTTGTCTGAAAGCCAGTGTGTGCGTCATAATGTTTATAGTCTTCTATACTTTTGGCGATGCCCTATTCATTTTAAACCCGCTTCTCTGAAACCTCTGCTTCCCATGGCTATCTAAATGCACTGAAAAGAGAATCTGTACGGTTCATTTATATGTGGTTTAAGTTTCTCAAAGGGTCTTAGCAATATATTGCTTTGGATTGTTGGAAATCAGAGGTATCCTTTTAAATTGGCATTGTTATTGAAATAACAAAAGAAATCTCCCGGGAGACATTTAGAAGCAGTTTGTTAGGACCAAAGTTCTCAAGTAGTTGAATTGACTTTTCCTGTTAGCCTCTGCATACTATGGTATAAAGATCCTGTTAGCCTTTGCATACTATGGTATAAAGATCCTGTTAGCCTCTGCATACTACGATATAAAGAAGGAGGGAGAAGGGCTGTGAGTTGCCGAAGTGGAGAGTGTGCATGACAGTGTGCCTTTCATGGACGCACCCGTGGCAAGTGTGAGGCACGCTCTTACTTCTGTGTGTGGCTCTTGAAAGCCTCCTTGAGGGCTGCTGTTCTGGGATGCATGTGTCCAGTCAACCTATGTTACTGAGACCAAAGAATAATTTCAAACATGATACCAATGAAAAATAAAGCCTCGCCAATCAAGCTTGTATGCTATAATAAATCAGTCGACTCCTAAAACCTAAATCCCACCAAAATGGCAGGAAGGAGGTTATTTGAAAATGAAAAAAAAAATTTAAAAAGAAAAAAAGGACTTCATTTAGCTGGAGAAATGTCAGTCCTGAAACTTGTTACTGCCATGCAGATGACTTTGCAAATTAAATGTCCCCCCTTGTGGCATAGACAATAGAAAAGTCTTTTAAACATTGTATTTAAAAATGCTTTTTCTAGTTACGAAAATATGCAATGGTATTTAACCATATAATTTGATGCATATAAGTAGCCTCTAAATGGGTTGCCATGAGTGAAGACTGACAAAGAACGTTATTAAGCCTTTAAAGAAGGCAGGCAGCTATGCCGTAGTTTTCAGAAAAAAAGCACCTTTCCCAGTTTTACTGAGAATAAGACAATGATTTTTTCTTACTAGAACATGAAAGCCATAAATTTCCCTTTTCTCCCCATTTAAGTGGATAGGACTCAACAGGGAAGAGGAAGCTCTGCTCAGCTGTCAGCTTTTTTATTTTTTAGGTTGAGATTCAGGCCTTGCAGTTTTTAAAGTTAATCGTTAACTGCTCTGAAATCTTGATGGCATTTCAGTAGAAATATAAATATGCTACTTTCCAAAGTATTCTTCCTTACTTTTTTTTATTTTATCGTAAAAGTCTAGAAGTTTTGTACCAGTGTGATTCCTGCTGGCTGAGGTGGAAACTCTCTACCTGCACTTATTTCAACAGGAAATTTGGGATAAATAAGATGGGTAACAGGAAGGCTGATACTCTCAGACTGAATACTTAATTTGCACATTAAAAGCTGATCATTAATCCTATATTTTAATCCTACAAATGTCAGGAGCTATTATTTCCTAGGGCTAGGAATAAACTGGACTGTGTTTTGTGACAAAGCCTGTGAATGAACATAAGAACAGTTGCTGTATCAAACCCAAAGGCCATTAAATACTACTTTAGGAATCCATTTGTCATCACGTTACCACTAAGGGTGGGAATCCTAGAGCACATGATAACCAAAGAAGAATCATAACTGGAAGAGAATGTTATTAAAATCCAACTATAACTATAAATATAACATCTATAAATATATACATACACATTCACACATATTATGGTACTGCAATGCATGCCTGAAGTTTCGTGTTATTTAAGGGAAATAAAAAATAAGGCTTCAAGTGGCCAAAGGACCATTGATTTGTTTTTTCAATGTTTGAGAAAAACCCAGAAACAGAGATCAAGCTAAGGTGTTTAAAACATAGCTGGCCAAATGATGTTTTCAAGTGATGCTAACATAAATCAGTTCCAGCAATAGTTTACCTAATTCTGAGAAATCAGCAAATCAAATACATAAAAAGGCTGCCTTTGGACCAAATTGTAGTTTCTAACAAGGCTGCCTCCTGAGTGGGATGTGCTTGTTCATTAAGCTTTTTAAGCTGGGATTCACTAATGCCACTTGAAAAGGGTGGGCACCTTGCAATCCAAACACCGAACAATGCTGCCCCGAAGCTTATTAAAGTTTAAGTTTTACACAAATAGCTATTTAGAAAGATTTGCTCAAAAATGTGCACACTGATTTCAAAATAACAATTCTTACAGTCTAACAAAAAAAAAGCAAAGGAAAAATGAAGCTGAAACAGTGACAAGAAATTAGGTTGTTCTTGATTTTATTGTGAAATGGTACATTTGAATCACTTTCTCTAATTTTAACATGACTTTTAAAATGTGTAGTTCTTAAATAAAGTTAACAAACTAATGAATGAATATATGCAAATTGTCAGCATGAAAAACATACAAGCAAAATGCAGTAAATTTTCCCCCAAACATCTGAGTTTATGTCCTTTTACATTTTGTCAGATTTGAGATCCTTCTGAGAAACTTTAAAGAGAACGCGCTGTTTAAGCTAAAGCTACATTCACTGTGTAAAAGTAGGGGCTTCACAATTACTATGTGGCGTTGGTTGTAGAGATAAAGCATCACGAGGCTCCGGATCATTTTAGAGGCAGAAAATGGAACCTATCTGCTCCCGTCCACCAGAAGGAGGGGGAAAGAGCCGAGGGGCTTACACCGCAGGAAGGACTCATTCTTTATCTGGCGTTTAGAGCCAGCTCAGAAACTAATGGGAACGGTCAACACTCTTCTTCAAACTCCTCTCCATTTCCTATCCCAGGGTTCAGCGTTTCATGTGAGACCATTAAAAGGGCTGCTTTACTATGCTAGAAATGGAGAGTCTCATTTTCAATGTTGTTAATAAAATTAATAATTGTTGTAATCTCTCCTAAAACGCCATTTTACTATATCTTAGCCAGTTTATTTTATGAACACGAGAGTTGACAAGCTAAGTCCTTGGGTTTTTACAAACGTGTTTTCTACTCTAAATCAAAATTCTTTTTTACTACCCAACGTTGGAAAATGTATAGATTTTTAAAATCTTAAATCCAAAATACAACCAAGGAAATGTGAATGGGCGAACAACAACAAAAAAAGCTCAGATGGGAACAGGGGGTGTCGACCCTTTCCCGAGAGAGGAAGGAGCTGCTCCCCACAGTTCTCTGTCGAGTCGGGGGCGTGAGCCCTGGCGGACGTTCTCCCACACCACCCCGGGCTGCAGTTTCGGCCGCACAACCGGCGGCGGTGTGGACCTGAAAGAGGATCCCTCTCCTGTGTGCACAGAGATTCTGATCCGCATCAAGCCCCGCGGAGCCCAGGCAGGAACAATGCACCAGGGAATAGACAGAGGACATCGATCCCACCTCTCTTTCTCTGACCGTGCAAGACAAGATTTTAGTTTTCTGAAAGAAACACAAATAAAGCAAAGCAAAAAGCTCAATAATGAAAGTCTGCTGCTCCAGGCCCAAGCGCCCGTGATTAACCGGAGAATATTTATGCGGCGCTGCCATGCTTCTTTGGAAATACTGAGAATGTTTCTCCCAGAGAAAATGTGGTACTATTGAACATTTTCAAAAACTAAATATATATCATCTCCCCAAACACCAGGCACATCTGCTTGTCTGACACTCAATACTGTTGTTGTTGTAAGGTTTTGTATAACTCACTTCCTGTCTTTATACGTACACAACAGGATATTTAAATAACAAATACAATAAAGACGCCAGGCAAAAAAAAAAAAAAAAAAAAAAAGGGGGGGGTGCTCCTAACACAACATATGCATCTCCAATTCCATCTGTATGTGTTCGAGCTGCAGAAATAACCAACATCCTTAGAGTCCTGTTGCTTGCCTCTAATTGTGCAGGGTAACAGGCAAAGGGACGAGTGTTTATCGTGGGTCCCTTCACACTGCAAGGGGCAGTTTGTCTCCCAGAGTAAAAGCCAGTCGCAGCCACATTTGCTGAGGGAGTTCTAAGGTCCACCATGACCTCCAGATCCCTTTCCAGACATAACAAGCAAACACCTGGAGGGACGCATGGGGATGGATTTTTGAGGTCCCCCCAAAACCCACCCTCATACGTAAGATCTTCCATTATGTTTGTATTCACTTTTTAACATACATGACCTTTGTTTCGTGCTCATAGAGATAAAATGCCACTTCAAATGTGTTCACTAGAAATACTTCAGTTAAAGAAAGGCTTTTTTTTTTTTTAATTTAATCGAAGTGGTCTTGTAAATCTTACTTTCCTAGTTTGGAATCCTAAAATAAAATGAAGGTCTTCACCGTTTTATTACCTCCTTCATGGAAAAATTACTGATTGCATGGTATAACTTACTCACCATAGCTTTCGTCTTGTTCTCAGTCCAGACTCATTGTAAGTAACGGAGTTTCGCATATGAAATTGCGAGATTCAGTATTTTTCCATTTCCCCTTTATTGGGAAAGGGGCACCAGAGGCCCCCTCGCTACCTTGGTGTCTATGTGAGTTAACTCAGCACCTGCACATACATGATACAAATCAAAACTATGTGCCAAGGACCACATTCAATTTGAAAACAAAGAACACGTTTAAACGAAGAACTTCATTCGTATAGAAGAATCCCAATTTTGGCCGGTTGCGGTGGCTCACACCTGTAATCCCAGCACTTTGGGAGGCCGAAGCGGGCAGATCACGAGGTCAGGGGTTCAAGACCAGCCTGGCCAATATGGTGAAACCCCGTCTCTACTAAAAAATAGAAAAATTAGCCAGGAATGGTGTCGGGCACCTATAGCCCCAACTACTCGGAAGGCTGAGGCAGGAGAATCCCTTGAACCAGGGAGGTGGAGGTTGCAGTGAGCTGAGATTGCGCCACTGCACTCCAGTCTGGGCAACAGAGTGAGACTCCATCCAAAAAAAAAAAAAAAAAAGAATCCCAATTTTAAATACACGGAGGGATTTCAAATATCTCCACACATCACAGGGGACTTACAAATGTCTTGCATTTGTATTTATAGATTTAACAGGCTTGTATTTATATCAAGCTATCATATTTTAACCTATGCAATACAACACTGTTTTTTGGTTTTTATAAGGCTTTTCCAAGTATAACATAAAATATGCTTGCTATGAAAGAATTAGGAAGCATACAAGGATAAAAGCAAAACCCGAATCACCCATTATATAAGACAGCCACAATTTATATATTGTTATAGATCTTAAATAGGTACAATATGTACTGTTTTCATAATTATGCTCATATTTCCATATGAGCAGATACAGCTCCACTTTAAATCTAGAGCATAGAACTCTTTTATGGGAGGATTTATTTAGTTCCAGCCTCTCATTTTTCAGATGAGCTATCTAAAGCCCAGAGAAGTTAAAGAACTTATGAAAAATCACACAGCTAGTAAATGGCAAAGTCAGGGCAAGAAGCCAACACTTCCATCTCTCTCCTCCTGGGTATCTAGGAAGATACCCTGTCTTTCAGACCACTTGACCTCTGTGTGTGTGTGTATTTAACAGTCCTGTCATTTCAAACAAGTAACAGCTTTTTTTAAGGTATAACTTACCTACCGTACAGTGCACCCATTTGAAGTGTACAATTCAATGGCTTTTTGCATATACACAATGCTGTGTAACCATGGCCCGTCTCCAGTATCAAAATATTTTCATCACCCTGAAAAGAAACCTCATATCCATCAGTTGTCACTCTCATTTCCCCGCCAAAGGTCCTCAACTCCAGTCAACCACGAATCTACTTTCTGGCCCCTCTGGATCTGCCTGTTGAGGACATTTCATATGAATGGACTCAGACATGATGCATTCTTTCGTGCCTGGCTTCTTCCACTCAGCATACTGTTCTGAGAAGCTCATCCATGTGATGGCGTGTGTCAGTTCTTCTCCCCTTTTCATGGCTGAGTCGTGTTCCATCAATTACACACACCACATTTTCTTTATCCGTTCATCAGTGGATGGACATTTGGCTTGTTTTCACTTTTTGGCTGTTATGAATCATGCTGCCGTGAACATCTGTGTACCAGTTTTTGTGTAAATGCATGTTTTCATTTATATTAGGTGTATACCTAGAAGCAGAATTGCTGGGTCACCTGGTAACTCCATGTTGAACCTTTTGGGGACCTGTCCGACTGTCTTCCAAGTGGCTGCATCATTTTCCAGTCCCACCAGCAGTATACAAGGCTTCTCATTTCACCACATCCTTGCCAATTATTGTTATTATCTGCCTTTTGACTCCAGCCAGCCCAGTGGGTGTGAAGTGGTATCTCATTGTGGTTTTTATTTGAGTCTCCCTGAAGGCTAATGCTTTTGAGCATGTATTATGAGCTTGTTGGCCATTTGCATATTTCCTTTGGGAAATATCTAGGCAGATACTGGGCCGGGTGTGGTGGCTTACATCCGTAATCCCAACACTCTGGGAGGCTGAGGCAGGTGGATCACTTGAGGTCAGGAGTTCAAGACCAGCCTAGCCAACATGGTGAAACCCCGTCTCTACTAAAAATACAAAAAACTAGCTGGGCGTGGTGGTGGGCGCCTGTAATTCCAGCTACTCGGGAGGCTGAGGCAGGAGAATCTCTTAAACCTGGGAGGCGAAGGTTGCAGTGAGCTGAGATCCCGCCATTGTACTCCAGCCTGGGCAACAAGAGTGAAACTCCGTCTCAAAAAAAAAATTGTATATATATGTTATTTCACTGAAGCAAGCGAAAAACTGAAGCTAAATATTCTACGGTGTATGACAGAACATTCATACAATTCAGTACTACAAATCTATCATATTTTAATATGGCGTGACATCCTTATATGTGGTTAAAGTGAAAAAGAAAGTTGCAAAGCAAAATGTAACAAGATCCATTTTTGTAAATTTTATGTAGATATGTATAGTTTCACTCCCATAGTAAAAGATCTATAGTTCATAGTCCCAGGCATTGGGATTAGGATGAAGCAGGGGCTGAGGCATTCTCTGTTTGTTGTCTACATTCAGGTAATACCTTGTTTTATTGTGCTTTGCTGTGTTTTTGTGTTTTTGTTTTACTGCATTAAGCAAGTCTTTCCTGCATTAAGCAAGTCTATCAGCGCCATTTTTCTAACAGAGGTGCTCACTTTGTGTCTCTGGGTCACAATTTGGTAATTCTCACAATATTGCAAACGTTTGCATTCTATTATGTCTGTTATTATGGTGACCTGTGGTCAGTGAGGTTTGTGGTTATGGTCATTGTTTAGGGGCTCCACAAACCACGCCCATATAGGACCGCAAACGTGAGGGATAGATGTCGGGTTTGTTCCGACTGCTCCGCTGGCAGGCCCGTCCCTCCACTCCTCTGGCTTCCCTATTCTCTGAAACACAACAATATTGAACGTAGGCCAATTAGTAACCCTGCAATGGCCTCTGAGTGTTCAAGTGATCACATAAATGTTTTTATTGACTATGTATTTATTTTTTTTGAGACATGGTGTCACTGTGTTTCCCAGGCTGGAGTACAGTGGCATGATCACAGCTCACTGCAGCTCCAACCTCCTGGGCTCAAGCAATCCTCCCACCTCAGTCTTCTGAGTAGCTGGGACTACAGGCGTTGACCCACCATGTCTGGCTAATTAAATTTTTTTTTTTTTTTTTTGCTAGACACAGGGTCTTGCCATGTTGCCCAGGCTGGTCTAGAACTCCTGGGTTCAAGTGATCCTCCTGCCTCAGCCTCCAAAGCTGGGATTACAGGCACGAACCGCTGCACCTGGCTGCATCCCTGCTTTTAAATCAAAAGCTAGGAGTGATTAACCTTAGTGAGAAACACATGTCCAAAGCCCAGATAGATCTAAAGGTAGGCCTGTAGTGCTGAATGGTTAGACAAGTTGTGAATGCAAAGGAAAAGTTCTTGCAGCAAATTTAAAGTGCGACTCCAGTAAACACATGAATGATAGGAAAGCAGCCTCACTGCTGATATGGAGAAAGCTTGAGTGGTCTGGATAGAAGATCAAGCCAGCCAGAACATTCCCTTAAGCTAAAGCCTGTTATAGAGCAAGGCCCTAACTGTCTTCACCTCTGTGAAGTCTGAGACAGGTGAGGAAGATGCAGAATAAAAGCTGGAAGTCAGCAGAGATTGGTTCATGAGGTTTAAGGAAAGAGGCCACCTCCGCAAGGTGAAGCAGCAAGTGCTGATGGAGAAGCTGCAGCAAGTTACCCAGAAGATCTGGCTGAGATAATTTATGAAAGTGGCTCCACTAAACAGCAGATTTTCAGTGTAGACAAAACAGCCTTATATTGCAAAAAGATGGGCCGGGCGCGGTGGCTCATGCCTGTAATCCCAGCACTTTGGGAGGCGGAGGCGGGCAGATCACGAGGTTAGGAGATCGAGTCCATCCTGGCTAACACAGTGAAATCCCGTCTCTACTAAAAATACAAAAAATTAGCCAGGCGTGGTGGCGGGCGCCTGTAGTCCCAGCTACTTGGGAGGCTGAGGCAGGAGAATGGCGTGAACCCGGGAGGCAGAGCTTGCAGTGAGCCGAGATCGCGCCACTGCACTCCACCCTGGGCGACAAAGCGAGACTCCGTCTCAAAAAAAAAAAAAAAGAAATACATTCTGTAAGGCCATAGCTGCCATAGATAGTAATATATCTGATGGATTTGGGCAAGGTAAGTTGGAAACCTTCTGGAAAGGATTCCCTATTCTAGAATACTTGTGATTCATGGAAGGAGGTCAAAATATTAACAGAAATTTGGAAGAAGTTAATTCCAACCCTCATGCATGACTTGGAGGGTGGGAATTAACTTCAAGTTCAAGACTTCAGTGGAGGAAGTCACTGCACACATGGTAGAAATAACGAGAGAACTTGAATGAGAAGTGGAGCCTGAAGCTGGGACGGAATTGCTGCCATCTCACGGTATAAATTAAACAGATAAGGAGTTGCTTCTTATGAATGAAAAAAGAAAATGGTTTTTTTTTTTGAGACGGAGTCTCGCTCTGTCGCCCAGGCTGGAGTGCAGTGGCGCGATCTCGGCTCACTGCAAGCTCCGCCTCCCGGGTTCACGCCATTCTCCTGCCTCAGCCTCCCGAGTAGCTGGGACTACAGGCGCCCACCACCACGCCCGGCTAATTTTTTGTGTTTTTAGTAGAGAGGGGGTTTCACCATGTTAGCCAGGATGGTCTCGATCTCCTGACCTCGTGATCCGCCCGCCTCGGCCTCCCAAAGTGCTGGGATTACAGGCGTGAGCCACCGCGCCCGGCCCAGAAAATGGTTTCTTGAGATGGAATCTACTTCTGCTGAAGATGCCGTGAAATTGTTGAAATAACAACAAAGGATTTAGAATATTCCAGAAACTTAGTTGATAAAGCTGGGTCAGAGTTTGAGAAAAATGACTTAATTTTGAAAGAAGTTCTAGGTGGGTAAAATACTATCAAACAGCCTTGCATGCTACAGAGAAGTCCTTCACGAAAGGAAGAGTCAATTTATGTGGCAAACTTCATTGTTGTCTTATTTTAAGAAATTGTCACAGCCATCCCAACCTTCGGCAACTGCCACCCTGATCAGTCAGAGGCCGTCAGCCTCCAGGCAAGTCCCTCCACCAGCAAAAAGATTACAACTCACTGAAGGTTCAGATGATTGTTAGCACTTTTTAGTAACAAAGTCATTTTTAATTGAAGTATGTACATTAGTTTTTTAGACACTATGCTATTGCATACTTAATACACTATAGTGTAAACATAACTTTATTTTGATATTTGCCCAACTGCATAAAATCATTTAATCTGGTGTCTTTCAAAATTCAGGACTTAGCTATATTTTCTTTTTTTTTTTTTTTTTCTTGAGAGACAGAGTCTCACTCTGTCACCCAGGCTGGAGTGCAGTGTCAGGATCTCTGCTCACTGCAATCTCTGCCCCCCTGGTTCGGACGATTCTCCTGCCTCAGCCTCCCGACTAGCTGGGACTACAGGTGCACGCCACCACTCTGGGCTAATTTTTGTATCTTTAGTAGAGGCAGGGTTTCACCATGTTGGCCAGGCTGGTCTCGAACTCCTGACCTCAAATGATCCACCCACCGCAGCCTCCCAAAGTGCTGGGATTACAGGCTTGAGCCACCGTGCCTGGCCAGACCTAACTAGATTTTCAATTTTTTTCCTATAATTATTGGTTTACTTAAGGTCATAACATTTTTTTTTTTTTTTAGATGTAGTCTTGCTCTGTCGCCCAGGCTGGAGTGCAGTGGCGCTATCTCAGCTCACTGCAACCTCCAACTCCTGGGTTCAAGTGATTCTCCCGGCCTCAGCCTCCCGAGTAGCTGGGATTATAGGCACTCACCACCATGCCTGGCTAATTTTTGTATTTTCAGTAAAGACGGGGTTTCAGCATGTTGGCCAGGCTGGTCTTGAACTCCTGATCTCAAGTGATCAACCCGCCTCAGCCTCCCAAAGTGTTGGGATGACAAGTGTGAGCCACTGAGTCCAGCCTTATTCTTCAAGCCAATTTTGGTAGCTTATATTTCTTTCTTTTTTTTTTCTTTTTTGTTTCTTTTCTTTTTTTTTTTTTTTTTTGAGACAGAGTCTTACTTTGTCTCCAGGCTAGAGTGCAGTGGCGCGATCTCAGCTCACTGCAACCTCTGCCTCCCAGGTTCAAGGGATTGCCCTGTCTCAGCCTCCCAAGTAGCTGGGATTACAGGCATGTGCCACCACACCCGGCTAATTTTTTGTATTTTAGTAGAGACGGGGTTTCACTATGTTGGCCAAGATGGTCTCCATCTCCTGACCTCGTGATCAGTCTGCCTCGGCCTCCCAAAGTGCTGGGATTACAGGCATGAGCCATCACGCCCAGCTGGTAGTTTATATTTCTTAAAATAATTTTAGAAACATTTGTTTTTAAGCGTATTGGTATAAATGCATTATTCTTTTATAATACAAAAATATTTTCATATTATTTATTCCTACTGATTTATTATGTTTATTCTATTTTGTTCTATTGTTTAGACTTGGCAGAGTTTATCTGATAATTTACTTATTAAAATAAATAGCTTTAGATTTTATTGTTCAACTGAATGATTATTATTTCTATTTATTTCATTAAATTGTGTTTGAAAAATAAATGTGGATAACCGTTGATAACTTCTGTTGACATCAACTTCTGTTATTAACTTCCTGAGTTGAAACCCTCATTCATGTATTTTATAATAAATGAATTTTTGTTTAAGACTTTTCTGGGTTTCGCTTGGGCAAATCCCATATATTTGATACCTAGATCCCTCATTTATTTTTTCTCTAAATACTTTCTAATTTCTGATTGACTTTTTTTGTCTTAAAATCTTTAAATTTATAGGTAAATAGGTATCTTAAATGTAAGGTATTTTAAGTTTTTGCTCAATTTTTTTCTTTCCACTTTTTATTTCAGGTTCAGGGCATCAATTTTTTAATTACTCTTTTTTTAGTGAAGGGTTTGCTATTTTCTTATTGTTAATTCCTAGTTATTTGTCTTGTGGTTTAGAACAATGCCTTCATGGTTTCTGCACTTAGGAATTTGTCAGTAAGTTCTCAGGGTCTTCTTTTAAGTAACTGCTTCATGTGTATTTGCAAGGAGGCTGTATTCTCTCTTCATTAGCAATAGTATTCTGTGTTTTATTAGCTGAAGCTTACTCATTGTTATTCCCAGCTAGTTTTGCATACTTAATCCATTATTTCTGTTAGATGTGAAAGTCCATTAATATAATTGATGATTTGTCCACTTTTGTCTTGATATTTATTAGCCTTATATGGTGTTGTTTTGGGGTTTTTTGAGACAGGTTTCACTCTGTTGCCTAGGCTGGAGTGTGGTAGTGTGATCATGGCTTACTGCAGCCTCAAAGTCCCAGCCTCAGGTGATCCTCCCGCCTCAGCTTCCCAAGTAGCTGGGACCACAGGCACGTGCCACCATGCCTGGCTAAGTTTTGTATTTTTTGTAGAGATGAGATTTTGCCACATTGCCCAGGCTGGTCTTGAACTCCTGGGCTCAAATCGATCCACCCTCCTCGGCCTCCCGAAGTGCTGGGATTACAGACATAAGCCACAGTGCCTGGCCTCTATATGCTTTGAAGCTATAGTATTAGCTAAATAAATGATCATAACTTTAATCTTCTTTTAATTTCATCAACATTAGCTGTCTTACTTCTTTTCATCATGCATTCTGTTTTGCCTGTGGTTTATACTATCACGTTTTATTTGTATTTGTTAATATTGCCTGGTGTCTCTTGTTTCGTATTCACCCTTCTTGTTTTGTTTCAGGGTTGTCTCGCGTGCAGAGCATATAACTCGATTTTAAAGCTAGTCTTAGAGCCTTCTGATTTATCACCAATGTGCTTTAACTTATTCTGCAACTGTGTTTCTATTTGCCATGATTCCCTCAAGTTTTTAACAAACTTTTCTTCTTATTTTTCCTAGTTGTTACTCATAATTTTTAAACTCATATATTCAGACTTTCTGTCAATGTCCAGTATTAACAAACTTTTCCTGTTTTCCATCCAACAAAAATAAAAATCTTACTGTGCCTTTTCTTTCTCTTGTTTTCAGACTATGGGGGATTGCCATCCTAGATAGCTATGATTATATTTTCACAACCAACACCTATATAAATGGGGCAATATGTTTTCCTGGTTTCTTTCCTCACTACTGTTTTTTCTATCTATTTTCTTTTTTAAAAATATATATTTTATTGGCCAGGCGCGGTGGCTCACGTCTGTAATCCCAGCACTTTGGGAGGCCAAGGCGAACACATCATGAGGTCAGGAGATCGAGATCATCCTGGCTAACACAGTGAAACCCCATCTCTACTAAAATACAAAAAATTAGCCAGGTGTGGTGGCGGGTGCCTGTAGTCCCAGCTACTCGGGAGGCTAAAGTAGGAGAATGGCGTGAACCCGGGAGGCGGAGCTTGCAGTTAGCCGAGATCACGCCACTGCACTCCAGGCTGGGCGAGAGCCAGACTCTGTCTCAAAAAAAAAAAAAAAAAGTGTATATGTATATGTATATGACATATAATATATAGTATATATGATATATATCATATATACTATATATGATATATATCATATATACTATATATGATATGTATACTATATATATCATATACTATATATATCATATATGTACTATATATGATATCATATATACTATATACTATATATGATATCATTATAATATATACATTATCTATAACATAATATATAATATATAAAATATATGATATATAATATAATATATAAAATACATGATATATAATATAATATAATATATGACATATAATATAATATATATAATATATGACATATAATATTATATATTATATATGACATATAATATTATATATTATATATGACATATAATATTATATATTATATATGACATATAATATTATATATTATATATGACATATAATATTATATATTATATATTATATATGACATATGACATATATTATATATGACATATTACATAATATATATAATATATGACATATACATATAATATATAATATATACATTATATATGACATAATATATATAATATATAATATATATAATATATAATATATATAATATATAATATATATAATATATATGCCATATATAATGTATATATGATATATGATATATATTATATATTATGTCATATATAATGTATATATTATATATTATATATATTATATATATATATGTTATTCCCAATTTCCTCTACTCTGGAGTTCAGAAGAAGAATTCTAGGCCCTGAGGTTGCTCAAACAAAACTTGGTGAAAGGAAAGGGAAGTATTGCAATCCTGCACATTGAGGGGGTTTCCCTCCTCCAGGCCGCAGGTACCGAGTGGCCGCTAGTGTCTGGAACGGCATGCAGACCAGTCTCAGACCTGCAAGGACAGAAGGATGGTTGCTAGGTCAGGTTCCTGCAGCAGAGCAAGGGCAAGTTCACTTCTGCTTCCACAGTGCTCAGAACGGGCCTTTCAAGGAAGGATCCTATGAACGGAGGAGACACCTGCTCGTGGCGGGGGAGCCTCGCTCTCCCAGACACTGGCCAGTGCTCTTTCTCAAAACTCACTCATGGGAGCGACGTCGGCTCCTAGCCCCGTGGGTGATAGTGTTTTTGCGCATTGTGGTCAGTCAAGTGGCTCCACCAAGGAGGAGCAGAAAGAGCTGAGTGTGGGGGTCCAGGGGTCTCGCTACCGTCTGCGGTGCTGTCTTCGTTCTCTAAAATCATGTCTTCTCATCTCTGCTGATGCCTTTGCGTCTGTGTTCAAGATACTCCCATCTCTCCCATCTTAAAACAACCATAATAGAAGACAGAAGTCCATCATCCCAAGACCCTTGGAAGTATAGCTCTGAGAGTCCACTGACGCCACCACCCGCTTTCTCCGTGGCAGGGCTCTGGTGACTGCTCTGTTTGCCCCTTGAAGCTACTTGCCTGCAGCCTCTGCCATGTCCTTGTTGGTGAATTGAACAGAAGCGCCACCGTCAGCTCCCCAACTGCCGCTTCGGTGGCATCTGACACTCGTGGCCACGTCTTCCAAGGTCTTTGAGGAAAAGCCTGTGAGAGTCAGGTGTCCCGGTGAATGTCTCTCCCGACGTCCCCGATTCCCAGCAGCTCTTCCTTGTGCCTCCCCAATCTCCTCCAGAGACACCCCTTTCTCCACCTGTCCGTGAGACAACTCAGGATTTTGATCTGCAGGTTGATTATGGGACTTCCTGACTCTCTGCCACCATACCCTTCTCCTCAGTGAGAGGAGAAAGCAATTGTTACAACATACCTGTTTCAAAGGACAGAGCAATCTTTAAAAAGACATCTGACTGTGTCTTCTCTTGTTCAGAGCCCATCTGTGGCCGCTGGCCATGCTTCTGGCTGTGTTGCCTCTTCAATGTCAGCCCCAGCCCCTCGGTGATCTGACCTTGGCTCCGTCTCACCATCGCACACTGCCCTCTCCGCCTGCACCGTCCCCGCCACTCACTGGGCTCACAGACTGGTGAGGAAGAGTGCAAAGCAAACCACCATTTCAGCACAGGTTTAGGTTGTTTTCAATGAAAAGAAATGGAAATCCATGAATAAAATGGCTAAAACAATAAGGAAAATTCGTTAAAGTCCAGTGGAGGTTTTCTGCTCCAAGCTGGGTGACATTGGTGGCTTCACAACCACATTTTCCTCCCCTCTTTTCCCTCCGCCTCCTGGCTGGCTCCCTAGGCGCCCCTCTCCCCCGGGGTGGCACAGCCACTGGCATCCTGCCCCCACATTACTGCTGCTCCCGGTGACTGGCCCCAGGACTAGCCAGTCACCATTTCCCCACGTGGAATTCCTTTTCTCCACAAGAAGACTCCTTGCTAGAAGCCCCCTGTCCCACCCCAGCCAACTTTCCCTGCTGTCCCCTTGCCATAATTACGTCATATGGATGTATCTACTCCAAATGCTGGCAGGGCAGGGGCTGGGAGTCCGGGGCTGGGACAACCGCATTGGCTTAGATCAATCTCGCCGCCTCCTTTTGCGGCCTGGGGCTTTAGTCCACATTCCTGCAGCCATTGGCCATGCACAGTGGACACCATGCAGGATGGAGGAAGGAGTGACCCACAGGGTCCATGGTAGATATTTCAGCCAATAGGACAGGGGCAGGCATAGCGCTGTGGGACCTGTGCCTGGGGTTCCAGTCAAAATCCAATGCTTGGCAAAGTCCCCTGGCCTAGTACAAAATCTGTGCAGGCCTGGTAACCTCCTTGCTGGCTGAGACACTGTCTGCACTGAGGAAGCCTCGGGCCTAGCACCATGACTCGCAGGGAATCTGAATTCAACAAATACTCGTATCAGTTGAATGAATGAACGACTGGTCCTCTGCTCATCTTATGTGTCTAATGTTATCATTGTGATAATGCCAAGTGCCATGACCATGTCAAAATTAACACTTTAGGCTCTATGACTGGTGGTTTTACTGGCACTACGCACAATGTTCCTTGTGTTCCTTTAGCCTCTTAAATATTGTTTAACATGATTCATTGTTTGGAAACTGCTAAAGTTATAATCATGCATGCAGTTGACATTGGTCGATTAAGCTGAGTCCATCCAGGAATTGTCACAGATTTGCAGTTTATCACTGATACGCTTCACAAGAAAATCTTGGTTAGAGAATCATCATTCTTATTAAAATTTCTCAGTGTCCATTATATCAGGGGATTTAGAAATTATACATCATTGCTCAAGACATTGTTCTGCCTTGATTTCATCATACAGCAGGGTGAAACTCATAAAGCCTGCAGGAAAGCTCCTTATAGTACATGGAGGGGGAAGATAGATTTTAAGAACTATATTCTGAGACACATAATTTTTAAAAACATGTATGGATTCAAAACCATTCAAAACCAATTGACTGTGACATGTAAGAAACAGAACAACTTTGCCATGAGTTTTAAACTTGTAAATGGTGTGAAAAATTCTGAGCCACTCTGTTTTGCTGTTGTGAGCAGTTAAAGAGAATAAATGAGAAAACACTTCAAAATAGCACATGTGATTATTATAAGTCCATAAAATAGACCCTCCTTTCCTATTTCAAAAGGAATATTGTGGTCACCTGTTCTGCACAGCGGGTATGAGGACACATAAACTCATACAAACACCACCACTCCGGTCGCTGGAAGATTAGACCTTTCAAAAATTAATGCAGTTTTATTGTTTTTTTTGTCTTGTAAATAATCGTGGATAATTTATTGTTCCCATCTTCATATTTATGGCACCGTCTACATGTTATCTTTGAAAATGGGCACCTTCATACACGAAAGAGAGAAACAATTGTGTAGATGTATAACTGTCCTTATGTGGACAGACATCACACTTTGGAAATCACTTTTTGGTGCTGTATTTTAAACATTTTCAATCAGAATTTGTTTTTTACTTGGTTTCTATATTTTTGCTTAGCATGCTAGATAACCAGGCTTTTTCCAATCCCCTTAGATGGATGAGCGGTGTTAGCTTTATTCTCTGCCTAGGTTCATCAAGAGCAAAGAGGTACTGAAATGAATAGGATATTTGCACTATTAACTGCTCTGCAAAATTGCAGTTTCTTGTCCAAAACTGGACAAGAAAGGGTGACGTAATATTGCACAATAACGTCTCATGGTGGGAGAGAAGGACATTATATAAAACGAAAATAATATTGTTATAGGTCCTTAAAAAACCAACTTCAGTTTTTGAAATTCTTTTTGTGGCATTGGTAATTTGAAACAAAGTTTCATCAAAGTTTTTAATATAGGAGTATGTGTGCGCACTATTGTATTTAAAAATAAGATGAAATTTCCTAGCATTGAAAAGGTGAGAAGAGTTTAGCAGTTGTCTATATAATACTGCACAAATATGGCCTTTTTATTAGACGTTTTTGTATTACTCCAAAGAAATGTTTTCTACAAGTGGAAATATTAGTAAAATCGTATTATCAAAGAAGGTTTCCTAAAGAATACAAGACCTAGAATTTTGTTATAGAAGTTTATTATTAGTTTGCCTAATATTTCTTCTCTGCTCCATTGAGGTGAAGCCCCAATATAAAAAACCGGATAAGCTCAATTGCAAGTTCAAAAAAAAAAAAAATTGAGATGTGGGGGAGGGGTGGGGCGGTGGAGTATTGCTTTTCCCACTGTGTAAGGATGGGGTAATTGATTTTCTGGAAATAAAGAAACATATAGAAAATTGGCTGTGCTTAAGGATTCCTTTTCACTTTTACTAATACCCTGAATTTACTGAGGTAATAGAACTCAGAAGCGAACGAGAGGGAAGAAGAAAAACAACCGTCCCGCAGCTCTTTCTGTTGGCCCACTTTCACAAACAGCCTGCCCAGCGCTACAGGGAGACCCCGGGGCGAGTGGCAGCCCCTCCTCTTTGGATTTCCTTGCTTTTGTAAATTTGTCAGTCCATCCATGAACTTTGTTTGAACAGAGTTTGGTACTTAATGGATGATTGTATTGTATTGTAACTCACAGTGTAACACATCTTTTCTGTATTTATTTTAAAGAAAGGCTTTCTAGAAGCCAAAGGGCTTAAGCTGTAGGAAATAAAGAAGCGAGAGTGCCCGTCCAGGTCCTGCACACGCTGCATCTCACTCAGATGCCTTGAAGTCCACACCCCAGAAGTTTCTGCACACCAAGGAGCCTGTCCGGAGGCCTCCCTCTCTCTTCCAGAGGCGCAGGGCTGGTTAGCTTTGGAATTTAACGGGGGAAAAGCAAAGTGCTGACAAGTTCCCTGCCAGGAAGCCTCTGGGCTCATGTCTGTCTGTTGAAACCCAAGCACTGCCCTACAGGGCCCTGCCTCGCAGTAGACAGGGCGCCTTGGGAGGAAGAGGCAGGCTGCAGTCACAGGGGAAGAGCATGACTGGGTCTTGAGTGAAAACAGTTTGTAAACATTCACACTTTGAGGTGTGAATCTCAGATTCTGCTAGGCATGGCCATACCAAGGACACTCTGAAAACAAACACAATTTAAAAATCCGCGGGAGAAAGGAATGGTTCTAGAAATGACTTCCAGTTCAAGAGTATTAGCACAATTAGAGATAACTTTTTATGCCTTCAGATATTTTAAAACATCTTAAATTAACATATAGTTTTATAATATTGATGATATCAACTGCTATTTGAGGAGGGGGCCTGTGCTATTAAGAAAATAACTTACATTTGCTCATACTAGTATAGTACGAAAACAGTTTTAAGTGATTTTCACATTTAAATTTTTCTCATTAAAAATAACTGTGTGATTCCCACTTTGCAGATAAAGTAATTGCTATAAATTCTCATTCAATTATGGGTTGATAGTTTTTGTCTCCAAATCCTTATGCGGCACACTGTCAGAATTTATTTGGTGACAGTGTCATTGTGAACAGAGTCCGTTACACTCTCATTTCACAGACAGCACAAATCTTGTAAACATAGTGCTTTTGTCTTTGCTTTGGGTACTAGGAAGCTCAGGGGAACATTCTGCTGCTTCTGACAGTTCAAAGGATGACTAGACATGTATCCACGTGTGCTGGTGTTAAGACTGGTTGAGCTGAAATTGATCCTGATTTTTCTGTTTTTCCACTCTTATTATTCCTGACCTCATTCTTCCCACTGCTGAAGCTTTTCTTTGTATTTTATATATTTTTTAAAGCCAGCTCAACTCCTTTGAGAAACCAAATGAAACATTTGCATGGAGATTCTGTCTCCACCAGCTAGTTAGTAGGTATTCTTGCACAAATATGTAGCACATATTAGGTATGTGGAAGACTAACAACACTTTGTGATAAGCGGCAAATGCCAAAGTGCATGATGACGTAAACAGAACCAGAAGCTGCATAGCTTACACAAGCGCAAATGACCAATAAGCAGAACGAGAACTGGACATGAGAGTGTGTGACAAGTTCCTAAACATATTGTGAGAAGACACATATTTGGCCCTGTCCGTCTATAAAATTATCTTTAAAATAGCCAGGGCTGTCGTGTTTCAGCTGCGTACAGCTCAATGTAGGTGGATGTATGGGTTGGCGTCATGGTCGAGGCTATTTCTAAATCCATGGCTGACATTCGCCAACTCTGAGAGACGGGCGGGACTGTGAACTCTGGGTCTCTCCTTCAGCATCTGCCAAATGGGACAATAGTGGCACCTACCTCATGGGTTATTGTGATATATTAAGTGACATAAAATGTAAGCTCTTAGGAAGATTCCCTACATAATAAGCATGTAATACATACTGCTTTTAAAATGAGCACTTGATCTAGTGCCTGCCTTACAGAGTAAATGTGGAATAAATAAGTAAATGCACAGATATGAAAAATTAAGATTTAGAAGTTTCTTAAACTTTTGTCATTTTTTAAATGATGACTCCTTGCCTGAAATTTTTTTTAGATTTTCAGTGTATAAAATGTTTTAGCCATCTCGTATCACTTCCCCACATTTTCCTTTTGCCATTTACCATAAGGCTGCCATGAAAAACAAAAGTGCACAAAAGTGTGAGAATTTATACAATTTACTCACTCAATTAGCGTGATCAAACTATTTGTCTCTTTACAAAAATTTCATTTTGATTCCCCAAGTTTAACTTAATGCCATTGGTTTAACATCTGTTTGGAGCACACCAAAACACCTCTGTCTATTCTAAAATGGAATGCTTCAGTCATGCCCAGAGATCCACACCTGTCCTAGTTCAGTCCCCAGAAAGATAAATTCTCTTAATGAAGGTTTTTCCTTGGGGCCAGGAAGCTTGGGGGTGCCTTAGTGCTCGGCCACGTTCATGAACCCACCTCAAGTGCCTGACGTGTCAACCACTCTGTTTCTTTATATTGACTGCAAGTTTAGTTTTCTGATTTTTAGTATGCCTGGGCGTTACATCTTTTCTCCTTCTTTTTTTAAAATTTTTTTAATTTTTTTATTTTTTAGATAGAGTCTCGCTCTGTCTCCCAGGCTGGAGTGCAGTGGCGCGATCTTGGCTCACTGCAACCTCCCGCTCCGTGGTTCAAGCAATTCTCCTGCCTCAGCCTTCCAAGCAGCTGGGACTACAGGTGCCCGCTACCACGCCTGGCTAATTTTTGTATTTTTAGTAGAGACGGGGTTTCACAGTGTTGGCCAGGATGGTCTCGAACTCCTGACCTTAGGTGATCCACCCACCTCGGCCTCCCAAAGTGCTGGGATTACGGGCGTGAGCCACTGTGCCCGCCCCCCACTTTCTTTCTTTTTCTTAAAGTCATCTGCTTGTAAGTCGTAAATAAGCTCTGAAAATACTAACCAGAAAGAATTTAACACCAATTTGGCCATAGGGTGGCTTCATGTTGTTACGGTTTCCATTTGGGAAGGAGGTAAGTCTTTCTGTCATATTTCTTTTGAAGCTTACAAGGTGAGAAAAGACAAAGACAGCCAAATAAGGAAATCAATCATTTTAGGTAACAGAAGAAAAATTCTTGAGAATTGTTTTTGGTGAAATTACAGTCACTCTGTTTTTATTATTTATTTATGTATTTATTTATTTTTAGAGATGGAGTCTCGCTCTGTCGCCCAGGCTGGAGTGCGGTGGCGCGATCTCGGCTCACTGCAAGCTCCGCCTCCCGGGTTCACGCCATTCTCCCGCCTCACCCTCCCGAGTAGCTGGGACTACAGGCGCCCGCCACCGCGCCCGGCTAATTTTTGTATTTTAAGTAGAGACGGGGTTTCACCATGTTAGCCAGGGTGATCTCGATCTCCTGACCTTGTGATCTGCTCGCCTCGGCCTCCCAAAGTGCTGGGATTACAGGTGTGAGCCACCGCGCCCAGCCTATAGTCACTCTATTAATCAGTTTTTTCTAAAAGTTCTCTCCTGCATGTACAATCTATGTGTCTTTAAGACTGGCAAAATTGTACCTAGCTACATGCTACAACATGGATGAGCTTGAGGACATTATACTAAAAATTAGCTGGGCGTGGAGGCGCACGCCTGTAGTCCCAGCTACTCGGGAAGCCGAGGCAGGAGAATCTCTGGAATCCGGGAGGCGGAGGTTGCAGTGAGCCGAGATCGCACCGCTGCACTCCAGCCTGGGCGACAGAGCGAGACTCCATCTCAAAAAACCTGGCGACAGAGCGAGACTCCGTCTCAAAAAAAAAAAAAAAAAAAGAGGCTACAATGGTAAATTTTATATTACATGATTAAAAAGTCCCTCACCCACCCCCGCCAAAACTGTGGCTGGCCTCTCCATCAACAAAATGTCTTTATTCCTTAATTATGACAACTCATTCATATGCTGACCACTTCTTTTCTTACGGTTCTGTTTCTTACACCAGCGAACCCCCTGAATGCCAAGGCGGCTTTCCTTCGAACTGTATCATGTATGTGTCAAATGAGATCTCACGCAAAGGTCTTCCCTACTTAGTTTCATTACAAGTGTACCTAGCCTACCCACAGTGAAGGAGATATTGCTGGTTCCCTTATTTCATTTTCAGTTCCGTTAGAAAAGTTTGCATAAACATGCACATGTAATCAGTTATGCATGGTGAGCCATAATGAGCTTTGGGGGCAGAGAAAGTCAATGGTTTTGCTGTTGTAAGAAAGTGTGGTGTTAATAGGTCACAACCTATCTGTTAAGTAATTAACATACTGTAGGATTATAAGAAAAGGTAATAAGAAAAACAAGTCCCTTTCTTCCTTAACACGGGCAATCTTTCAAAAGAGGAATCTTTATTGAATTTGTCTTTCCTTAAATGAATTCTGGTCTGTGGCCTAGTTCCTTTTATTCTTCAAACCGTTCTCAACCACATCTGTGGAATTCTGTATCAGCAATTGTGAAGCCAGCTGTTGCTGAGAGTCTTTTACTTAAGTTGAAATTAAGAACAGATTTGAGGGTCGTCTACCTGCTGTGAAGTCCTGATGGAGTTACCAAAAACTGCAAATCGTGAGAAAATGTGACTGCAGTTGCTTGAACTGCTAGTACGTTTTCTACAATGCTTTCTCCTCCATTGCAAAAATACCCTAACTCTGTGATCCAAGATTGTTATTTGTTAATGTCGTCTTTATCATTATTCAAAATATATGCACAAAAATCAGTAAGAGGAAAATCTGTGTTGCAATAACAATAGTGTATGGGTCAGCAAGGTTTTTTTTTTTTTTTTCTTTTTTCTGTGTGGAAAACAAGGACAGATTGTTAACAATGCTGGTTCCGTGGGAAAGTTCTTAAGATTTCTGCTACTGGGAAAATGAGTAAGGCGTTCTCTGTCCCACACACACGGGTGCATTTTGCGTCCAATCTTGAGGCGATGCTTTGTGGATTATTCAGCAAACTAAAAATTCAGGCATACTACCTGTTGAAGGCATCCTTTGACTTGAATACAGAAGAGGGAGGAACAAATTTTCACAAAAGTGTTTCAAGCAACGTGCAAGTCTCAACCATGATTAAACCTAAATCACTGTCAGTTTGACCTCAAATAAAAGACCCCACAAGAGAAAGCTCGGTAAGAAGCCATCTTAGTGTAAACACGGGAGACTCTGGGTGTAGATCACATTAGAAGTGATTTCTTTTGTGTGTGTGTGTGTTTGTAAGAAATGTGTACGATAACTGAGATAGTTTCCTAAATTAAGATTTAAAATATTCTGTTAACTTTAGATTTAAGCAGTCTGAAACCACTTCATAGAAGACTCTATTTAAAATATAATCATAATTTTGCCACACCATCCACGAAGGGGATTATCCTGTTAAATTCCATATCGATACACCCTTGCTGAAGGACTGTTTCTTCCCTCCTCCATATTCAAATACAGTGTATTCTCTGAATTTTTTAGTTCCATGAAAAGGAAAGATTTTAGGAAAAAAAAAAAAACCAACACGTTAGGATTGGTGTAATATTTTTGAAACCATCAGTGATTAAATAAATAGCCAATTTCCATTTATACACAAAATAGTTACCTATTCCAAACAGTACAAAGGGAATGCACAGCTGTACTCCTAAAACAGTCTTTACCTAGGAATACTTGATAATTTAAATCAAATTTATCCCTAATCCACTCTGAAATCTCTAAATTTAAGTTAGTTCAGAAAACAAAAGATTACTCCTTGACTTAATTGCATAATATAATTCTTCTTTTTCAGATATAGACAATCCTAATAAATTTACACAAAGATAGGGTTAATATTATTTACTAATGAGTAGCACACCCAACTGTCTAATCAGAGCACTTAAATTTTTGAGCATGAATATTTAATATGTATTTTTTAGTTTGTCTTCAATTTTATGCTATAGTATAGACAGTTTCACTTCTAGCTTTCAGGCACTGGAGGCCTTTTTTTTTGTGGGGGGCGGAGTTCTTTTTGGTTTTTACTCTGAGCTATCTTTTTAATGGAAGTCCTCGAGAATGTTTCTAATCTAAACGTCCTCAATCACTCCATAACCATTGAACACCATTTCATCACACGTTGAAAGGGGTGGAGTCCCAAAGGCTGAACGGATAATTCGTTAGACAATAGCAAGGGAAAATGCTTTCTTTCCCCCATTTATTTCATTAACCAAAATTATTGTCTGTTATAAAATTATAAATAGAGGGTGGGGGGGAATGAAGTTAGTGAATGGGTACAAACATACAGTTAGATAGAAGGAGTAGTTCTAATATTTGATAGCAGACTACAGTGACTACAGTTAATAACAATGGATTGTGTATTTCAAAATAGATAGAAGACAGAACTTGAAATGTTCCCAACGCATAGAAACAATAAATACCCCAGCTGATGAGTACCCTAAGTGCCCCGACTTGATCATTACACATTCTACGCTTGTAACAAATACACGTACCCCATACATGTGTAAAATATCACATATCACTAAAATAAAACAAGTAGCCAAAATCAACCATTAATATTCAACCATTAATACTGCTGACTTTGCTCCATCCAAATACTATAATTTACGTAAACCTTTCAAAATAGGAGAAGCTCTCCTGGGCCATTCCAGGGGCAAACGGTGCCCTTAATCCCTAATGGTTACTTTAAGTGTTTGAAGCTATTAAAACAGTTGAAATGTTGGCAATGCTAAATATGGTTACAGGAATAGTATGGAAACTTGTATTAAACATTTGATTTTTATACCTTTTTTGTGTGTGTGGAGTGAGCTAGGAATAGTGCATTGACAAATGAACAACCACCAGTGACTTGTGTACAATCAATGTGAACACGTTTCAATTGTCAGTAACAAAATGATGCTGGCCCTCCAGCTGCCATTTTCTAGGTCTGCCACACCAGACACCAGGACTTAACTCTTTGCCCATCCATCAAATTACGCTCTCAGATTTCGCATGCACTGTAGATAAACGTGTAAGAAAGGAAATGGTTTAAAAGCACAATATTATTGTAGACAGACAATGCCCTGAGTGAAATCACATGTGGGTGACTTAAGACAGGGCCCTAAACCGGCTAGAAAAAGGAAGCAAGTCATGAACAGTTTTATGTGGAGGGGTTTGGAAGTCTTGATCACCATTCAATGATCTACCTTGTCCATTTTCAACACATGGAAATTGTTAGCGCAAGTTTGTACTTTAAAATAGACCCAAGAATGCAGATGAACGTAGGTTTACAGGACTGATATTCATTCCAAAATCCTACCAAAAAGCTATTAAAGTGTCTTCAAATTTTAATCTTTGTTGTTACCTACATGTATGTAATAATATGTGTATACAAGGACATTTACGGCTTTGTAATTAACTGAATTTGGGGATACTTTCTTTGTGCATTTTCACAGTGTACTGAAATGAATGGTGGGCACGTCAATACTTTTCGGTGAATCAGACTTAAACGTGATTGCTGAAGAATACATCCCACTTAGGCATTCATGCTGAAGCCAGCAACAATTGTCCGTGACCTTTAACATGCCCGCTCTCCAAATCAGTGCAGGTCGTTAGTCACACGGAGCTTACATTTGAGGACTCGCGGATCCTTCATAGCGGAGGTTGTCCCTGTCTTTCTGCCTGACTCCCCCCCGCCCCCCGACCCCGACACACACTCCCCACCGCCCCCAGAAACATCACACATGCAGAATGCCCCCCCCGTCTGATCGCCAGCTTTCGGGCACATGCGCCTCCCTTTGCAGCGCGTCTGGAGTAGTTTCTTTTGTAAACGCCCTAAGTTGGGGAGGGCCGCGGGCTGCGAGTGTGAGGCGCAGAGAGAGACGCCGCCGCTGAGGTAACCGCCAGGATTGCAGCGCTGATTGCTACGCGGAGCCACGTTGGGCGTCTTGGACGGAATCCACCTCCACTGCGGAGTTATCACGAGGAGAAGGAGAACAATACGGCCAGGAGCCTGGTGGGAGAAGATAGTGTTACCCCTCCGCAGGCCGCAGCTCCCCGGGTCTACGTCACCGGCCGTGAAGGGGCGCTCGCCCTCGCTAGCTCCGACCCGCCCCTCCCCCGCCCCCGCGCGCCCGCCCTCCCCTCCCCCACCCCGGCCATCCCTGCCCTGTAACAGGAGAGCGTTTTGGAGTCAAATTAGGATTTCTAGTCCCAGACTCAACTTATTACAACTAACTACTGCTCGTGGGGAGTAGGTGAGGTGAAGAAATGAAGTTTTAAGAACAGAAAAATAAGAGTTGAACTTTCGAGGCTACCGGTAAACAACCCCTTCATTTTTAAATGGCCGGGTGGCAGAGCCGCTGTTTGAAGTCTTTCCAGCGGGACCTCTGTGACCCTTGATTCAGGACTTAATGTATTGATCCTGCATCTGAACACCCCCAGAGGCATTTACCAGGAAGTTGAGTGACACGCACACGCTACGCCGTGTGTAATGCACACGCACCTGGGACCCCCGAAGGGGTGTCCCCATTTCAGTCCAGATGGGGCGCAGTGCCCAGGTACCCGCCGGCGGGACCCGCATCCCGAGCACGTCTGTACGTATGGATGCGCGTGTGCGCGCGGAAACGGCCTCCGGGAGCCGGGGCTGCAGCAGCCTTAGACCTTGACGAGGGGCGACCACTGGCCGCTGGAACCGTGATTCAGTGCTATTAGGGGAGGAATTGGCTGTGTCTGAGTCACTGCAAGCCTCCAGACTGTCCCCTCAGTGTGGCAGAACTTTGTGCTGATGAGACAATAGTGGAGTGTGCGTTTCCTACAGGGCAGACCATTTCCAGGCTGGGGGAAGCCTCCGGCCTGCGCCGGGCCGTGAGCGCCCGGCCCCCTCCCCGTGCCGCGCAGCCCCCCGAGCCCGGCTCGCGCCGGGGCCCCCGCGGGGCGGACGCGTCCGGGGCGCGCGCGGGCGGCGCGAGGAGGGGGCCGGGCGCGTGGCGGGCCCCGCGCGCCCTCGCGCGTCCCCCGCGCCCGGGCGCAGCTGGCGCGGTCGGTCTAGTGCAGCGCTCGGCTCCGCGCCGCGGGCGCTCGGCTTCACCTTCAGATGCGCGGGGCGTGCGCGTCCTCCTCCCCAGGCCCGCCGCCTCCCTGCCAAGGTAGGGGCCGCGGGCGGGGGGAGGGCTGCGCCGCAGGGGCCGCGGGCGGGCGGTGGGCGCGGGGCCCGGAGCCCCGACGTGCCCCGTACTCTGGTGTGCGCCGCTGGGGGTAGGGGGGGAGGCGCTGGGGAGGGGGGTGCGCCGGGGAGGGGCCCCCCGGGCGCGGGGAGGGCTACTTGGCTTTCCCGGTGGGTAGTTGCTCTGCTCGTCAATTCCAGGATAGGGGAAGATGCAACTTCGGGCGGCGGGGCGAGCGCCCGGGAGGTGGTTTTTACCGCAGTGGAGGGGCGGGGTGGGGGCCGGGGTGGGAGCGCGGAAGAGGCTCTGGCTTTGTACACTTTGTCAAAGGCGACGCGGGAGGAGGGGAGCTCGGATGCGCTCTCCATCCATTAGGAGACAAAGAGCAAATTGCCTTACTTTAAAGTAAAACGCTCCGGCTAATGAAGGTGGGTGATGGGGCTGCGGGCCCGAGGAGCCGCTTCAATTATTAAGGGTTTGGCGGATGGGATCGATGCCTGTGGGCACCGCGCGCTGCTGCCTAGGGGACGTGTTTGCGTGGAGGTGGGGGTGGCCTTGTTTTTTACGGCCCCCTCCCCGGCTGCTTGCCAGTCTGCTGGGAGCTTCTAAGTGACCCTAACGTTAAAGAAGTGAGAGGTCCTGGAAGGGAAGTTCGGGCGGGGGTGGGGGTGGGGGCGAGGGTCTGGCACCGACTCGGAGAGGGGTGGGCAGGGACTCCTCGGAGCTGCGCCCCGCCGGGTGCGGGTGGGGGAGGCCTCGGTGGCGAGATGAACCCGGGTGTATGAAGGAAGAATGCGGTGGGGTGTGTGTGGTTGGGCGGGAGGTGGGGGGAGGCGCCTCCGCTGCCATTTCCAGGGAGAACTAACAGACTGAATAGTTACGATCAGTATTTAGATTAAACCGCCTCAAGTTTTAACGAAACTTTGTATGAATAAGTTTGTTAAATGGCAGCCGAGTGGGGTATTTAAAAGCAGCAGTTTATGTGTGTGGTGAGGAAAGCCAGTGGACCCCCGCAATTAGGGACCAGAGGGAACCAGCCTTTTACCCGAAAAATGTGGGTCTGTAAGTCAGCCTCATCTATTATCAGCGTTAATAAGCTTCCCGCAGCAGACCGGGAGCTCTGGGGGCTGTGTGTGTGTCTTACTCATTCCGCTGATAAAGAGTCACCGGGTCTCCGGGTGTGCAAAGATCAACTTGCGCAGCCCTCTTTTTAAATATATTCATTCTGTGCTTTATTTAATCCAGATGCACAAAAAGCCATTTGCTGCTGCATTGTTGGTTTACATTTTTTGAAAAGGCGACTGGTGTAACCTGTGGAATTTGAAATGCAAATAAGAGCCTGTGGGAGTAGAGGCAGAACAGATCAGCATTTATAAAGTGGAAAAGATTTAATGTCTTTGAAATCATTGCAGGGGAAGAAACTGGAGGGGGAGTGTGATTTTTCAGGGAGTGAATTGTGACGTCAGGTCTTTTTGGAAAAGATGTTATTTTTAAGGTCTGAAACCCGGCTAGGTAAAGTGCTTACAGGAAAAACAGATTACAAGATTAACATCTGTTAACATGATCGTTTATCTCCAGCCAAAAATAGGTCAGTTCTTTCTTAAGGAAACACGATTGCTGGCGCATGCTTAAATAATAAAATCAAAACGGCGAGTTCATAAATTAGGAACGAGTGTTTGTTACAATCTGACCTGTGAAGAAACGTTTTTGAATTTCGAGATCAATGGAAGGTCAAAGTCCCTTTTCGGTGTAGAGAGCAACTCTTTCCCCTGCGTCGGCCCCCGCCCCCCCCCCCGCCCCCCGCGGAATGACCCCTCCTTCTTTCTCGGAGCTCCCTTTCCGCCTCCACTCCCTTCGTGAATTTCCCTTTCCATCCTTTGTGGAAGTACAAAATATATTTAAATGGATATCGTCTGACGCCTCCCTCCTTAAAGAAGGCAAACTCTGCGCAGATGGCTAACTTTCAGAGCTCTGCTGTTGTTTTACCATTAAATGAAACGGTAGGGAGGAGAGGAGGAAAAAAAAAAAAGGAAACAGCTTTGCGAAGTCTCCCTGCCCCCTGGGCGTGAGTGACGGCTCTGCTGGCCAATCCGCAGCGGCTTTCTCCATCCCGGAGGTAATTTGGGGTGTGTGTGTGAGCGCGCGCGTGCGCGTGCATGAGCCCATGTGTCTGCACACTGTGAAGTCTGGCCAGCCCCGCGCATCCGCAGGCTTCTGCATTTACACAGATGTGTGATGTAGACGTGGACACGCTTTTATTCGAGTCAGTTCGGCTACATGGGCACGCAGCAGCCCCCACGGAGCGCCTCCCCCTCCGAACGTTCTGTGAAGCATGGGGTTTAGAAGCACTTTCAGATTCAGGTCGGAACCTGCAGAAGGGGGAGAAAAGAGGAGGGCTGTGATTGTTTCTCAGCAACTGGGGACTCGAAACGTGCGGTTTCTCTGGCCTTGGTGCCTGGGCACGCGCGCCCTGGTGCGTTTTTGGTTCAGGTGATGATGGAACCCACTCGCCCGGGCAAAGCGAACTGAGAACGCGGATTGCTGAAACTGATGTGAACTCCGTAGAAAAGTGAAGGGCAGCATGTGTCTTCCAACTTCACATGTGATTTTCTCACTGGGAGTTGATGCCTAGTCCCTGGCAAATTCTAGAAGGTGAAGCGCTCGTGGCCAGTGAAAGTTCGGCTGCCCACCCGCCTCCTGAACGCTGCGCCCTGGCTGCGTCTGACCCGCACAATGGGCGTATTCACGGGCACAGCGCGTCACCGGCCACCCCACGCTTGCAGCTGACTTACTGTGGCACCGACTTTCTCAGGAATATCGGTAGTGATGTGTGTGGCTCGCGTAGTACGCACCTCGGGAAGCGTACGGACCCGACCTGAGCCGAGCAGCATCTCCGTGTAAATGTTGGAGACGCGGTGTCTTCCGGGAGCACCGCGGGGTTGCTGCGCTTCTGTACCCACCGGGATGGGGATGATGCAATGGAGAGGTTAAGGACCCACGTGCCCACTACCTCCCCGGAGACCCCTGCAGGGAGACCCCTGGGAGGGACCTCGTCCATGCGCGGGTGTGCCCGGCCACCAGGCCGCACCGAGGTCACCCGAGGGTCCGTGGGCGACCTTCGTCCTCCTCTTCTGCAGAAATCTAACTCGGTTACAAGGTAGCGTCCGACTCCGCGCCTTCCCTCCCACTCGGGCCATTTCCGCCCCCCAGCCCGAGTTCCACCCAATTCTGCCCCTCCCCAATCTCAGGAGCCGGCGGAACCGGGACTGGGCAGCCCTGGGAGGTGTCGTTGGATTAAATCATTCCTATTTCGGTGTGTCTGAGCAGCAGCGGCGCTGGGGCGCTACTGGGGGACCTGGGGCACGCGCGGCCAGGGGCCGGGGGCGAGAGCGCAGGGCGGCCCTCTGGGCTGGGGGCGGGTCGGGGGGGGACTCACCTGCCCGCCCCGGGGTGGGGGCGGTGGCCGCTTGTTGCTGGGCTGCCAGGAGGAGGGCCGTGGGCGGGGCGGGAAGGGGCGGAGAAGCACGGGGAGGGCCTGGCCCGCCGCCCCCGCCCCCCGGCGCCCGCCCCCCGCCCCCCGCCCCCGTCATGTGGAGCGGACGTCACACGCCTGCACTGTAACCCAAGAAGTGAAAGAGACGGACCCACAGCCCAACTTCGCACCATAACAAAGGCGGGGGTCTGTGCGGGCCGGGGGGCGGGGGCGGGCGGGGCGGGCGGGGGGAGCCGGCGGGGGCGGGAGCGAGGCCCGGAGGAGGAGAGAGGGGGCTGCGGGGGGAAGGGCAGGCCGCGGGGTTGGGGGGAGCGAGCGGATGGGGCTGTGGAGGGCCGGGGCCGGGGCCGGGGCCGGGGAGGGGGGCGGGTCCGGTCCGGAACTGGGGTCTGCGCGGGGCTCCGGGCCGGGGCAGGCGGGGGTCCGCGCGGCGGCGTGGACCGGGCTCCGGGGGCCGAGGCGCGGCGGAGCCCAGGTAATTGGTTTCTATTTTAAACTTCACTTTGTTCTGGCGGAGGTGGGGCGGTGGGAAAGGCGTGGCCCCGAGGACGATTACATAAGTGTTCACACCTGAACCGGTCCTGCGCCCGCGAGCGGATTTGGGGTGGGAGTTGGCGGTGGGCACCCGGGCTTGGGGCGCCTCGCGAGGGGCTGCTGCGTGGGGGTTTTGTGTTCTGCGTGTGTGACCTCACAGTGTCTCCGCGGTAAAGAGGCCGGGGATGGCTCTGTGGACTGCCTGGAAAAGCCCAGATGTGCCCGTGGGCGTTGGGCTGGCCTTCCAGGGGTGTCCCCTGCGTAACAAAGGACGGAGCCCTCGGACCCTCCGGTCCGCTCGTCGTGTGACTTAACCAGCAAGTCACAAAAGGAACTTTAGTGGGGATCCTACTTACACATACAGCAGAAAGGCATTGCCCCCGTCAGCCTGCCATGCAGTTTCGAATCTTGATTGAAGGTAATTTAAAAGCTGAGTGATGTACGTTCACCATGGGGCTATGGAGTAAATACTATTAAAGAAAATGACCCGAGTAGATGCAACGGTGGCTAGCCTCCCAAAAGGAGCTTTTCCAGCTTATTTTAAAAACCACCTTATTAATATGATTGAAGTATTTTGGTTTAGGGATGTGTTACTTAAAAGAGCTAGGCATGCATGTTATTTGATAGGATACTGGCTACTGCCGTGTAAAATAAAAAGAGCTCATTTTATCATTTGTTCCAGCTTCATTTTCACTTGCATTCTTTGATTATGTCGTCAGGTAACTGTTATTTATATTTACACAGACCAGCCAGAATTAAATATGCCACATACCACTATTGTGCATGGGTCTGAGAACCCCTCGCCCCCCCTTAGTAAAATTGGAGAGTGAAGTTGCGTAGGAGCCTGCCGTGGTGTCAGGGGTTTGAGAGTTGGGTTACTTGTAGGAGGACGTCTTTAATTTCACAGGAGTGACCCCCATGGCCATCTTGAATGGGCTCTGGGATGAACTGAATTCTGTGTAAGACTCACAAATATTTTGGTAATTGAATTTGAATTTTGGTGTGTTAAGGCACAAGCATGTCTAATGTTTTTCTTAATTCATTAGTAGGGCTTTGTTTTCTTAACATTTGCTAATTTGAATATACTGAAACACCAGAGCGCATTAACCTTCTAAAAAAATAATAATCCCGGTGGATCTGTAATAAAACTAACCAAGAGGAATGGGGATGCCTCGCTAGAATGAAACACAACACCAAAATAGCAGGTTTAGTAGGTACAGCTTTCAACAATGCAGAGAGATGGGAGTTATGCCTATTTTTATTTCTGAAAGCTTTTGTTTATTAGAATAATCTTTCCAGATGGCTTAATATCCTGAAATACACTAGATCAAGAACTTTAACTTTGAGAAATGTGTCTGCTATGAATTGTTGACACCCTGAGAATAGTTTACCTCACCAATGTTTTCCCATTGTTATCTGTAAACAACCTTCAGAGTCTACTAATTTAGAGATTTTATTTTTCCTGGAACCCTGAAGTCCTACATTTCTAACTTTTTTTTTTTTTTTTTTTTTGTAAGATGTTGTCCCAGAGACCAAAATTGACTGAAGGGAATGAGAGAGGTCTTTGAAAACAGGTCACAATGTGAAAAGCACTTTGTCTCCACTTTCATAAATGAAACTTTTAATTCCATTTACCTAACTTCCCCCTGCAAGGAGATATTTGAGTTTTATAAGTGAAGCATTTGATGTGATTAAGTTTAGCAACGTATGTGAAAAAGGAAAGGAGACTTCTGTAAAGAATACTTTGAAATGAGGTATACTCCAACAGATGGTTTTCAGTCTTACCAAATGGGGAAAAATGATAATGTGACCTAGCAATTTACGTAGAGTTTAGTCATGGATTATTCTTGAAAAACCAGTACTCAGTGTATTGGGTCGTTGTGGATTTTTATTTGTTCATTTTCCAGAATACGTATTGGTCTTATTTATAATTTAAGAGAAGGAATCTTTTAAAAAGAATTTGGTGGGAGTGGTTGTAAGTCTGACTGGAGACTGTGTTTAGAGTTTCAGCTGCATTATACCTTAATGCTGTAGAGATAGAGACTGAAATATAAGCTCACTGCGTTCTGCAGCAGGGAGCTTGTCCAAACGTGTGCACTTTCCTGTATAATATGCTTGTTTAAATGTTGAAGACATGCATTATTTTGTTTTTTACTCTATTTTGATTTAGGGGAAAAGGACTTCTGTTAATTACCTAATTAAAAGTGGTATTTCGCTTATTACTAGATTTCCAACTGAAGAAGGCATTGCTATTAAATGTGCAGGAAACACATATCAGCTTTCTCTTTGGTTTTCAGCTGGCCAAATTTAACTGGAGATGTGTAACTTTCTCAGTGATAGACATGGATTTAATTATTAGTAATAGAACTGTAATGGAAGAAAGTTAAATTTATTTGATTAGGTATCTGCATTATAAATGTTTGAACTTGGAAGTCATATTTCTTCTTCAAAAGCAGACATCTTTCATGCTGTTAATGTTTATACATTTTAGTGCTTGGATAAAGCTATTCTGACACACTCAATTAGTTCTTTCAAAAATGCATCTCTTTGCTGTCCCTCCCCCTCCCCCTCCCCCTCAAAAGTTCTAGAAGCTGTGGGAAAAGTTCAGTTGTCTATCTACTGAACGTAGTCCAAGGAATACCCGTGGGTTTGTTCACTGCTCGGGGAGCTGGACGTGTGCCGCTCTGACTTCCTTTGCACATCCTTGCTTCCCTGAATTTGCATTTATTGCCTAACTAGCATCCCGCAAAAAGGCCTTTCCTGGCTGCCTGCGAATTGGCACCTTGGAGCTTCACTTCCAGCATTGTTAATGGCTAAACGTGAAGAACTAATTTTATTACTGTATTTAGCTCACAGGGCCTTGGAAGCGGCCCCTACTCTGTTGTTGGGAGCTGCATCTCATTTAGAGTTGCATTTTTCAAGTGAATTGTAGTGTCAGGCTGTGCATCCGTTGTGGGGTCTGAGTGGGTGATGGTTGGAATACATCTCCCCGTGTATGAGAGGCACCGAGGGATGTGGAGGTTCTCGGAGGCAGATGGAGGTGGGGGCTGTGGACAAGCCTCTGTTTGTGCAGCAGTGATTATTTGGTTGTTCGACTGTTTGGTTAGGTTCCCCTTGGGCTGGTCGCTAACTGGTGGCATGAGCTGACAGTGTAGCTGTTCCCTTCTTCTCCCTCCCCTCCTGGGGGCTCTCATCCTCAGTCCTTCCACCTGACTGGCCGAAAGTGTAGTGGCAGCAGCCTATTACGGGAATGTATCTAGGGGCCATAGAGGAGACAGCATTTTTCAAATTCAAGCTCTGGCCTCAGTTTTCTCTGGTCCCAGGAACCAGTGAGTTTGGGAGTGGGGCAGGACATTCTCTTTGATAGAGGAATGACCTCTGCCCTCAGTTAAGACCACCCTCCCACCCACCATTGGATGAGAACTATCAGAATCGTTCGATTTTCAGGAATTTTGAAAAGGCACAAACCTATTGTAAGAAAAGAATCATGTCAAATGTTTACATTTATGAATAATTAATAAAATTAACCTTATGGGAGGAGGAGGAAGAAAGAACAACTTTTACTATGACTTTAGAATGTCTCCTGTTCTTTAAAAAGTATCTTTATTTTAAAATTAATTTTTCTAACTGAAGAATATTTTAGGGGAATGACTTAAATAGCTATAAGGAAGGATATATTTATAGGGGCTATAAATGCATCATTTGTATTTGAAATTTCTAGCATCCACTACAGTGTACGAAGTGTATTTTAGATGGACTGGTAAAAACCAGCAGTTGCAACTGTCTGTTTTGCATTCCTTATGCTCTGCATCTGGCCACACGTGACTTGAACAGCTGAAGCTTCTCTTTCCAAAGCTAGAGCCATCATCGTATTTATGTCTAGCCTGAGATGTTTTCCGATGGTATACATTCGAATTGTAAAGCAGTGTAATTTGTGGCTCTCAACATGCCTTAAAAGTCATTTCCAAAAAAGATCTGGCATTTAATCTTTAATTCAAATGGTACTGAAAATTACAAAGCAGGAGTAATTAGAAATGCAACTATTTTTAGAAAGCAAACATGTAAATATATGTTAAGTGATGACTAAAACACAAGCAGGAGAGTAGGAAAAATTATTTAAAAGACAACTATAGTAGGTTTAGATACATCTTACCATATACTGTATTTTAACTCTGTGTTAATTCTGGTAGATTTACTTCGTATTCCTGTTTCTGTACCTTCCCCCCGAACCTTGGTCAGGAAGTAAGTAAAGTCTATAGAATCTCAGAATTTACTGGGCCGAGAAGAGATGTATATCGTATGTAATTGTGAAATCCAGACAGTTCCTCAACTGAGTGGTGAAAATGGGATGAAATCTTAGTGTGTTTTGTTATCTTCAAGGCAGAGGGAATCTGGTGTTTTTTTTTTTTTTTCCTTCAAAACCAGGTAGACAACGTCTCTCACCGCCCTGGGGAGTTGCTGGTGCTGGCTCAGCCTCCAGGATACAGCTGTCCTGTTATTTTCTTGCTTTTTTAGGAGATGGTGTGCGTAGAGGAAGATGTGGTGTTAGTTTTCAGGACACAGTTAAAGACAGGCTTAAAAAATCAAGGTTCTCTATTAAAACTATAATTTCTTGTTAATGGCTAAGAATTAAAAATTTTTCAGCGCTATTAACACTTGAAGAACTCTCTAATCCCCCACTCTTCCCATGTGAAAGTAAAGGACATTTGTTTAGGAATTTTTTTGTTTCAGAAAAGGGCAACATGTGTCTGTCTTTGCCATATGGTACTATTTAACCTATATTGCATGAGCTGACAAGACACTGTGTTTGGGCATTGATTTATTTTAGCATTCGAGAATGTTCTTTGAAATTTAGTACAGTAAATGATGCATTGAAAGTTGTACAGAATGGTCGTTTGTGGCTTTAGCAGATTCTTTCTCAGTTGATACTTAAGGGTGTAGTGAACAAGTTTCACTTTTTTTCCACCGATACAATTTTTGTGAGAAATAGTTTGCCATTCAATGCTGAGTGACTGTTAATTCAGGAAAACACAGACTTGAATATAAGTAGTTAAGACTTCTGGGGGTCACAAATAAGGCTAAGAGTTGGGCAGGTCAGAAAGAGAAGATTCACTGTTTAGTTCCTGATTATTCTGGTGATTTTAACCTAGAGCAAAAAAGTATGTTTATTATTATTATTATTTTTGTCAAAAAGACTCAGCTTTTGTCCCCATCTTTTTTTTTTTTTTTTAAAGAAATGAGTTAATGAACAAATGGACAATCCTATTTAATAGTTCCCCTGAGCTTCTGTGGTGCGGCCCTGGAATTATCTACAGGCAGAACTGAGATGTTTTCACTTAGGCTGTGTTTTGTTTACACATGCTGGTTTGGGTTTTTGGGTAGACCTGTGTTGAATTCACAGGGTGGCTCTTATGCCATGTTGCAGGAATTTATTAGTATGGAACCCCACAGAAGATTCCACCTCCATTTTTAACATTCTGTATGGCTGTCGAGTCGACACCAAAGCAAATGTGTCTCCAGACACCTCTCTCTCGTTGTCTCAGTCTTGTTGGCTTTAATCATCCTGTTTTCTCTGTTTTACGAAAGAAGTAAACAAATTTCTATTCATCCACACGTGTGTCCCCAAAGCAAGGCATATGTGGACTGAAAGGTGGGCTGGGGCTTTGCTTCGAGAACGTGAGCGAAGAGCGTGTGAGTGCACGTTGCCTTTGGTGATGCATCATTTATATTGACATTATCAGTGACACAGACAGAACATTTTTATGCCAGTTTGAGAAAATACCATCATTCACATTGATAATCATATTCCCCCCAGATTTAGATTAATCATTTCAAAGCTTTTCATGTCTTTAGCATGACCATTAGCATAATGATGATAATTTGTCCCTTTGAGTAACACCAAGCATAATTTAAATTAACGTTATTGTGTTGAGTGCAGTGCAACCCCAGGTGCTCAAGTAGCTTCCTTTTTTCAAAAATGGCTTTTTACTTTTTAAAATGAGAGGCAAGCAAGACGATCTCATTCCTAAAACCAACTTAAAAAATAAAAGTGTTAATAAATAAGTGAATTCCTAATGTAAAAGTGCTTGCCGTAGCAACGTAAACTTGGGGACAATTCTGTAGAGTCATGCGATTAGTGGTTTAGTGGTAGGATTAAAATTAGCCTCGGTAAATTACCCTGGTGACAGAAAAGCAGAATCTGTTAATGGTTTCACAGGAAGATTGGCTTATCAGTTATTTTCTAGGTTGATGAAAGATTATGGGCTGCTAAGAATTTGAACTTTAGAAAGTAAGGTTGATTTTCCTAATATTTACATATTTTAAAGTATAGGTATTGATTAAAAAGAAAGTTATTACAGTTAGAATTTGGGATTTTATATGTGTGTGGGAGATGATTTACAAACCAGGTTTTTTGCTTAGCTGTGAACATTAAGGGGGCCGTCGAGAGTGTGTGTTTTAGGCAATCCTTAAATCCCGTCCAGGGGAATAGTAGACCATTTTGGAAAGCATTTTACATGTTTTGGACCCACGAAAACTCCATTTAGATTCCTACAAGGTGGTAGGTGATGAAACTGCACCTTCTTGGCCCGAGCGGGGTTAGGGCGGCCGCCATTTTAGAGCACGGTGTTATATCGTTAGGAGTGTTACATTGACTTGGTGTAATGACCGTGAAGGAAAGCATTTGCTTTCGTGATTGTTTATGTTTCTTTGTAAACTTACATTATTTGTATTTGGGCTTGTTTTAGAAGGTTAATATAGACAATCATATATGTGTTATAACTGCAGGAAACTTGGAGGTGATTTTTGAGTGAATCCTGACATTTTACAGGTACTGAAATGCAGAAAGATTTAATAACTGAGCCAAGGCCACAGGAATGGTGCAGAGCTCAAATCCAGGCGTCCTGATTCCCAGCTTAGCCTTTTTCTCCATACGCTGTGCTGAATGCACAGAATAAGGGGAGGTGAAAGTCCACTCTGAAAAGGAACTTGGTAAGCGTGTTGTCATGCTGAGTTAGCACTGCCAAGTGTGGACCTGGCAAATAACCAGGTGTTTAGGGCAGTGTAGGGAGAGCCCCCCTTCAGCTTTGCTTGGATGCTTAGAGCTTGCTCCACAGAGAAGAAACATGTTGAGTAAATGTTTGCGTCTTTCCACGGGGATGTCGTGCGAGTTGGGCACTGGACCAGTTGTTGCTGTCTGAGGCTGCTGTCACATGGCAGCGCTCAAGGAGGAACGTGGAAAATCTGGTCACCAAAGACCAGGCAGCTATCTGCGCAGATTCCCAGCCCCGCAGTGGGTGCCAGGATACAGGTTTTCTTGCGAAACCCAATGGTTATCACCAATAGTAACATATTTTTATAAGAGAGTAAATACAGAGTGTAAGTGACCAACGTGGGATATAGAAAATCCTAAAAGAAAAAAGCCACCAAAAAATCATAGGGAAAGGGGTCGGAGAAGACCAGGTCAGTTCTGATAGACGGCTGGGCCCTGAGACTCACCTTCTTAAGCCAGGAAGATGAAATGCGGGTGGGCCAGCTGACGGGGGACATTTGGCACTCATGGGTTCTCAGTGTGGTGCGGCAGATGACCCGTGACAGACAGATGCCGATGACGGACAGATGCTGATGACGGACAGATGCCGAGAGGGAGCTTCCCACAGGAGTGGGCAGGGAGGCGGCAGAGACAGAGTGGATCATGGCAGGTGCTTTCCTCTGAGCTCAGCTTTGGTGCCAGGGGACAAGATGGCCACAAAGAGGAGGTGTTGGGGACCCCAGAGAGCTGAACCCAGGAAAGTGTGCATTCTCCTCCTTTCTTTCCAATGGTCAGGTTGGCTGGCTTGAGCTGTGTCTGCCCCGGGTTGCTGTCTGGACCTTTGCAGATTATTAAACACCTCCTGGAGGAGTCTCCACCCCGCCTGCCTTCTCCAGCAAAGCAGGCAGCTGGGCCAGGGAGCAGGTAGTTTTTCTTTGTTGTGCAAGAGCCGCTTAAGAAACAGTGGCCTTTTGCATTCTCAACATGAGCAAACGTAGCCAACACCCTAGATTTCTTTTCTTAAGAGGAAAAAAATTAGTAAATTCAGAATTTTTTTTCTTTTCTTAAGAAGATAGTACTGAGTACTCTTCATTATTTACCCGAACCTATATACTAGGTGATTTTGCTACCTTTCTAGACATTTCTCAAAATAGGACCAATATAAATGAAGAAATGCAAAGACTTATTTAATCAGTGTAGTCATTTATGGACTTCATCCTGTAGGCCGTGGTGTGAGGATTTTTGCAGGCTCGTTTGAGTATCTGGTCATTGAAATCTCACTATTTGTATGTTGGTAATAATAGTTTGCTTGTTTCTGCCTATTTCATTGCATGAGAGAATGAAGTGTGCACGTAAGGTCACACGTTTGATACAGACAGATACTCTCTAATTTACGACAGGGCTGCCTTCCCAGAAACCCATCCTAAGTTGAAGATACTTTTAAGTCGGAAATGCGTTTAATACCCTTCAGTCTACTGAACATGGTAACATAGCCTCACCTACCTTAAGTGCGCTTGGAATGGGTAAATGTTAGCCGACAGTTGGGCAGGAGCACCTGGCAGTGCAGGTTGCCATGAAGTACCGACGTCCACCCTGGAGATCGCGGGGCTGCCGCTGCCGGGCCTGTGGAGGGAGCAGCTCACTGCTTTCTGCTGACTGCCTGTGGCTTCCTCACCTGGTAAAGTTGAAAAAGTGTAAGTCAAACTTTCCTAAGTTGGGGACCATCTACAGTAAAATACAAACAAAAATAAAGAACGGGCAATGGAATAATAGGTCGCGATGAAGGGAAAAGCTGGATCACATATGTACGTCTTAGGATTCCCTCCCGTTGGTAGATGTGAACCAAAACTTAGGATGTGAGCTTTCTGGCACCTAAAACAAAAAGCAAAACATGGCCGTTGATGTGTTGCACTGACTCTCAGGAAAAAAAGGCATCAGTTCTCCCATGAAGGAAAAGCTTCTTTTAGCATTAGCGCTAAAGTCAACTTCTAAACGTTGACTTTAATACTGGTTGTTTTAATACAGGCTGTATATTCTTACATAGACAGTGCCTTCAATAACATTCTTAAGGCAAAAGCTATTGTAGCTTTTGGAAAGTAGTTCCTTGTAGCTACTTTGATACAAAAAGCCAAGGGCATAAAAACAAAATAAAAGGTATTGAGAGCTACTTTTTGAATTACTATGACAGTAAGATGTAAGTTATCAACATTACTGTTTCCCATTAAATTAATAGAAATTTTATTTTCATTACTAATGACTTATGAACTTGAATCAGATTGGGCAAATGCCTCAATAACTAGTTCCCTAAATAAATAGCCCACCAGTACTCATTTTCTTTCAACAAACATTGATCAAGTGCCTACTATGAACAGAGCATTATTCCGAGTTCTTTATATGTGTTATTTAATATGCACAGGTCTTAGGAAACAGGCAGTAATTCCCATCCCCTTTTACCCGAGAGGACACTGAGGCCTGCACAGGTGAGTAACTTCATCAAAGTCCCACAGCCAGGTTATTAAGCAGCTCACCTTTTGGGCCATTCCCTTGAGTGTCCGACCCTGGTCATGCTTGTTACCCTGTGTGGAGTTCATTTCATTTTGGTCCGAGCCATTTGGGATTATGTAGCTTTAGAGATGACACTATGGGAGACCAGTGTCCCTCCACCCTTCCTCTTTCTAGATGGCTGGGGTTTCTGAAGCATCATCCAAGAGGGGGTTGGGACAGGCTGTCTGCCTCTTTGGGGTCCCCAGCCTGTCTATGGGCCTGCTCTGTTCTGAAAATAAGCAACAATTTTGAGTCATCCATCACAAATGAGAAACTTAAGAGAGTGATCTGAAGAGAATTTGATGCCAAAAAAATTTCTGGGTCAGCTGTAGCCATCCCAGTGAGCTGGTGGGACTTGGTCCCGTCCTGCCTCTGACCAGGCTCAGTGGCCTTGGATCCTAGGTCAGCTCCTGTGCAGTTCCCATGAAGCCCAGAGGGGGCTTGAGCCACACCCTCCTCAGCTCAGAAACCTGGGTCTGTATTTGCAAAACTCCAGGGCAGGGGTCAGCAAACGTTTTCCCTAAAGGACCAGATAGTATTTGATAGACCTGCCTCACAGCTTGAGAGCAGCCCGAGGCAGCCTGGCAGGGAAGAGATGGACTTCATGGGCACTTGACATTTGAGTTCCATGCCATTCACATGTCACAAAATACTCTTCTTTTGATTTTGTTTTTAATCCCAACCATTTTAAAATGTAAAAACCAGCCGGGTGCGGTGGCCCACACCTGTAATCCCAGCATTTTGGGAGGCCGAGGTGGGCGGATCACTTGAGGTCAGGAGTTTGAGACCAGCCTGGCCAACATGGCAAAACCCCATCTCTACTAAAAATACAAAATTAACTGAGCGTGGTGGCGGGTGCCTGTAATCCCAGCTACTTGGGAGACTGAGGCAGGAGAATTGCTTCAATCCGGGAGATGGAGGTTGTAGTGAGCTGAGATCACACCACTGCACTCCAGTCTGGGCGACAGAGCAAGACTCCGTCTCAAAAAAAAAAATATATGTGTGTGTGTGTGTGTGTGTGTGTGTGTGTATGTGTATATGTGTGTGTGTATATATATGTAAAAACCAGCCTTAGCTCACTGGCTGTACAAAAACAGGTGGTGGGAAGAGTTTGGCCCGCGGGCCTGTAGTTCGCTAACCCAGCATTCAAGGGCAGTTTTGCCCAAGAGAAGTACCATGCACGCTATGTCTATCACTTTACGTTTTCTAGTGATCACATCGAGAGGTAAAAGGAAACACGTAAAATTAATGTTAATGATAGTTTTATTTAATCCAGTATATCCAAAATCCAAAATGTTAAACGTGTAGATGACAAGAATTACTACTAAGTTTTTTTTTGTTCTTTTTTTTTTTTTTTTTTTTTTTACACAAAATCTTCAGTGCCCCATGTGCATTTTACCTTCCCAGCCCATCCCAGTTTGGGCCAGCCCCACTTGGCAGCCTTATAGGATGGCATAGCTCTAGGGGCGCCCCGCCACAAACCGCCGCCTGGTGCCAGGGTTGAGTTAGAAATCTCCAGGCAGGTTCCTCTGTTTCTGATTTCTGCTATTTGTTTTCAAACCAGGACACTAAGGGGGAAGGTACATTGCTTTAAAACTGTCTCTGGGGGATCCCAGCAGTTTAAGGGGAAAGGGCTCTTTTTTAATAACCTCAGGCCCTGTCCCAAGTGCCACAGTGGTGAAGTGTCAGGGTCCTGGGTGTGGAGGGGAGGCGTCTCTTCGGGAGACCACAGGGCAGCCAGGAGGCCAAGGGCCTGACCCTGCCAATGTCTGCCCCTCTGCACACTCTTGCAACAGAGGGCCCCTGTATTGGTATTTCCCATGTTCCCTGCACCCAGGTCTCCACTGGTGCAGCATTTGATAACTCAGATTTATTAGCTTCAGCATTGTGGGTCTGCAGGAAGGAATCTTGGTGTGGCTGTGAATCTAGTTCCACATGTGGTGTGACTTCTGGCCCGTTACGAACGCCTGTGCGTCTTCCCTCCATCTGTGGGATGAAAGGGGAAGCCAGCCTGCCCCAGGGGTTAGGAGAGGACCGTGCCCCAGGGACACCTTTGGACAATGGGGAGCTGGAACCCTGTGCAAAGGATCACTCACAGAGCAGGCAGAATTGCAGATGCAGACTGACTTGCCGGGAGAATTTCAGAAAACAGAAGGAAATCATGATGGATTGAGTTTATTCTTTTCCCGAACAATTTCTGTTGTGGTTTGCTGAGAGAATGTGGCCCGTGTTCACAGGGACGTTCTGTTCTTTAGCAGCAAGAGCTGGAACGACTGTTGACCATTTTACCTGCCCTGTAGGTCCAAGTCAAGGCCCCTTTTATTCAAACATCCCGAAGTCATGTGACTCTTAAGATCGCACCAATGGACTTGGTGGACAGACTGAGGTATCCTGATGATGATTGTTCCAGGTCTGTTCTGAGAAGGAACAAAAAGGTTTTCTCTTCCCCAGTGGATCTTTTTTTTTTTTGGACAGAATCTCACTCTTGTCACCCAGGCTGGAGTGCAGTGGCATGATCTCGGCTCACTGCAACCTTCGCCTCCCAGGTTCAAATGATTCTTGTGCCTCAGTCTCCCGAGTAGCTGGGATTACAGGCGCACACAACCATGCCCAGCTAATTTTTGTATTTTTAGTGGAGATGGGGTTTTGCCATGTTGGCCAGGCTGGTCTTGAACTCCTGACCTCAAGGGATCTGCCTGTTTCGGCCTCTTACAGTGCCGGGATTACAGGTCTGAGCCACCATGCCCAGCCCCACAGTGGATCTCTTAAGTGAAAAGCTGCAAATGTAAGCATTTTAATAAACTTTGATACAGAACTGAGAGTGTACTGAAAGTGTGTTTGAAATGCACTCATTTTTCTGCTTTGCTAGAAAAAGTTTTTCTGCTTTTGAAGTTTTGGATCATGAATGTATATATATTCTCTATGTCATCTAATAATAATTTTACATTCAGCCTATAAACTGTAAGGGATTTGTTATTCCTATTTTTTGTAGATTAAAAAATTGTTTATTTTAGAAAAGAGATAATTGTGATATAATTCATTTAGGTAGATGTTATTTGTATTGTATATTAAACCTTAAACCTTTTTTTTCATAATTTGCTGCATTTTAGTTTTGCCAACCTCTCAATATAAACAAGTTTACAAAACCTAGAAACTCTTAACTTTGCTTAGGGTTGAGGAATACCTGGAGTGAAAACCCCAGACAAAGTTGATTTATTTCATACATCATTATTGTACTGGTAGAATAGCAACAAATGCCCTTCCTGTTGAAGAATGAATATTTTATTGAGATGATGGTTTTACATACCTCTCCTCTCCGCAGTCTTCATCGATGAATTTGTCACTCTCTTTATGAATCTGTCACTCTCTCATTTGTCCTGAAAATCTGAAATATAGTTGTTGGAGTAGAAGTTAGTACACTTTCTGCTCTCCACCAGAGTTTACAAAAACACTTTAAGTTAGGGGCTTTTCACTTAGGAGATCCATTCGTGGGAAAGATAACCTCCTTTTCCCTTCAGAATAGATCTGGAACAAAGTGTATTTCATCAGCTGTTTTTAAGTAGGTCATTTACATATAATAATTAAAAAATGGATAACAATACTGGTTCAGAAAAGCTGTTTCTCAGAAGGAAGAGTGAAGTAACTCAAAGCAAACCAAACTCCTTTAAGAAGATGCTTCTTAAAGCATCTTCTTAAAGGAGATGAGAATTAAATGCAGTGTAATGAGTTTGCATTCCTTCGTTTCAGCAGGTTTTTTTGTGTTGTTTGTGTCTTATTCCCATGCTATTGGGAATTACAGTGAGATAAAAAGGAACCCTTTACAGTGGGTCATTTTGTGAGTGCTTGAGAATGTGTGGGGTGGTTTGGAAGCCAAGTGGAAGGGAAAATGTAGGGGATTTAAAGTATAAAATTGCAAGAGAATCACATTTTGTTGGTGTATTTAAAAGTGCCACAAAGAAAGCACAAAAACCTGACCTTGTTTTTCCCCGGACAGAACGAATCTCGCCTTTTGTCCCATGTGTCTCAAGACTGCTGTCCAACTCAGTTTTGTCACATTTTCAAGGCTAAGGCAGAGTTAAATTGCTTCCTCATTGTGGGGCTGGGTCCCGTTCTTGGAGGTGACACTTCAGGTTACCTGTTACTCCTGCTTATGGATCTGATGTTCAGAGCAGCAAGTTTATTACTTTCACGGAGGGTCAGTTTTCGTGCTTGCTATATTAGTCACTGAAATGCTTCTTTTGATAGGTCAGATGATATTGAAACAAACTAGAATTCTGTTTCCTGTCTGACTTGTGGAATTGCAGTATCAGTGTTCAGAAAACTTACCAGACTTTTGAACGTAAGATCGACTAGCATTCAAGTAGAATTACAAAGTCCAAACGATATGACTCAGCTGGGATAAAAAGTGCTGTTTTATCTTTTTTCTGTTCCAGTGACTCAGCAAAAACAGTGCTTTGGACATACGGAAATGTAGGCAAACGAATATTTCTGCATAAAGGGAAAATGTAGACCTTTACTTTTAGGACGACTGTTTGTTAGTGGACCAGCCCAAAATTCTTTTCAGAGTTTTGCAAATCCACCTGAGTCTCCACAAGTGCAATTTCATCTGTGGGTTCTTCTCTTGAAAGTGATTTAAGCCTCCGTAGCAAGTCACCCCGCACCGGCATACATCTGGGGGGCTCAAGAGCTTAGGCTGTTTCTATCCAGTCATGTGAAATTTATAGTTGTTCAGTTGCCTACGGTTCACCTAGTCAGGTGGGACCTCAGTATTACAATAAATGAAGGTGTTCTGATTAAAACATCCCTTTCTTAGACAAACCATGACTGGTTTTGGAGGTTAGTGGAAAACTGACACAAAACTACAAGCTTACGTTTAATCGCTTGGCAGAATTTCTTTCATATTCATTTGACCACTGTTTAATATGCTTTAAGATGTCTGAAGTTGGAGCTTAGAATGTACACTGTGTCCTACTTTTAAATGAGAGGAATTCCAGTAGCTAAGACCAATCCTATTCCCTGTCCTGCAACTCCTGGATGTGGACACTTTTTTTGCTGGGAAGTGAATTGATCTGAATGTCATTCTTCCAGGGAATTAATATGAAGCTACCCATTTTAATTACTGAACCAGAATAAAACATTGACAACTGGCACTGAAGGCTTTACTCTTTGTTTATCTTGTATAAGGGGATCAAGATAGACAGAGACACTTTGCTTTTAAGACATATACGGTGATTTTTCACAAAATGGTGTGAACATTTAGCACCTTTCTTTTCATACTATAAAAGGAGATGATGGTTGTGGAACTCACTGCAGATAACTCATTACTTGGTTTTCCAGCCACAAATTTGTGTGGGTAATTTAGTTAGAGCCAAATACTTAGGGCAACATTCTCCTTGCCCAAATTAAACCATTTCTTTTCAGATAATAGTACAAAGTGCATAGTTTATACACGACAAAGTCTTCATCATCTTGGCCATCGAGATATTTACAGTCGAAAGAGGAAATTGCATTTTGAGGAAAAAGTGTGTGAGACGTTTCACAACATGAGAGTAAGTTTATTTTATGGAAGCTACTATTGAGCGCCTGCTCTATGCCAGTCACTGTATTAGGCATTTAAATACATTCGCTTGGTGAATGTAGTAAGATCTTTAAATATATACATTTTAAAGAATTTAAAATGGTACAATGTTCTGTGAGTTTTTCTGCAACTAATTTTTTTTTAATTTTGCGTAACATTTCAGTGTATTTGCTTTAAGGCATGTGTAGGGTGCTGTTGTGTGTACACACCCTCAGTGATTTCCAGATGCCCAGTGCCCAGTGTGGCCAGAGCATGGACCCACTGGCACAGATTTGGTCTGTGAGCAGCCAGCAGGAGGTGCCCGTGTGTGCCAGCTGGCTGCTGCCCTGTGGAGCCGCCTTTCTTTGTCCTGTCTCCTGTTGGACATTTGGGCTGCTATCAGCTTTCTCTTAGCGTGCAGGGAACTTTACTAATATACGAGTTTGTGCACTTGTGGGAATATTTCTCTAGGATAAGTTCCCCGAGGTGGAATTTTGGGGATGGAGGGGCATTTTAATTGACAGATACTGCCAAATTTACCAACAAAGATAAAGTACCATTTTACGTTCCCTGCAAAACTCAGTGCTTTCTCTTTGTCAGTGCTTGATATTATCAGTCGTTTAAGTCTTGGCCAACTTAATAGAGGAAAATACCATTGCATTTAAAAATCGTAAGTGATTATGAGGATTTCTTAATGTTTATTGCTCATTTTATCTCTCTTGTGAATCACCTGTTACTTCGTCACATTATCCAGTGAAGTTATTCATGATTTGTTGATTTATAAGAACATTTTGTTTATTGGGGATAATAGTCTTTTGCTGATGAGTTACAAATATCTCTTTGGGTAACTTGTTTTGTATCTTCCGTCACATATGTTTTCCAGATACAGAAACATTCAGGTAGCCTATATATGAGTTGTTTCTTAAAATGTGTGAAAGATTTCAGGTGTGGACTTGACTCATCTCTCACATTTGGGTAGGTGGAGGAGAGAGCTCTGGTTTCTTGCTTAAATATTGGTCTGTTTACTTTTTTTGTCCCTGAGTGAATTTTGGACAGTTAGATTTTATTAGAAAATTATATTTTTCATCCATATTAACAAGTGTATTAACCTAGAGTTTGAAAAACATTGTATGATTTTTTAAAATTTTCCTTCTGTCTGTGGTTATTAGACCTAATTCCTCCCAACCTCTTTTTTCTTCTTGATTAGGCCAGCTAGTTATTTATCTCATTCATTGGGGTTATCATAGAGCCAATTACTGATTTTGTGTATCAGTTTTACTGTAGTTTTTCTTATTTATTGTTACTCTTTAAAATTCAAATTTAAGGGTTTTATTATATTTTTGTTACTGGTTGAATTGAATATTTTTAATTATTGTAGCAAGTAATTGAATTTTATTTTAGCTTTCTTGTGTACCATAAATTTTGACACTGGTACTTTGAAGAGAGTTTGCAGTTTCACTTTGATTTCTTCTTTGTTTCAGGAGTTGTTACAGAGAGTTTAGAATTTTCCAAATGGCTGAACTTCTATGAGTGTTGTTTTTGTTTTTGCTTGTTAATTTTTAGTGTCATGGTACTGTATTATGGAGCTCCTGGGACCTGTACTGTTTTGAATTTATGGAACTTTTAGAGCCTTCCTTGTGGTTAATATGGAGGCATTTGATGTTCTATTGCCAATTTAGCAAAATAGCAAATTGTGGAGTGTGATACTCATATATTAGATAAGCCTTACTTTATTTTTCAAGCTGTCTGTTTCTTACTACTTTTGCTTACTTAATCTGCCATGCTTACGAGAGATTTGCCAATTCTTCCAGATCATTTTTCTCTGTTTGTCTTTTCAGGTATTCACTGTAGCTGTTTCTAAATGCATTTTATTCTGTGTTTGTGTTATTCTGTGTTATTTGACTTAAAAGTGTAATATAACTACAGCTGGGGGAGGGGTGCTTTCCTGTAATCCCACTTCTTGGGAGGCTGAGGCAGGAGGATTGCTTGAGCCCAGGAGTTTGAGGCCAGCCTGGGCAACACAGAGTAAGACCCTGTCTCAAAAAGAAAGCCCCCCCCCCCCCCACACAAAAACAACCAACAACCCAGTGTTAGGACAATTACATCTTCTTTGTGAGTTCTACTTTACCCTTTATGATTATAAGATAGCTACTTTTTTTTTTTTTTGGAGATGGAGTCTCACCCTGTTGCTCAGGCTGGAGTGCAGTGGTGCAATCTCAGCTCACTGCAAGCTCCGCCTCCTGGGTTCACGCCGTCCTCTTGCCTCAGCTTCCCAAGTAGCTGGGACTACAGGCGCCCACCACCAAGCCTGGATAATTTTTTGTATTTTTAGTAGAGACAGGGTTTCACCGTGTTAGCTAGGATGGTCTCCATCTCCTGACCTCGTGATCCGCCCACCTTGGCCTCCCAAAGTGCTGTGATTACAGGCGTGAGCCACCGCACCCAGCCAACTACTTTTGTTTAATTGCCTTTTTTGACCACACATTAAACTTTTAATGGTATATTTTTTCCATGTTGCTTTTGTTTGTACTTTTCTGATATATTTTTCTCTACGTGTCCAGCTTTTCCGAGTTCCTCAGTCATAGGTGTTTTTTTTTTTTTTTTTTTTTTTTGCAGAGAGCAAATAGTCAATTTAATTTTTAACCCTATCATGGAGTCTTTTTTTAAATAAGTGAGTTTATTCCATTAATATTTATTTCTGAAACTGACTTACTTGGTCTTCTTTCCTAATTAAAGAAAAAAAAAACTTTTGTGCTTCCTCGCTTTTTCTTCTTTTCTCTTTATTGGAATATGAATTATATTTCTTGTCCTTTAATTATTAAAATCAGAAAGCATATAGAAAGCATATAATGCTTTTGCTTCCACTAGTGGCGGTATTTATAATGTTTTCTTAAAGCTGTATTAATGTATCAACATCAGTAGTAATACAATTTGACTTCCCCTTTGGGAAAGAAGTTAGAACACTTCTATTACCTTCCTCTTCTTTCCCCATCTCCTCCCTCTCCCCACATTGCTATTGTCATTCCTTTTTTGGCTGTTGTTTTTTAGTCTATTAGTGTTAATTTTTAATTTTTACATGACATAGTTTTTATTTCAAGACAGGTAAGGATCGCATGTTTATTTTATGTGTAGATCACAGTTATTTGGATGTAATTCTATTTATATTTATTTCCTTGCTTACTGGATTTAGTGATCATTGCCGGATTTTATTATTGCTTTTTCTGCCTGTGAGGCCTTCATTTGGAGCCATCCTGTTTGACCGGATGACCTTTCCAGGTTGCTCTTAAAGGACTCTGGTGAGGACACTCGTCCTTATGGAGGAGCTAGCCTGAGCTAGGTGAGAATCCAAGCAGCAGAAAAGTGGGTCAGAGCCCAGGAGAGCTAAGGAAATTTCATATTGCTGAAGCCAGAGGTGCATACACCTGTGTGTTCATGCGTGTGAGCGCACGTGTCGCAAGTGCATATGTGTGTAAGTGTGCCTGAGTGTACGTGTATATACACACATACATGCATATGTGAATATACACACGTGTAAGTGCGCCTGTGTATAGGTGCACGTTTGCAAGTGTGCCCGTGTAGTGAGCCTATGCAAATGCACACACACATGTGCAAGTGTCTGTGCACATGCCTGTCAGGGATGGCAGGGGTGTCTGGGTGGTAGCCAAGAGCTGATGTTTGAGAAGCCGTTAAAGACCACATCATCTTGACTGTGAATTGTCTTGAGGAATATGGACTCCGTCCCAAGGGCAATGGGAAGAGATGTTGTGGAGGGTCCCTCAGCCAATCTGCAGCAGGGAGGAAGCGTCACAGGCCAGGGACGCTGACCAAGGGACCGGCAGGAGGTTTCTGAAGGGAAGATGGTTTGATGGTTCAGAACAGGAAGAGGATGGAGCTCTGGGCTAGATTTGTGACTGAGAAACTGGAGCAGAGTGCCGTGATTCTGACTTGGTTCATGCTGGAAGGTCTAGAGTCTGTAAGACTTGGTCCATCCACTGGATGCGTTGAGAGGGAGGGAGGGTGCAGGGCAGCTGTTGTATCCTGGGTAGGACCCTGCAGGGACACAGTCCTAGTGGGCGTGATGTCCTGGAATGAGACATCCAGGGTAGACAGTTTGGGTGGGGCCGGAGTCCCAGAACAGCTTCCATCTGCTGTGGGTGTCTTGGGGACACCTGCAGTAAGATAGGGATCTTAGGGTGTTTAGCCTCCACGGACTGGCAGCATGACTGCATGCTGGACCCGGCTCCTGGGGGAAGTCGGCTCCAATTCTGGGATCTCCCGTTCAGCGATGTGACAGGATCTAGCGTGACGGGATCTAGTGAGGCCCCGACTGGTGCCTGGCTGAGGCCCAGCTGTCGTGTGTGGAGTGTTTCCACCAGTGGTGGCCTCTGGACACCAGAAATGCTGTTCACATGGGCCCACCGCAGGTCAGAGAACTTCTGAACTGGAAAAGGCCTCCCAATTTGTCCATTACAAATGACACATTTCACAGATGGGAAAAACGAGGGCCAAAGAAGAGAATGACCCATCTAAGGCCACATGTCTGACCAGAGAAATGAGAGTTGGCCCAGGAATCAGTCCGTGTCTGGGGTCGCTGCCCTCTCTTGCCAGGTGTTAGAGGTGATTCAAGAGCTGCAGCAATCCATTCTGTCACCTTTTTCGGGAAGAAAGTAAGGCAGAAAAGTCCCTGAAATAATATGTCTTTTTTTTTTTTTCCGTGTGGAGGATGTGGAGGGTTTGCTCAGTAAGTATGGTAATCATCTGAACGGATATGCCAGATATGCATACTTTTAGAATTATTCCTGACAAGTTTTTCATAATACCATCTTTATCTGTGTTTCTTGTTTCTTCTGCCCAACAGATTGGTGAGGAATACTGTAAATCATATTTTTGATGTAGGTAAAAGAAAGTATCTGAAAGGTGTTTTTAAAAAATTAATCCACTTACAAAAATATCTTTGAAGAAAGAAAACTGCCTAGGAAGGAGAAAGGAATAGAAAAGAAATTTAAAAAATCAGGTTTTTGTGGAACTGTTTTTCTTTTTTCTTTTTCTCAGGCTCCCGAGTAGCTGGGACTACGGGCGCCTGCCACCATGCCAGGCTAACTTTTGTTGCATTTTTTAGTAGAGACGGGGTTTCCCTGTGTTAGCCAGGATGGTCTTGATCTCCTGACCTGGTGATCCGCCCGCCTCGACCTCCCAAAGTGCTGGGATTACAGGCGGTAGCCACCGCGCCCAGCCTTGTGGCACTGTTTTTAAGTGCAGGGCAAGCCTTACAGTATGTAGGGATTTATAGAAAATCATAGATAAGAAGTCCTTAATGAATTAGGGTAGAACTTCAGTGCTTTTGGCCAAGGGTGGTCGTTAAATGTTTGTAACAAAAATCAAATGGAGTAAAATTCTCAGAATAAACCAGAGAGCACAGAAGAGGGTTCGTATGGAATTTCCAGTCAGGAAGAAGCAGACCATTCCAAAGCTCATTGATATAAGGGCTCCTTGGATCAGAACAGTGCAGTGTCCGCTAAATGTTGCATGTAAGATCACTTCAGCTTGGAATTTCTTAAGCAGTTAGTGCAGAAAGAGTAGCTCTGTTAAAGCATACTTGTGTTGGGTAGAAATGTTCCCTTCATGGAACTTTTCTATATATATATGAATTAGAATTGTATCCTGACCACTTGTGATTTGTTCCAGATCTAAGTTAAAAGTTGGGGGGAAAACGCCAAGCAAAGGGAAACTGCACATTGGTTGGCTCAGATAACTCAGCAGTTAACGTGAATTGTCAAAGCCGGGTAATCCACCAATGGGCGGTTCCAAATCTGAGAACGTGAAAACTGGCTCTCTCATCTAGAAAAATGTGTTTTGGTTTGTTTTGTTTTTAAACAGTTTATGGATTCTGGTGATGACCTCTGACATCCTTATTTGGGATAATACCATTTAAAGATGAACATATTTCATGCAGTTTTAACAGTAGATTATTTACTTAACAATGCCTTATAAATATTATCTCATTTGTATTTTGTAATGATTTCCTGAGTACAATTTTAAAGCATTTCAAATGATTTTGAGCATTTAAAACCTATACTTTTTGTTTTGTGTTTTTTATTGTGATAAAATATATGTAACATAAAGTTTACCATTTTAGCTATTTTTTAAGTGTACAGTTCAGTGCCTGTATTGGTTTTTTATAATTAATGAATATTAGTTGAAAGACACATGAGGCAGCTCTGTCTGCTTTTCTGAGTACAGTGGTTTAACCTTTCAGATTCCAGGACTTTCTAACGGAAGAAGATAAAAATAGAAAATGAAGTTTTGATTTAATCCCAACATTAAATTATATTTTTAAAAATATTAAACTTTTTGGTCAGAAGACTAAAGTTACCATACTTTCTTTAATCTAAAAAGTGAGTCTCCTCCCTTATCCCAACCCGGTAATTTTTAATTTCTTCTTACACTGAAAGAAAGCTCTTTTATCTTGAATGCAGTAGTGGAAACTATTATTAGGTCTTTGGTTATTTCAATGTAGAAAGGAAAATATGTAACCTAAAATCATGAGTGCCTTCTTTTAACTGTCCATTTTGTGGAATGTATACATTCAGAGATATTTATTAAAACTTATTTTTAAAAAGCCCTCTAAATATAAAGATATAATGAGTGTGGCTTTTTTAGTAATATAAAAAATAGGACTGCAAATCCTTAATAATCATATGTTTGGGGTGTAATTTTGGACTGGTGATTTCACCACACTGCACAGTTGACTAATTTTATATTTTGCTGGGAGAAGGCAAAAACTTTCTTCCAGTAAAGGGAACATTCGCACACCCTGATTTGACTACCTCGGTTATTTATATTCAGGCGTACAGAGCTAAACATGTAGAAACATCATGACTTCATTACAAAATCCAAAACTATTCAAGAATGAACATTAAATGCCTTTAAAATCGGGCTGGGAAGTTGGAGACATTAGAACTCTTCAGACCTGGAGGCTCTCCCCAAGTGCTTCTTTGTAGCAGTGTGGTTTAGTGGTTCAGGACCTTCCATTGTTGAAGGACATATAATATACAATGGAGTGATAAATAAAGTCCTGGCAACAAACACTCTTTGAGGACTAAACAAGGAACTGATGGGGAAGATGGCTCAGCATTTTAAGTTACTCTTCTCAAGTGACAGTTTTCAGGGGTGTCAATTTTTTGGCTTCCCTCGGCCACATTGGAAGAAGAGGAACTGTCTTGGACTACACATAAAAGATGCTAACACGGCCGGGCGCGTTGGCTCATACCTGTAATCACAACACTTTGGGAGGCCGAGGTGGGTAGATCACTTGAGCTCAGGAGTTTGAGACCAGCCTGGCTGACATGGCGAAACCTCGTCTCTACAAAAAATAGAAAAAAAATTAGCTGAGTGTGGTGGTGCACACCTGTAGTCCCAGCTACTAGGGAGGCCAAGGTGGGAGGATCGCTTGAGCCCGGAAGGCCGAGGTTGCAGTGAGCCAAGGTTGCACCACTGCACTCCAGCCTGGGCGACAGTGAGACCCTGTCTCAAAAAAAAAAAAAAAAAAAGACACTAATGATGAGCCTAAAACAAAAAACAAAAAACAGCAAAAAACCTCATAATGTTTAAGAAAGGTTATGAATTTGTGTTGGGCTGCCGCGGGTTGGACAAGCTTGGACTTTAAATTGTCCAGAGAGCGAGTGTGATTGTTTTTCTTACTAAAAGAGCACGGGGCTGCTCCAAATCACAAGTATTGTAGGACACTGCCAATCCTAATTTTGATATCTCTAATTTCAGATAAACATAAAAAACACATTTCTGTATACATAGAGAGCAGAAGTTCTCTATTTCTGAACCTTTTTGATCCATCAGAGCCAGAGAATCTCCTGGGATGCCTTGAGTGGCCTGAAGTGGTCAGTTCACAGAATAGGCACGGGCTGGCTGGGGTGTGTTGGCTGCTGCAGGGAGTCCCGCAAGGCCGTCCGTCGCGTGCTGTCCGTAGGGAGGTCTGGAATGCGCCGCAGCTACTCTTTGCTTGCAAGGCTGCCTGGGATGACAGTGGGAGTTAGCAGTCAGCAGATAGTTGAAGCACTCATTTCTGTCCTTCGTTTATTACTTATATGTAGCTGCCCTGAGCGGGATGGGATGCATGTAGTTATTCGATAACTGGACTTGAATTTATTTGGTAAAAATAACTCAGGAATCGAACGGGCTTACAGTTTGAACATGCCTGCAAATGCAGGAAATTGCTAAACTTCTGCTTTGAAAATGAGGCAGCCCATGTAGATTGCAACATGTTTTTGAGGTGTAGCCTTTGAGTGGGCTGGGGCTGTTGTCTTTCTCAAGATCCCAGTTAGGAAGGAGCAGCAGGGACTCCCCTCTGGTTTGGACCTCCCCACCACCAGCCTCCGAAGCCTTGTCCCCTCCTTGACTGAGCACTTACTTGCAGCCTCCAGGAAAGCCCAGCACCTGTGGATGCTGTAATTCCAGCACTGCCCCCGAGGTGTGCTTAATATCTAGTTAGGGCGAGAGAGATCTCAGGGCAGAGCGTTTGCCCAAATCATTTCCTCTCTGGGACAAGAGACACGCAGGACTTCCTGCCAGCCCAGAGGGGCTGTGAGCTGCAGGTTCCGAGAGACACGCAGGACTTCCTGCCAACCCAGAGGGGCTGTCAGCTGCAGGTTCCGAGAGACACGCAGGACTTCCTGCCAACCCAGAGGGGCTGTCAGCTGCAGGTTCCGAGAGACACGCAGGACTTCCTGCCAGCCCAGAGGGGCTGTGAGCTGCAGGTTCCGAGAGACACGCAGGACTTCCTGCCAACCCAGAAGGGCTGTGAGCTGCAGGTTCCGAGAGACACGCAGGACTTCCTGCCAGCCCAGAGGGGCTGTCAGCTGCAGGTTCAGCGAGGCCACGGCTGCCTCTGCCTGATTTTACTTCCCAGAGGCCAGCGTCTCCTGGGTTTTGCCTCTCTGGGGCCCCCCTGCCTCCCAGGGCCCTTTGCCTGCACCTCTGGGTGGTCCTTCCCTGTGAGGCTGCAGAACCAGGGTCCTGCCCCAGGGCATCCCTTCCCATGTTTGCTCCCCACGTTCACCGCCCGTGGCATCACCACCATAGACTCCAGGTCCTGGTGATACCCTGGTGGAGGGACTTCTGTGTCATCCTGTCTCCTGTTGCATCAGCTGTGCGTGTCCCAGCAGGGATGGCCCTCGTGGCCCCTGTGCATGTCCAGGGTCCCTTCTCTACTTTTCCAGCCCCCACTGTAGGCACGTGTCCCCACTGGGTGTCTTGCCTCACACCCATCCCAGGCTTGGCAGGCAGGCACCACTGCGTCCTGTGTGCCACGCTGTCTAGAGAGCCTGTCCACAGAGTGCCTTTCTCCTTGACTAGATCTCCTGGAGATGCGCGGCCCCGGCACCTGCATAGAGCACTTGGGTCCGGCCGTGCCAGCCAAGTAGCCTCTTTGGTGTCCCCGCCATCCCACCTGGCTTGGTCCTTGTGGGCCTCACAGATGCTGGTAGCCTGGTGAGCGTGCAGAGCGTCGGCCTCCGTGCCAGCATCCCGTCCACGTGGCAGCATGGGTGCACCATTATGGGAGTGGGGAACTGACAGAGAGACCTGAATGCTGTTCTCAAGGGGCAGGAGGTCCTGAGACTCCCAAGGGAACGGAGTCTCTGTTGCAAGAGCCCTCCCTGTGCCCCTGCCTGCCTGGAGCAGTGGAGAGCGAGGTGGCCGCCCGGGTGGGATGGAGTCCGTCTGTGAGAAGCACCCTAGGAGTAAACCCAGTAATTAGTGTCGTAAATCAAATCTCTCCCGGAGCCTGAATTAACGTCACTCCTAAGGGAACGTGATGGTTTCCAGTATGGCTTAGACCGTCACCCAGGGACATTAGAAGTAGGGGGAAGAAACAGTTGATCATCAGAAAATGCATCGAGAGGACTGCTTGGGGCCTCTTTAAATTGAAAATGGTGTGTCTTTGCCCAGCAGAAGTTTGAACTGGGAAGTGTGTTGAACAGAAGGGTTTGGGCGCAGTCTAGCTGTTCCTGGGATTTCGCCTTTGCTGTCCCAGGAGCCCATCTGGGAGCCTGTGCTGCGCTCGGGTCCTTCTCCCAAGTCCCTGCTGGTCCCTGATGGCTCCTTGGTCCATCTCTGTTTTCGTGACCATCACACTTCTGAGGAGGACTGGCCGGGTGTTTTGTGGAACCCATAAGCTCCAGGTCCTGGTGACGTCCTGGTGCAGGGACTTCTGTGCCCTCAGTTTGGGTTCTTGCGTGTTTTCTGATTGGTTTAGCCCAGGGTTATCGTTCCCGGGAGGAAGATAACCTTCTCCCGCAGGGAGAGGCCCTTCTCATCGCAGCACATCAGGGGTTGGTCTTGTAAACATTTACTCGTATTTTCGCCTCTTTCCAGCCCTGCCTTTGTCTGTTACTGGTTAATACATCTGAAAGTAAAGGTATAAAGTTTCTTCCCTGTCTGTCCCTCCATCCTGGAGCATTTCTCCCGTGTGCTGTCCAAGGACGCCGCAGGGTCAGCCTTTCTCAGACACAGATTGGCCCCCTTGGCCCAAAGGAAATAGATTTTTAAAAAGGCCTCTTTCTCCTTTGAGTTTCCTTGACTAGAGAATCTCTCCTCTTCTGCTGTCGAAGAGTAAGATCTTTTCTGTTTCTTCTGCCCTGTTCCACCTGTAACTGCCAAATCTGAAGCTGGTGTCCAGGGGCAGGAAAGCATCTCTGGATGTGCATAACCCGAAACCTTGGTCTCAACCCCTGTGGCCTGTCGAAGAGGGGAAACTAAGCCAGAAAATAGCTTGTGCTTAGTTTAAAAAACTGACACATGTTGAAGACACGATGTCCAGCAGATAGTGTGGATGACCACGCCATTTTGGTGTACGATGCATGCCAGCCTTGAGCTGCGTGGCGAGCCCTGGGCCCTGGCACCTCTGGAGCCTCTCTCCTCTGGCGGCTCCCCTCGAGGTTGCCTGAAGGTGAGGAGGGTGCAGCTGCCCTCATCGGATGCACGGCTGTATCCCTGGGGTCGCATTCCAGTAGTTTCTCCGCATCACTAAAGATACTGGGGCTCTAGCATCCATTCCCACTTGGGCTCCTCCAACTGCGTAAGGCTCCCATGATACATCCCCCACCCTTCAAAAGATGCCTTGACTAAATCATGAAAAAAAGGAGACTTTTTAACCTTTCCATAAGTGAGATGGCCAGGCTGGGGTGCCAGAGAGGCCCTGCAAGTCCAGGAGGCCACTGTCCCCATCTGAAATGGCCAGGCTGGGGGTGCCAGGGAGGCCTTGCAAGTCCAGGAGGCCACTGTCCCCGTCTGAAATGACAAGGCTGGGGGTGCCAGAGAGGCCCTGCAAGTCCAGGAGGCCACTGTCCCCATCTGAAATGGCCAGGCTGGGGGTGCCAGGGAGGCCCTGCAAGTCCAGGAGCCACTGTCCCCTATCACTGCGCATCACCCTGCCTTTCCACATAGGTCTGGGGGCTCTGCACCTTTGTCTCCATGACTCTTGGGGTTTCCCAGTGATGGTTCTGAGATTTCTGAATGCCAGCTTGAGACAGCAAAGGCCCCAGTCATGCCAAGCTATGTGTGAGTCCCACTTTCTGTTTTTGAGACTGAGTCTCACTCTGTCGCCCAGCCTGGAGTGCAGTGGTATGATCTCGACTCACTGCAACCTGCACCTCCTGGGTTCAAGCGATTCTTCTACCTCAGCCTCCCGAGTGACTGGGACTACAGGCACACGCCACCACGTGCCACGTTTTTAATGTACCTTTAGTACATTAAAAATTTTTAAAGTACTAAAATTTTTTTTTGTATTTTTAGTACAGACGGGGTTTTACCATGTTGGCCAGGCTGGTCTTGAACTCCTGACCTCAAGTGATCCACCCACCTCAGCCTCCCAAAGTGCCGGGATGACAGGTGTGAGCACCCGCGCCCGGCCTTGAGTCCCACTTCTGAGACTGTAGATGGAGAAACATGGCGTGGTGCCGTAAAGAACGGGAAGTGATGGGGAGATCTTGTTTCGGTGGATCTTCTTCTGTCTTTTTTCCTTTTGAAAAGTGTGTGTAGTTCAGGACTGAGAACATAAGCTTTCGAGCACTGCTTATTGCTCAGGCAGTGGGAATAGTTTATTATGAATACTTTGCTAGTGTCTGTTTTAAAGCTTGCTGTCAAATCGCTTTGGAATGACTTTCAAGTCTAGTGAGAGCTGTGCCACACCCTGAAACATCTGGGGATTCCGTGGTCCCAGGTATAAGTGGGACACCGATTTCAGTGGGCACGTCTGCGTTGCGGTCACAGACTGGCTCCCTAGTACCCTAGTGTGTTTTGTAAACGCAGATGCTGCGGAGGAGGTGAGTAGGTGGCGCCCCACAGACCCATCCCCAAGAAGAGCGAGAGCCACCCAGGGGCCTGGCATTTCTGGCGGTCGGCAGTGTGATGCGCACACCAAGCGCAGTCCATGCCAGGAGCTCAGGGCATATGCATAGCAGGTGTTCCCTGGTGACATTTTGATAGGCTGGATTGACAACTAAATGCAGATTGTTCCGCTGCTACAGTTAGGCGGCGTCCTGGTTACCTTCGCTGCTGCGTTTGTGCTGTGACTGTTGAATGCTTCTCCTGCTCCTGGCTGCCCCTCACAGATGTGGGAAGTCCTATTAGAAACCACACTGTGTGGGATTTTCCCAGCAGCCCCACTTGGGGTGATTTAATTCATTCTGAAAATACCTACGGTAGCCCCAAAACGTCCTTGGGCATTGTTTTAATTTTTCTTAAAGAGAAGCAGTGGCAAATGGTTCTTAAAAACATAATTAGATGAATACTAAACTTTTCCTCATTTCAGAATCTGAGAGAGGCCGAGTGGAGTTCGGTCCTTCTCTGAACACTTTTAGCTGAGAGTACCAGCATCCAACTGGGAGCGTTGTCATTGCATTTCCACATTCCCAGGAAAGCCCAGGTAGGTGCAGTTGGATCACCTTCCTGTCAATCCGTCTGACTTCTGTTTCACAAACCTGGAATTTCAATCAAGCTTAAAACAACAGTTATTACTTTATGGTGTAGGGTCGCTTTTCTTGGCATAGCTAGAAAAATGTAAAATGATGGTAAATAGAAGAAAAATAATTAAACCAGAGCACATAACTGGGAAGCCGCCTCTGTGGGCTACTTTGATGAGGACATAGGGATCACAGTGTGAATGAGGTTTTCTGCTGAAAAACAGCCAGTGTAAGCTGATCGTAGAACTTGGTGCTCCTGGGGTGGGGGGTCCATTCCTTTTTATGATCTGGAAAACTATTGGCTCGAGGATATTAGCTTGCATATGAGTAAGACCCACTTTCTTTTCTTGCCCAAGTTTGCACAGCTTATTACAGTTGGGCGATGTTTTTGGGCAGACAGCTCTCTTCTCTTCTGGGAGGTGCCGGAGCAGAGCTGCCTAACGCAGTGATGGAATTGTGTGGTGCAGGCTTCATCTGCGTCCGCACGGGGGCAGGTTTCGGTTGTTACCAGGCAGGTCTTTAATGAGGTGGACCGCTAATCTCTCTGCTGAGACCTGCCCTGACGGCGATGTTTCTAAACTAAAGGGGCGTTGGAGGAGTGCCTGTGTTGGACTGTAGGTCCCTTGTGGGAACAGGAAGATGTGGTGTGAACTGTCTTGTGTTGTTCTTCAGTAATCGATTGGGTCATCATTTGATTAAAGTAGTGAAGTGGTTTTCTTGGGATTCCTACAAAGCCGTCTCTGAGTTTTGCAAATCTGGAGCTGCTGGTGCAAGTCCTGCCCGCTCCCCACTGTGATGGGGTGGCCTCTGGCGTGGAAGTGTGTCCCGTGGGCATGGTCACCAGCGCTCATCGGCGGAGGCTGGAAACACGCTTCTGTGGCAGAAACACTTTGAAAAAAAGGTAGATGCTGGAAGAATATACAAAATGTCATATTAATTTAAAAGGTAACCGGATGTGGGAAGGGTGGGAGCCAGGGCCCGCACGCTTGATATCCGGGCTTGGGCAAGATCATCCCCACAGAGTCACAGGAGGAGGGCGGAGCGGTTTCCCCACATACCACACGCCTGCAGGGCTGGACGCCGCACCCTTCCCATCCAGGTGAGGCTGCCCAGGGTTTCTCGCCTGCTAGCTGGTCCGGCCCATGGCGGGCACTCGGGGGATACCTGTTGACCATCTGATGAGACCTGGGCCCCTCGCCTGTTGGCGACAAGCCTCAAGCTGGTTCCCGTGCGGTCCCTGCATATTTTCGGTACTGCTGAATCTTGGATGGAGACCTGAAGAGGAAGGGATCTTGAATTTGTCAAGCGCCCACTGTGTGCCAGGCGCCCATTTTAAGCACCCGATGTATGTTTTCTGATTTTACGTTTGGATGGCAAGATTGCAAAACGTTTGTGTCCTATAAATGAATTTCTGACAATTGCAGAAGTTATAGGTGACAAATGACTCCTTCCACCCCCAAATTTCCTCTAAAGGCCACATTAAATAGGGTGATCCAGGGCTTCTCAAGTGGTGTAGCCCAACAGGTTGGTCCCAGGTGTGTGGAGACGCTGGTCCCCTGGGCCCTCTTGGTCAGGGAGGCAGCAGAGGGTGGGGAAGTGGCATGTGCCACAGGGCTCGGAGGAAGCCAACATGTTTTTCACAGTGCCTGTTGCGGCCATGGTGATCGGTGTTCTGTTAGACGAGACACTGGCCTCACCATTACATGGTCAGTGTGCAGTGATGACGGAGTGTCCAGGAGGAGCTTGGTTTAGGCAGATAAGTCAGCCCCGTTCAGTATGTTGTTATTTTTATTTATTTATTTATTTTTTGAGATGGAGTCAGGCTCTGTCGCCCAGGTTGGAGTGCAGTGGCATGATCTCAGCTCACTGCAACCTCCGGCTCCCGGGTTCAAGCGATTGTCCTGCCTCAGCCTCCCAAGTAGCTGGGATTACAGGCATGCGCCACCACGCCCGGCTAATTTTTTTTTGTAGTTTTAGTAGAGATGAGGTTTCACCGTGTTGGCCAGGCTGGTCTCCCTGACCTCAATTGATCCACTTGCCTCGGGTTCCTAAAGTCCTGGGATTACAGGCGTGAGCCACCGTGGCGGGCAGTATGTTGTTTAAAAAGGCCCTTCTATTACTTCTGGAAAAACAAAGGGTTAAGTAATTACCCGCCATGAACAAGCGAGGCGATCATGTGGCATGGCTTCTCCGGTTTGGGAGTTTTGATTCTTATTTTCACTGTAGCTTTTTGCAAGTGATCTCTCTCTCGGGGTGTGCTCTGACATGACTTGCACAATTCCAGAACCTCTCTAGCCCTGAACAGAAGCAGAGTAGAGCTGTCTACTTGTCTTTCATGAGCAACTGGGCTCGTTGAAAAAGGGAGGAAAACAGGATCGATCAGCCACCTTCCTCCCAGTTTTTTTACTGGTCAGTGGCCGACTTGCCAGCTGCTCAGGATGGTGTGGCCTCTTGCTTTGTGTTGATTTGGGGTCTTAGAGGTTCATAGGTGATGGCCACAGTGGTCGCTTTTGTAGCCCCGGATGTTACTTTGTATTTAGATTGTACCCCTTTTATTGGAAGGTCAAGGAATGTTCTGACAACTCCAGAATGCTCATTCCAGGCACCAGAGAGCGGGGGCCTGGAAGGTGGTAACAGGGAGGCAGGAAGACAGGGAATGGGCTCACAGCCTTGTCGAGGGATGTGGCTCACAGCTTTGACCCTCAGCGTCCTCGTCTGTGAAATGAGGGTGGCATCGCAGAGACGGAGGAGGGCCCTGGACGGTGAGTGCAGGCAGAGGTGCCTCCTGTGCTCTGTGCCAGGATGAGGATTTATGATTGCTAACAGCACTAGGAGTCATCGGAGTTCCGCATGTTTCAACCTTCGGGTGAGTGTCGCCCCTTGCTGTGTTTGGTAGGCACATTCCAACAGAACGAGTCCTGGTCCAGAAATGCAGTGCGGTGTTTTCTGGGCATTCTTCCCATTTGTTAGTGGAAGCATTCCTTGGCGTATGTTGATAGTGGTTAAAAGACTGCATTCTAGTGCAGTGGACATGATTCATTATTTGGGACTGGTGAGACAGACCTGCCCGATGCCAAGGAGGCTGCCTACGTAAAGACCCCACCCGGCGTTTCCTTATCATCAGTATGTTCCTTCTTGTGCCTGCCGGATCGCCTGTTCTTAGCCTGCCTGCCACCGTCTAACCTCGTCTCCGGGGGCCTGCAGTTGGCCCTGAATCCTCCCGCGTTGTGATGGGATACCCACTGTGCTCCAGGAGCAGTGCCTGGTGTAGCGTGAGGCTTCCGGTTCTACCTCCTGCCCTGCCACTTCCTGAAGCCCCGCATCAGGTCCAGGGGAGGCTGGGCCACTCTGACTCGGGCTGTGGAGCTGCTGGACATTTAAAGGCTTGGTGTTGAGAAGTGTTGCTGTTGGCATCATGGCAGACAGTGCTGGAATACATTCCGAGGGAGGCGACGCGGTGCCCGATGGGGTGCACACGGCCGCCACGTCCTGAATGGCACAAATCCTGGGCTGAGCTCAGGGCCAGCTTGGCACGCGAGGCCTCCCTGGCCGGCAGTGGAGGGCCAGAGTTTTCTCCCACGAAGGAAGCTAGGACGGCTGTCCTCAGAGAGCTTGGGTGCCTGTGGGAGGGCTCAATGATGTTGAGTGGATGGTGGCCACGGGTCAGGGCTGTCACCGGCCCAGGATTTCCCGAGCTGGCACTGGGTCCAGTGTGCCTCCAGCAGTGACCGTGCATGGAGGAGAAGCCGAAGCTCGGGGCAGGGAGAGAGCGCCCTATGCACAGGAGAGGGGCAGCAGGTGGGCCCGGCGCCCCGTTACTGCTGCAGCGTCTGGCTCTGTGCGAAGCTGGTAATCCAGGCACATGGGCACGAGTGTTGCTGGTAGATTGTTGGAAGTGGACATGCGTGTTTGCCTCCAGGTAGGGTATTTGAATGAGTGCTTTTATGTAGGTTAAGAGATCACACACATGTGCTCTCTCAGACACACACACACACCCTCGGGCACACTAGCACATGCTCACACATGACACTCAGTCTCTCTCATGTTCACCCAGCTGCTTCCACACTCACTGTCACACACTCTAACCTTTACACACAGGCACGCACACACACGACGGTGAGGCCTGGCATTGCCTACAGGCATGCACACACACAACGGTGAGGCACGCACACGCACGACGGTGAGGCACGCACACGCACGACGGTGAGGCACGCACACGAGGCACACACACGCACGACGGTGAGGCCTGGCATTGCCTACAGGCATGCACACGCACGACGGTGAGGCACGCACACACGACGGTGAGGCACGCACACACGACGGTGAGGCACGCACACGCACGACGGTGAGGCATGCACACGCACGACGGTGAGGCCTGGCGTTGCCCACAGTGCATGCCCCGTCCTGAGGGTCCCGAGCACTACTCCTGTGCCCTTGGTCCTCTCAGGGACGGGATTCCCTTCGTACCTGTCTAGAAAATGCCCCCCGAAACATCTGTGTTGGGAGGGAGAGCGAGCCTTGTGCAGGATGCTTGCTTGGGAGAGAAGCGCAAGAGTATTTGAAAATAGGAACCTTTTAACTCCACCCCACTGACGTTTTCTTTTTCATAATTTTCCTTGCAAAGCACCTTTTTGTGAGGACTTGGGCCCGTCAGGAATTGGAGCTCCATGCACTGCGGGTCCACAGTGCTGTCTGTAGGGTTTTGGAAACTGCAACTTTAAGTGAAAGGACGTAAAATGAAACTCATGTTTCCTTTCCACATCAGCTTTAAAACAAAAAGACTTTATCAAGGATTTCTGTTTGTCATTTCGCATCAAGTTACAGTTTCCAAGAAGCTATAGATGATGTTAACTGAGGACCTACCGTGGCACTTATTAGCTAAGTAAATGATGGCATTGAAGTGTCAGGAGAAAAATGGCCCTCTGCGTATTTAAAACCATGGTGCGCCTGATGTGTGAGGCAAACGTATCCAGCCGAGGTGGATATCATTGCAAATAAGTAGCTGCAAAGTACATTGGGCCTTGAAGGTGAGAAGAAGCTTATCTCTGCAGAAGTAAAAGAGTATTTTCCATTTGTGTCCTAGTGAGCTGTCTTTCAGAGAGTGGCATGGAAAGGAATTTTCCTGCTAGATTCCAAGACTGGATCGACATGTTCTTACAAAGGGAACCTCCTTGGGTTTAAAAAAATGTTGATTATTTCTGGCACCCTTCTGTCCCTGAGACCCAAGTCAGTGGTGGGAGTTGCCCCCATATCACTCTTTTTTATTTTTATTTTGAGACAGGATGTGAGTCAGTCACCTAGGATGGAGTGCAGTGGCATGATCATGGCTCACTGCAGCCTCGACCTCCCCGGCGTCAGGGATCTTCCCGCCTCAGCCTCTTGAGTAGCTGGGACCACAGGCATGCGCTGCCACGCTCGGCTAATTTGTATTTTTTAATCTTTATATAGAGATGGGATCTTGTTATTTTTGCCCAGGCTGGTCTTGAACTCCTGGGCTCAGGTGATCCTTCCGCCTCAGCCTCCCAAAGAGCTGGCATTACAGACGCCGCCCACATCCCTCTTTAAAGCATGATTTTGCATTTGGATTTAGTTTTGGAAGATTTCTTATTTAGTTAACGTAGTTTCCCTTAAGGGATTTAAGAACTAGTTTGAGATAACTGCCCTTCTCAAAGAAAACAAATATGGCTCTGCTTATCAAAAGTGGAGATATGTTCAGTTTAAGAAGGAGAGAAAGCTTAAAATTGTTTATAAATCCTGAAGCTCCTTGTTGAGAACTTTCCAGAAAGGAATCTTACATGCAAGGAGCATTTGTAGATCATTTTCTTTGCCACATACATGTGGTGTAATAAACATATACCTACACACGCTTAAAAGGGAATGTCTTTTTGTTCACTGCGTGTTGTCTTACTGGCAGGCTGCATAACCCTTCTCCTGTGCTGTCAGCTTAATTTAGCCTGATGACAAATCTGAAGCCTGTGGTCTTCCCTTTCTGTGGCTTCCACTGTTGCAGATAAAACAGGTGGTACCTGTGCGTGATTTACCCAGCCTCACAGCACAATATAACAGATGCATATTTAATGCAGCAAAGTGATTTTGGAAAACAACAAAACTCAGAGTAAACGTAAAACAAGAAATTGAAAGCAGTATTATATGTTTGCATGAATAGCTTGGAAAAAGGATTTTAAGTGTAAAGCTGAGAAAGTATTTGTGTTTAGGATGGAGCCACTGGCCCCCCCCCACCCCCCAGCCCCCATGTGAATCAGTGAGTTTTGCCTTCTGAGTTACGTTACCCAGATAAAGATGCAGCAGCAGAGTCTCGACCTGCGCCTTCATTCTGACCGTCGGGGTTGACTGTGTGGCCCAGTGAGGATGAGCCACACACACATTCCCGGGAGGAAGCCTGGGCTGTGGATGGCAGGCTAAAGTTACAAAGCACATTGAGGGCGTCCTGATGCTCTGGACTTGGGTGGACTCCTTAGCTTGAAGCTGTGGGTCCCAGAAGGCTGGCCGGGATAGGCTAATCCCTGAGCCGACTTTTAACACACTAGTTTATGTGACTTAACACCAGCTAAGTGGATGACAGTCTCCTTAGTTATTGATGGATAAAATGGAAGCAAGATTTTGGGGCCTTTAGTTGAGCAAGGTCTCCAGCGTGCTTATCTCTCTTGCCTCCAATTCTTAGTCATCCAGATTTTGTTTTGCAGCAAGGTCCCTGAATAGGCACTACTGCTCATCGCCCCAGAGTTAGCAAGGCAGAAAAAGGTTCTGCTTGAGCAGTTTAAGCTGCCAAAGAAGTCAGGCCAGGAGCGTGAGCTAAAGTGAGCATCTATTGTTTCACGTTCGCCAGGGCTCCTGAGAAGAGGGGCGAGCACTGATGCTGTCTTTATCTGGAGTGACAAAGGAAGGAGTGAGTTTGGTGGCATCTCATTATTGATGGGTCCTACCATCCTCCTTGAGTTACAGACGATACCTGACTGTTTGAGGATGCCGAGCCCAGTCTCTGGGAGGGGAACAGGGAGGTAACAATGGTCTCTCTGGCTGTCAATTGTGTTTATTAAAGAATAATGGAATAGCAGCTCATTTAGATAATCGAGGTGGAAGCACACTTTGGAGTCATTTTTCAGTACCTTGGTTCGGTGGGCAAGCTGCACACACATGCTCATTTTCTTTCTCTCCCACAGAGGTTTGTGCATGGAGAGCTCTGTGTAGCGTGTCACGTGTGTAAGTGCAGACTCTTTGTGACACAGACTTGCATTGGCGCATCTCACGTGCCTGTTGAGAGTAAGTTTATAAGTAGTCTCTTCTTTCACCAGGTACTTGTTTCTGTGGTTTGTTTTCATGAAGGTGAATGTAATTTTCTTGAATCAGATGTGATAGTATCTGGAAACACAAGCCTGGGCTGCCAGGGGCTTCTCCTGGCTCTCCTGTCTGCCCTTGGCTGTGCTTACACCCTGCTGAATGGGAGCAGGGAGGCCTAGGTGGGCCTGAGTCCTTGAAGTCCCCCACCTGTGCCGGCAGTGATCCTTTCCAGCCTCCATCTGTCCCTGAGCAGTGCCTTGCACAACTGTTCACAACATTTGCATTGGACAAATCAGAGAAAAGGAGTCTAGGGTTGTGTGTGTTGCTGTGTGCCTCCAGGTTGGGGTAGGAGAGAAGTTGCAGGAAAAGAGAGAGGAAAAATGACCGTGGTTGTAGAATGAATGCATTCTTCCACTGCGTAAACCCGTGACTGTTCTGACCTTAATTTCAAACATGGACCTTCTGTGACCAAACGGACTATCCAGATGTAGTCACTGAATTAGTGTCATGGTCTTCGAGTTCTTGGAAAATGTTCGCAAAGCAACTGTGTGACTGCTGTTTGTCTTTCTGTTTGACTTAGGACAGCTTTCCCCCATTAAAGTGTGACAGTTTATTCCCATATAACCCAGGCTGGGATAAAGGGTAGATAACTGTCCTCTTTGGGGACCAAGGGGATGGGGCGGGGGTTGGCAATTCTGAAGTTAAACATTATGCCTTGTTACGTTTTAAATTTATTTTTACCAGAAGCTGTTGCTGGGCAAGATGTTTTGGCTTAGAAAAATGTGCCCACCCTCATTTCTGCAAGGTTGTTTATGATCACTTCAGGTGCAAAGTTTTCTTAACTTTTGTAGCTGAATAATGTAACAACATTGTTACAGGGAGTTGTAGTGGAATTTTGCTTGTTTATCCTTTTTTGTTTCCTGCAAGGAAAGAATAGATCTTCTTTTATCTTCAAAGCCTGGAACTTGCAGTAATGTGTCATTAAGTGTGTTTGAAAAAATATTTTTAGACAGGCAGTGCAGGGTAAATCCTATGGAAATGTGACATCATGTTTTTGTCAGGAATTGCTCTTTGTAAACATTCTCTGATAGATCACTCTCCTTAAGCAGCTGAAATAGCCAACTGCTTTCAAAGGTGCTGTGTATGTTAGTGATAAACTAGGTCATGTTACAGTCGTTATTGGCAGTAATGGAGCTGGAAAATTTAAACTGGTTATAGTACATGTGCTATATATAGTAAAGCATTTGGGAAAGATTTGTCCTTTTGTAATTTTGATCATCTTAAAGTATTGATTGGTGTTTGTACAATGATAAACAAAATCTTAAGTAATTCCTTGCACAATACGCCTTTCAGCTATCCTATCAAAATCTTCTTAGTTTCAGCGTATCTGTTTTTTTCTTTTAACAAAAAATGCGTAAGCAATTGCTTAGAATTTGGTAAAATTGATTATTGACGTGTTTGTTTTTCCTCTATGAGCTCTTAATGAAGGGATTTTTTTGGGCGCTGACTTCTGTGCTAAACAGCACTACATCGGAAGGTAATGTTTAACAGAATGCCTTATGGCTTACTGCATACAATTATCTCTCTTTGTATTCTTGGGCACAGTTCTTTCTTTCATTTGATGGTGGGGACTTCTAGGGTCTTTCACAAAAAGCACAGAGGGACAAGAGAATGTCAGATAGGTATTAATTGCAATCTGTATTCTTATACTGGGAGAGAAATGTTGGTTTTAATCAAGTGGTTGGAAAATAGGACTGTGTGTTTGGGAGGCGAACATTGTTCTTTGCTGCTGGTTTACATGGCATAGTATATACAGCTTATTTGTAGAAACAAATTTCAGTTAAAATATATTTTATGATAACTCATAGAAATTTCGAAAAAGCATGTTTAGTAATGACTAGGAAGTGTCACCCAGTTAAAAAATACGAGTTTCTGCACCATTGTTTTGTTTTCACTGCTGATCATTTCTAAGAAAAATTTTAAGAAATTTTATATTAAGACACTGAATTAGTTAACAGTTTCCACAGTTTTGAGTTTAGGCTCCGTAAAATCTTTAAGCCACTTCTAAATTGGGTTCTTGCTGCAGTTCATCGAAGGCCTTCTGATTTTCCATATTTGTTTTAAAGATAGAAATTGATGAGTTTTCATTTTCTCTGGTGTTCCCTAGGTTTTCAGTGTTTCTGAGTTATGCGCAACTTTAGCTTTAACTATTGTAGTGTAAGATGTAGACGGAGTCAAAGTGAAAACCCAGTGCTTCCATGGCTTTTGTAATGAATAGCGAGTGATCTGTTCTGTTTTTGTGGGAAGGAGAGCGGCCCCTCAGTGACCACAGGACTTCATCTGAGCCGTGGGTTTGGGGGAGATGCAATTCTAAGCTTCTGGAAATGGGGCTCTTAATGGAAATGTTGACAAGATCATTAACTATACTAGCAATGCTGGCTGCTCCAGAAGCCTGGATTTACCTCCAAATCCCTAACGCCAGCTCTTTGTGGCAGACGAAGGGGCTCTAAACAGCACATTTATCTGCAGAAAATTATGGAGCAGGCTCTGGATCCTGTTATTTTTTAGTTCTGTGAAGTTTACTTTTTTAGTGATTGGCAAAGCAACTACTTAGTATTAAGACTTGGAAAATAGTAAATAGTAAATGACAAGTAACAGTAATGCAATAATTTTGGAGAGCAAAAGAAAGGGAACGAGGCTCCTTCCCTTCTGATATAAAAATAGCCACCCCCTGTTCTTCATTTTCACACGGACACTCCTTTATTAAAAAGTCTCTAGAACTATCTTGAATTTCCCAGGATATGGTAAGGACTGTGGAAAGAAAATTTCCGTATCCTTCCTCATTTTTTCTTGGACTTTTCTGAATGTAATCCATAATTAGATTGTGTATTCAGCTGCCCCTCCTCCCCCAGGTCATATTTCAGTAAAAGGACACACGGGCAGCTTCATACTGGTGATGTTCAAGGGACTTCGAGAATATATTGTGATACTGTCTTTACTCTTAGCAAATGTTCTTCTATTTGAACTTAGGTGGAAGATGGAGTTCTCTCTTTCCTCTTGGACCAGGAATTAATTTGGGTTTTTTGACAGTTTGTGGTAAACAACTGCATAAAAGGTAACCTACTTGCGGAAGAATAACATTTAGGTCATATATGCATTTTGGCTATAAATAGCATGATGACTCCAGCCCGTGGTCTGAGGTGCAGAGCCGGAGAAGGCTGTGCTTAAAGGATCAGAGTTCGCGTACTAAAGCCTTATTACGGACAGTTCCTTACATTTGGGGACTAGCATGCTGGCACTTGCTTTGATTTATTTGGGGGGTGCTAAGTAATGTAAAGACAACCTTTGTTTTAGAAAATGGGGCTTTGTCATTCTCCTTCACTCTACCTCGTTTTCTGAACAAAGCCGGCTGGAGACTTACCTCTAGAATAAATGTTTTGAGCAGAAAGACCTAAGCACATTGTTCTCTGGCTGCCCCCACATCAGGTCTGTTGTGGTCAGGGGGCCGCGTTGCTGCTGGCGGCTGCTCCCTGGGATAGTGGCGTTTTGTGTCCTTTTTCCCCTAGTGGGGGAGGTGGGTGGAGTTTCTTGTGAATGCTGCCGATTCTGGTCGCCTTTTATTCATTTCTTCTTCTTAGAGTGGAAATGTAGCTGGTTCATAATGGATTATTGATTGGTCTGAGAACAGCAGCCGCCTCCAGGCCTGTCATCGGCCGTACTTACTCTCCCAATAGTGAATGCATCACTTTATGGGGCTCTTCGGGACCCCAGTCTGGGGACTATAAGCCTGTAATTGTTACTGGTGTACAGAATGGTTTGTAGGGAGAGGAACTCTTCATTGTTGTGATGGAATTTTCCCCCATTTGTTGAGAGAATAGGCTTTTTGTCTCAGTAGTAAGATAAGCTTGTCCAGGATGTTAATGATGTATTTTAATTCATGGTTCATAATACTACAGTGTAACTAGTGAAGCCCGTCTCATTGTTTCCCGGAGAACAAACACACACAGTATACTCAAACACCAACTGGGCCTTGCACCCACTCAGCACACGCACGGGCTTCTGCGCCGACCCCGTAGTAGCTGTGGCCGGGACCAACCGTGTCTGAGAGTCGTCCTTCAGAAACGCACCAGCGTAGTTGCTCTTTTAGATTTTATGATTTGCCTTTTGGAGCCATCATACGCCTTTGCAGACAGCCCTGTAAATATCGGAAGCATTCTGTCTGCTTTGAGCTTTTTGGCGTTTTCCCTCCCTCCCCAATTCCTCCCGTTCACTCCAGCCCCTCCTGAGGAATGCCCTGTCAGCGGAGATGTGCGCAGGACCGGGCTGTCACCCCCCTGCACCCGCGGACATCCATCCCGGGCTGACATCGGTGCCCCCCCCGCCCCCGGAAGGTGGTCAGAGAGGACGCAGACGGGGATAAGTAAAGCCACATGGCGTCGGGGGAGCCAGGGCTGTTTCGGGACCGCGATAAGGTTAATTCATGAACCAGAACTGAAAAAAATGCCAAGCTAGATAGGCATTTGGAAAGCAGCACCCACTTCAGCTTTGCTTCCCTCCCCTGACACATGCTGCTTGTGGGGACTTGGTGCAGGAAACGGGACTTTCAGTTTTCCTCTCGCTCCTTTGTTCCTCCCTGGTGTCTCCCAGTCAGCTTTGCTTGGTTTCCGCAACTTTAAGCGTTCGATTGTTGAGGAAATGACTCTAAATACGAGAGCATATTTGGTTAGCCTTCCGGTGCCTTTTTCGGGATAAGGTTTTAATAAGGTCAACTTCGGTAGTTGTAGGGAAATCAGTACACAACCATTCAGCTTTTGTTTTGTACTGGTTTAATTCACAGGCAGAAAATGGCAAGATTTCCTGTCGATTCAGAGACATAGTTATTATTTTAAAATGTAAGATGTTTTACAGTTTTTCCCTGATAACGCCATATTTAACTGGTCAGAACATTATTGTTGAAAATAAGGAAGAGGAAACCTGCACCGCGTTGCTGATTTTTTACTTCGTCAAGTGCTGGGAAGGATAGTTAGGAATGCCAGAATACACTCAGAATGCCAGAATACACTGAATTTTGGCTGATGTTCGGGAGAGTTCGTGTTGGCCACAGAAGGCTTTGCAACTGGAGCCCGTGGGTGGGTTTCTTTAATGGCTTTGGGCAAGCCTCTAAAACATCAGAAAGCGATCTTTTAAAATAAAACACTGCTTTTCAATTGAACCAGGTTCCTATTATTCAGACGATTTTTCTTTGACTTTCTTTGGAAAACTTGAGTTAACTAAAGGTAGTTTCCCAACCTGCATTTATTACAGCCCTGGAGCTTCTGTGGGGCCTGGGGAGGGTGGGGAGTGGGGGAGGGGGAGGGGCAGATAGGGGAAGAGGCCTACCAGGTCCCTCAGAGCTGCTTTGCTTTTGTGTTACTGGAGTGGCAAGTAGGATTTATTTTTTTAACTTTTAGGAAAAGTTTGCCAAATTTGGAAAAATGGAAAGAGTTAGAAATAAACACCCCCCCCCCTTTAGTTTCATGAGTTGTTAACATTCTGGTACATTTGCCTTCTCTCCGTCTCTCTCTTTCTCTTTGGTAAAAACCAACTCTAAATATTTCATTACACATCTCCAAAGAATAAGACCACTCTCCTATATTACCAGCTTAACACAAGTAACAGTAGTTCTCAAATATCCTGTAATATCCAGTCCATATTGAGGTTTAATTTCTACGAAGAGTTCTGGAGCTACAATATGTTTGAATGTGCTCGTTGTAGATGATTATAGGTGTTGGTCAAAGACTTTTTAATTGTGTTAAATAACCTGTTGTTGTATAAACCATAAGGGCCCAGTGAATATAGAGGTGTTCCTATTTAGCTATTTTGAATCCAGCTTTCTAGCTGCTATTTTGTCCTTTTGCATTTATTAAACCATGTATTGTCATTGCCAGTGACCAAGTACCTTTGCACTGATATTTCATTCACTTATTGAACAATTACTTATTAATCCCGTCTAAGATGGATTGAAGATTTACAGTGTAGTAAACATTGTGGCTTGTATGCATTAATTTAAATTTTACTGGAGTATGATAAAATAGATATCATTGCTATCATTTACATTTTAAAGATGAAGAAATGGACTGAGGAATAGAGAGGCTAAGACACTTGCTCAGGGTCACACAGCTGACCTCAGGTAGTGGCAGAACTGGGTTTTAATCCCAGGTAGTCTGGCTGCCTCTCACAACTTGTTGGGTCACCAGACTCTTATCATTGGCTGAAGGAGGTCAGGAAGGCTGTACTGTACCTGGGTGGTGGTTGGTCAGCCTCATGACAGGTGGGGCAGGGACGCAGGCCTGAGGGCCAGAGGAGAGCATGAGCATGGGTACTTGGGAGGCTGTTGGGCCGGAGTAGGGCTCAGGGCTCTAGACACCGGGGTCCAGGGCAGCTATGGGGTTCAGACCCTGAGAAGCCAAGGTGAAGAGTTTGGCTTCATCTTGCAGACTTGGGGAGCCTCTGAAGGGCTGGGAGACTGGTGGAGACCGGCCCCATCTGTGCTCTGGAACGATGGCTTTGGCTTGACTTGGGCACATGGATTCAAGAGTGAGTTGGGAGGTGCAGCCGACAGGATGTGGGGTTATTACTGGGCACTGCTGAGATGGGGAGGGAGGAGCCAGGGAGGACCTGGTGTTTTGTGCTTGGGTCATGAAAAGTACTTAGAATTCAAGCCACACCAGTGTGGTTCCCAGGTGAGCCTCAGGTTCCCAGGGGAAAACCTGGCCAATCCTTGCAAATATAGTGAATCGCTTCCCTCCTGGCCTTCTGGAAACTTCTCCTTGTCTTACTGGTGCGCTGCCAGCACGCTTTGATAATAGTATGCTTCCCTGTCTGACTTTGAGTTCCTTGAAGCCGGGTGCTTTTTTTGAGTCATCTTAGATTCTCTGGCTCCTGATACGAGGCCTTGCACTTGGTAGGTGCTCAGGAAGTGCTTGTTGCAGGGATACCCTCGTTAGCCCCTGACCGCACCGCCCTAGGACTGGAACACCTCTAAGGAGCCTGCCGTCACCTGAAGTTCCTCGGGGATGTGGACAGAGACTGCTTCCGCTATGTTTGCGCTGTACATACCCCCTGGCTTTGTGAACATGGTTTTCTTTCTGGCTGTATGTGTTGTATCAAGGCTTTGCAGTGCTTGTTTCTAAAGAAGTTTCTGTAGTGTCAGTGGGGTTAACCCTGGGTACACATTTCTTCACACCGGGAAGTGTTTCAGCAGCTTACCGGGGCGTGTGTCAGGAAGTGACTTTTCTGCTCTGTATTATTAGGTCAAAAAGGCAGTTCTTCCTCACTTACAGAAGGGATTGATTAGTTGAAATACTGGCCTACAGAGTAAATGTATCCCAAATTTAGCAAATGTAAGTAATCTGGAGAAAGTCATTTAATTTCAATTGTATGATATAGGCAAAAAAAGAAAGACAAGGAAAAGAAAAAGAAAAATATCCAAAGGTATGGCAGCAGCCTTAATATATATGTCTTTAGATGTTTTTGATGTTTACATGGTTAGTTTTAAAATGTAGCTACATATTTTCTACTTTATATTTTGTCCTTTCTTCAGACTCTCCCCTTCTCCGTTACAATGTATTTTTATGTTATGAGTAAACAGTTTTTTCAAACATTTTACTTCCTGTTTTTTAATAAATGTGATTGTTACCTAAGTTTTTCAAAATGAAATAAAAAAATTTATTTCAAAAATTATATAAGGCATTTAAAAAAAGTGGCCTTGAACTGTTGATTACATCTCTGGAGAAACACACACACATACACACACACTCACACACACTCACATACAGCAAGAGATCCATTGGAAATCTGCTTTAAAACCCTAGTCAGCAAGTCATATTTATGCCTAAACAATTAAATTACGGTTTTGTCTGGCATGTTCCCAGTTCCAGCCTTGGAAAAAGTTTGTAATACATCTTACCAGAACAACAAATCTGTGATTGAACACACAGGCACACCATGTGTTCAGATGGGTCCCTGCCGTCCGAGGTGCGTGGGCGCCATATTGCATGTCAGCTGGACACATGCTGTACCCTCCACCTTGGCTCTGAGCATCTGTGTTGTTGCAGAACCTTTCCGTATTCCCTGTGGTTTGGGTGGCAGGCTCACATGCACAAGTTTTATAAGGCTGGTTATCTCCAGGCCCGTGTGTTACAGGGAGAGTTGGAACAACTTGTATTTGGCGTGCGTTTGAGAAAGTGGAATAGAGCAGCCCAGGACGGAAATGTCTGCGGCTGGAACTGAGGTAGGTAGCACTTTATCACACGGCGCTGCTCCTACGTGAGGCACGCCCCACTAGGGACCAGGATAAAGGTGGAGGAGGCATCCCATCGAAACCCTCCTGGCTTACAGGGGTTGGCGGGATTTAAAGCACAGCCCGTCGTGCCAGCAGGGCCGCTGACGTCCCAATAATCCTCCTAATTGGGGCGGCCGCCCATGGCGTGTTTTGAAGTTGGAAGCTCTGAGGACAGCATTCTTGTTCTTTTTTTGGAAGGGATGCCCTTGTCTTAAATAGCAATTTTTGCCTGCAGCTAAAAAGAATGATTACAGAGATCTTTTGATTTGGCCACTGAGTAACCCCTTAGGAGAGTTCGTTGCAGGGAATTAATTTTTGACTGTTTCTTTAAGGTTTGAGAAACTTTGCTAGTCAACTGTGGACATCAGGAGGGGATCACTTAATCAACCCCTGGGCAGAGGCAGCTTTGCTCACGTGTCCTTCAGATAATGGCGGTTTGGGCTTAACTTGGTTACTGTCTCAGCACTTTTTCTATTTCTACATTTATGTATCTTTCCCTTCACAATGTTCTTAAGTCTAAAAACACATCCTGTGCAGTTCTCACAGGGATTTACAGCAGGTCTTATTTTTGAAAGATGGGACAGGCGGAGAGGTAGTGAGCAGGAAATAGGAAAGAAGGAAGAGCTTGCTTTGTTGATCGCAGAGCATCGTGGATGCTGCTCCTTGAACGTCTGCCTGTAAATTGCAGGGCTCTGCAAGTTTCGGGGAAAGCTTTTAAGTGAGTTTAAGGAAATGGAGACTGCATTCTCTAGTCACCGGGTGCCTGAGGGCCAGGGTTCAGGCTCTAGCTAGGGCGGGGGTACCGGGGAGTCAAGGCTGTGCAAGGATTGGATGGGTCCGATGCTGGCACAAAGGCCTTTCAGATGTACAAGGGCCATGCTCCTTGATACTGTGCCATCTTCCGCTCAGCCGTGGTCATGGCCCAGGATGCCGAGGCTGTGCTGCTGAGCTGGGCTAGATGGGGCTGTATTTGGGGGCTCTGGTGATCCACGAGCGAGAGTGTCTGTATTTCCCCAGCACTCCTGGAAGGGTACCTGCAGGGTAGGAAGCTGCCTGGGATGAGAAGAGGGGCCTAAGTGCCAGGTGTGTGTTTGCCTGGATGTCCCTGGGGTCTGGATGCTGTGGGCTCTGAGGGGGTCACTGGATTTTATAGAAGGAGGCATTTGCAAGGGGCTTCGGTGACATGTGGCTTCTTCTTATTGTTTCTCTGTGCCTGACAGAGGAGGGGACGAGTTGAGGGCGTGAAGGACACGCCTAGAAAGGCATGTGGCTGGTGACTGGGAGCATGAGGGCTGGGACCAGGGTTCCCAACTGCACGTGTGCACTTTGTGCTGAATGCCCTGTGTTGGCCATGACCCTGTGACCTGCACGCTGACGGGTGCACAGCTGCTGGCACACAGCTGGCTGGCACAGAGGCCGCTTCTCTGGGCGCAGACCCCAGGAGCTGCTGCTCTGAAAGAAGGCAGGAGCTGATAGCCCTAGAGCACAGGGTTTTGGTGATTGGTGTGAGTCTTTGCACAGAACAAATCTCCTTTTGCTTCATGCTGCACTCGAGGGCTGTCTCTAACGGCCCTGACCAGGCCTGGGCTCCTCCTGGGTGAATCCTGTCTCTGGAGCTGGCTTCTGGCAGTTGAATTCTCTCGAACTGGAGAAGTGTCTTGACATTTAACATCCTTTATAGACAAACGTTGGAGGTCCAGGGGAGTCTGTACAATTATTTCAGAGCCACCAATTTCCAGGATTTTAGTTGTTTTTCTTTTCTTCCCTGTAAACGTATTTTCTATATGATTGTTCGCACTTGTAAGGTTTTTATACCACATCCAGTCACTAAGTTAGATATAAATAGTGTGTTTCATTCATACTTTGAATATCAGATTCAGCATTTTTGTGGGGGAGTGAACTGGGGCCTGGGGAAGGACGAGGCTTTCCTGTGAATCACTTGCCTTGTAAAATCATCATAAATCATTACACAGCCATCCACAATGAGTGCCAAGACCAAAATCATTTAAATTAGCTTGGAGTAAAAGGTCATTAAGAAATCTTCCTGGTAAGCTTATTTACTTCTCCAGTTTTGGGGGAAGTTTTAATGTTGTTGTTGTTTTTTTTTTTTTGGAGATGGAGTCTTGCTCTGTCACCCAGGCTGGGGTGCAGTGGCATGATCTCAGCTCACTGCAACCTCCCTCTCCCGGGTTCAAGCGATGCTCCTGCCTCAGCCTCCCGAGTAGGTGGGACTACAGGTGCACACCATCATGCCTGGCTAATTGTTGTTTTTTATTGGAGCAAGTGGGTTTTGGCTCCTCTGGGTGGGCATCTCTCTCATGCCCGCTCTGTTGCATGGCTCTGCTGGGTGCGTTCCTGGAGGAAGGAGCAGAACCTCTGTGTTGCTGCTTTTCATTTGCTGCTGAGGCTGCTCGTGTTTCCTTAGGCGCCTCCAAAGCGGGGCTTTCTGGAAAGACATTGTGAAGCCTATAATTCTTGATAAGGTTTCTACCTGGCGCTGTATTTGCCTGTGAGAGGGCACAGCATGGGGTCTGTCTTTTCAGAAGGCTCCTGTCTTGCTGTTATCTGGGCCCTCGGGAGTTGAAGTATTAATACAAAATGCTCAGAATCCCCGACCCCCGTGGGGGAGGTATGGGGACACTCTTGACACCGACACTGATTTTTTAGCTCATGCCCCTTCACCCCCTCAGGTCTATTATCAGTATTCTTTTCTGTGTCCCATCTGCTTCCATGAAAACCTGGGAGGCTGCAAAACTCGGAGCAAACAGGGAGCTGCCACCCCAGGTCTTTTCGTGGGTGGCCCTGTCATCTTTCATGGAAGCTGTGTGTTAATGTGTTGTGTGCTTCCCAGCCGGAAATATGGAGCTGCTTTGGGTTTTATAGATGTTTAAGCAGGAGTTCTTAGTGTGTGTGAGATTGTAGGCTTATACAAACACGCTTCCTTTCTATGCGAAATCACTTGGGTTTTCAGAACATGGCCCATCTGGGTGCCTCTCTGTGCAGGTCTGGAGCCGGCCCCAGAAGGGAGACCCTCTCTGGACCCTTGGAAGCAGGAAATGGATTTGTTCTATGCAGAGATGAGCAGATGAGCAGAGCCTGTCCCCGGGGAGTTGTCTGTGCAGCCCCTCCCTCTTGAACACTCAGACGCTGACCTGAGAGACTCGACATCTCTCACATCCTTTCTAACTGGCTCATCGTTCTGCTGCTTTACCTTACTTACCCTGTGTCAGGTGGGATTCCTGTTTTTACTGAAGAGTTGCTTTTCTCCTTGCACCATGTAGGCCTCTTTGGTTGGATACAAGCATTTTGATTCATGCGTCCCTCGTCCTTGGTGGGGGCCTGTTCCGTGCTGGACACAGCTACTCTCTGGCAGGCTGCCCTTTGCCTGTGTGCCTGGAGGGAGTGGGCCTCTGCCCTCCTCACCCTCTGGTGGGTGGGATGGGCATGTAGGTGGCGGCCATGCAGGGTGGTTGATGCTCACTGTTTTCAGGCTTGGGCACAATCTCTAGGAGCAGACCCAGCCTCACTAGGAGGATGCTGTGGCTTCACCATACAGCCTAGGTGTGTTGCGGGCTGTGCCATCTTGCGGGTGTGTGTGTCCACTGTAGGATGTCTGCACAGGGACGAAATCGCCTAACAATGCATTTCTCAGCTCGTATCCCATTGGCTAAGTGGCACGTGACTGTGTGTGTGAAGTGCCGTCAACTGTTGTCACCACCTGTGCAGCTCACCTTCCATCAGCCCAGGAACTTGGCCCCTGTTCTTATTCCTGCCCTTTTCCTAAACCTTGCTTTCCTCTGTCCCTAATTCCCACATGGTCTTGCTAAGTAGCTGGTATTCCTCACACTCCTACACACTCTGGTACTACAGTCTCTCCTAAAGATTTGATACCTTATTGGGAAAAGAAAATTATTTTGGTGCACAATCATTAACATTTATGTTAATCATTTAACATAGTTCATTATTGATAATTAAGTGATACTGATTTTTTACTAAGGCAAGCAGCTGCTCTCGCCTGTGTGTGAAGTGTTGTTGGTGCCGCTTTTCTTAATGTGGGTTGGATGGGTATGTTTTGGGGAGCATGTGGGGGTTCCCGCAGCCATGCCTGTGCCCTCTTAGCCAGGAGCTTTGCTGATGATGTTCCATCTCTGTTTCAGGTGCTGGCTGCCAGCTGCTGCGCCCCCCATGTAGAAGGTGCACCTCCTGGGAGCAGGCACGTCTTTTGGCTCTTCTGACCATGGAGAGATAGGACGGTCCCTGCAGCCCGCGCGACAGAAAGCTGTGCCGCCACCACCGGCCGCGCCCGTCCTTCGGATGGATCGCAACAGAGAGGCCGAGATGGAGCTGAGGCGAGGCCCCAGCCCCACCAGGGCCGGCCGGGGCCACGAGGTGGATGGGGACAAGGCTACCTGCCACACCTGCTGCATCTGCGGCAAGAGCTTCCCCTTCCAGAGCTCGCTTTCGCAGCACATGCGCAAGCACACGGGCGAGAAGCCCTACAAGTGTCCCTACTGCGACCACCGGGCTTCCCAGAAGGGCAACCTGAAGATTCACATCCGGAGCCACCGCACGGGGACTCTGATTCAGGGACACGAGCCGGAGGCGGGCGAGGCGCCGCTGGGTGAGATGCGCGCCTCCGAGGGCCTGGACGCCTGCGCCAGCCCCACCAAGAGCGCCTCGGCCTGCAACCGGCTGCTGAACGGGGCCTCGCAGGCCGACGGCGCCAGGGTCCTGAACGGGGCCTCGCAGGCCGACAGCGGCAGAGTCCTGCTGCGGAGCAGCAAGAAGGGGGCAGAGGGGTCCGCATGCGCCCCGGGGGAGGCCAAGGCAGCGGTCCAGTGCTCCTTCTGCAAGAGCCAGTTCGAGCGTAAGAAGGACCTGGAGCTGCACGTGCACCAGGCGCACAAGCCGTTCAAGTGCAGGCTGTGCAGCTACGCGACGCTGCGGGAGGAGTCGCTGCTGAGCCACATCGAGAGGGACCACATCACCGCGCAGGGGCCCGGCAGCGGCGAGGCCTGCGTGGAGAACGGCAAGCCCGAGCTGAGCCCCGGGGAGTTCCCGTGCGAGGTGTGTGGCCAGGCCTTCAGCCAGACCTGGTTCCTGAAGGCGCACATGAAGAAGCACCGGGGCTCCTTCGACCACGGCTGCCACATCTGCGGCCGTAGGTTCAAGGAGCCCTGGTTCCTCAAGAACCACATGAAGGCGCACGGCCCCAAGACGGGCAGCAAGAACAGGCCCAAGAGTGAGCTGGACCCCATCGCCACCATCAACAACGTGGTCCAGGAGGAGGTGATCGTCGCCGGCCTGAGCCTCTACGAGGTCTGCGCCAAGTGCGGGAACCTGTTTACAAACCTGGACAGCTTGAACGCCCACAATGCCATCCACCGCAGAGTCGAGGCCAGCCGCACGCGCGCCCCGGCCGAGGAGGGGGCGGAGGGGCCCTCGGACACCAAGCAGTTCTTCCTCCAGTGCCTGAACCTGAGGCCGTCGGCGGCCGGCGACTCGTGCCCTGGCACGCAGGCCGGACGGCGGGTGGCTGAGCTGGACCCGGTCAACAGCTACCAGGCCTGGCAGCTGGCCACGCGGGGTAAGGTGGCCGAGCCGGCCGAGTACCTCAAGTACGGGGCCTGGGACGAGGCGCTGGCCGGGGACGTGGCCTTCGACAAGGACAGGCGCGAGTACGTCCTGGTGAGCCAGGAGAAGCGCAAGCGTGAGCAGGATGCACCAGCCGCGCAGGGGCCCCCGCGGAAGCGCGCGAGCGGGCCTGGGGACCCCGCGCCCGCCGGCCACCTCGATCCCCGCTCGGCCGCGCGCCCCAACCGCAGGGCCGCAGCCACCACCGGCCAGGGCAAGTCCTCCGAGTGCTTCGAGTGCGGCAAGATCTTCCGCACCTATCATCAGATGGTGCTGCACTCACGCGTGCATCGCCGCGCGCGCCGCGAGAGGGACAGTGACGGGGACAGGGCGGCGCGGGCCCGCTGCGGATCACTCAGTGAGGGTGACTCGGCCTCCCAGCCCAGCAGCCCTGGCTCCGCCTGTGCCGCTGCTGACTCCCCGGGCTCTGGCCTGGCCGACGAGGCTGCCGAAGACAGTGGTGAGGAGGGCGCCCCTGAACCTGCACCAGGTGAGCAAGTGTACCCAGGTGGCCTGGGTCCTGGGATCCCAGGCTCAGGGGGTTCCTGCTTCCAGGTAAACGTATACTCAAGTAGGCTCGCTCATTAGCCCCTTACCCGGTGGCCCTTTACTCAGCTAGGCCTATGCTCAGGTAACCCTGGGACTCAGGACTCCACACCCGGGTGGCCTTGTGCCCTTGCCCAGGGTCCCTGTGCCCAGGGTCCCCCACACCCAGGAATCTGTCCCCAGTATGGATCTGGAACTGGCACTTTGGAGTGCAGACACAGACACCCATCAGCTCCCCTTGGAGCCCCTTTCAGTGTTTGCATATACTCACACCTTTGACCTCTAGGGTTGATGGTCTCACCTGAGCATCTGTAATCCTAATTTCTGAGCAAAGAACACCATCATGGATCCCTTCTGAGACATTCACCCCCTTCTTTTTCTGCTTCAGACCCAGTTCTCACCATACGATGCATGCGCGCGTGCGCGCACACACACACACACACACAAACACACACACACACACTTTCCTCCACTCCAGCTGGGTAGAAGACTATCTTCAAATTGGTGTGCAGTTATAATTAATCTTCTTGGATTCAAGTAACCCTGTGGGTTTAGAGACAGTTAATTGGAACAGATTACTTTTCACATAGCCATGTAAATATTTAAAGATGCTTGGCCAACTTTGTTTTCATAATTCTCCTACTTTCTATAAATTTTAAACATTTTGATATTTCTTTTATTATTTTTTGCTTTGCATAATTGTTTTAAGTGGAAAGTGATGTTTCAGTTAGAGAACTTGCATGTTTCTCCACAAAGCCAAAGATGTTTTTCCCTTCTCTGCAACGCCGTTACTGACTGTTGCTTTTTACCTGGACTGTTAAGAGTGATAGAAATCCAAGCCCGGGGCAGGGCTGTTTATATTCTGTGGTGAAGAAGATGACTGCTGTGCTGTATTATTTCACAACAAAACAGAAGACCGTGTCATTTTTCCTTATTAGAGATTTGGCCAAACCTGGACAGAGTTTATTAGCGTCTTACACAGTGTGTTATGTGAGGGTCTGTTACACTGAAATGCATATTGAGTCAACAAAGATGTAGAAGGCAAGTCTTTTCTCCTGTAGCAAAACTTGTGTTGAATCCACGCACAGGTTATGAGTGTATACATAGATAAATGACTTTTCAGTAATGCGTATTTTAACTTCGCGTTTTAGTCATTGGTCCCCGTGGGAGGAGCAGGGGGACATGGTCTTCTCTGAAAATGCTGTGCTCATTCAATGAACACTTTTGGATTTTTTGAATAATTTGTCATGTGAAACCGGGTTGACCCCATCGTGACCCCTGGTTGACTTCTTTTAAGTTTAATTCTCGGTGTTCTTTTTTTATTTTTATAAATACAGATTTTACTGGTTATGTTCCAGTAATACTCTGTCTACTTTTTGGAGCACATGCTGGACAAAATATTGGGCTAGGACTATGGGTTTTTTTTCTTTTCACTTTTAAGAGAAATATTCTTAATATTTGGAAAAGCTCTTGGGCCTCACTCACCCCATTGATTATGATGGTGGTCACCTGATTCATAGTAAGCTAATCCAGTAGTGCTTTTAGAAATCAAGAAGTTGGAAAGATCAAATGATTCCCATCATAAATTGGAAGGTACTCTTTTTTCAGGCTCATTAAATTTTAGAGACTACTGTTTATGTCTTAAAGACATTATATATATTTTTCTCTATGTGTAACTTTTTGAGAAAGTTAATACAGACCTCAGCTGATTCTATAACAAGACATGTATCATAGTTGAATGTAACAAACAGTTGGTGATAGAATAAATAGGATATTTCAGCTTATTGAGAGAGGACAGAAATTTATGGCTCGACAGAGGCATGAAACATGGAAGAGCCCTGTAGGTGTATGTGGGTCACTTTCCGTAATCCCAAAGGACAGTATCTTTCTATCTAAAAACACCAACTTTTCACTCACAACAGCTGCCTTTAATGGTCTAGTGTAGCAACAAATTACTAATTCATGGATATTCTTTAAGGAGAGAGAGACCGTGTTCCATTGATTTAACTACTCTCAAAACACTGTGATTTGTGGGATTTGGCCCAGGTCTTTCACAGGGCTAGCTTGGAAAAGAAACTGGGTATTTTGAATCTCATATTTAAATCTGCAGCATTCCTTTCTTTTTCTGAAAAAATACACGCAACTTTGGGAAATGCTTGCCTTTCCTGTTACTAAAAAGATTACTTAGTTCTTTAAGTGTTAGGTTATTTTAAATTCTCATGGAACTCTGATGGGATGATTGGTTAACACTGTTAGAGTGTCTGTGTGGGAATTGAGGAACGAAAGATCACAGTGGTTCTTACAAGCAGCAGCCAGCCTGCCTGTGGGAGCACAGTTGAAATTAGAATTCAGATCTATGCGACCATTCCAGTAATACCCAGTTGTGCCATAATTTTGCCCGAACATTTTCTTTGACATCTGGGAATTGATTTGAATGCTGTTTCTGGATCTGGAAATAATTTGCATTATTAGATTAAGTGAAAGAAACTCCTCTCCTTTTTTTTTATGGAACATGTTTCGTCAGTTGAATGTTGCCATCTATTCCTCTGGAAAGTGTTCTGATATTCATGTTACTTTTATCCCCACATAAGACTTGGTCACAGCAGCTCTCGTTATTGACTTAAAATAGTAGAAGTGCAAAATTATGGAAAAAAAGTCAGTCATTGGGAATATGTTACTAGATTTAAATCCTCCACTGAGAAAGAGACGTGGCATGGACAGAAAGTCTACTTTTGGACTTCATAAAAAGTTAATATTTTTAGTAAGAAAGAGGGGTGAAAGGGCATCTAATTGGAGTTTGTAAAAATCAACATTTCCAACATTCCCAAACACAAGTAGGCTCAGGGAGCTTAGAAACCATCACTAAGGAAAAACGAATATTGCTTTGCAAGGAGACATACAAACCTTCAGTGTATGGGCCAAAATAGAATTCTGCTCAGAAAGCATTTAGGCGACTTAGGAATAACAGAAGCATGCAGAGAGGCTGCACATCTCTGGAAGATTTGCTGTCAGAGTTCGTGCCATCCTGAGAAGTGCCTGGACTGGGATGCCTGGTGCCCAGGCCATGGCGGATGCTCTGAGGTGCTCATAATGCACAAGCGGTGCCCCGTTGAGCTGCATATCATTCAAGACTAATTTCACTACTCCCGCTTTTCACCATTTCTTGTCGTGCTAATATCTGTCATGTAAAATCCATACTCCATCCTGTTGAACCCACCCTCACTTTTTAGATACTCACTGCGACTCAATAGATGGGACACCCTCAAGTTTTAGAGGATGTTGTGGGAAGTTACAAGTACAGTTGGCCCTGTGTATCCGTGGATTCCACATCTTTGGATTCAAGCAACCACAGCCTGAAAATATTAAAGAAAAATAGATGTTTATATCTGTACTGAACATATACAGGCTTTTTTTTGTTATTCCCTAAACAACACAGCAGAATTTATAGAGCATTTACATTGCATTATTATAAGTAATCTAGAGATGATTTACAGTGTACGGGAGGATGTGCGTGGGTTACACGCAGGCATTTACACCAGGGACTTGAGCATCCTGGATTTTGGTATCGGGGAGTCCTGGAATCAGTCACCCCTGTCCCACAAAGGACCATTGTGTTCAACTGTTTTTGATCAACATAATGGCAAATTGTATGACTCAATAGAATAAAAAAAGTGCTTGGAACAAGTGCCTTGGTATTATATGCAATTTGAAGAATCAAGGAAAGAGTCTTCAAAGAAAAAAAAAATATGGTCAAGGGAAGGAAAGGTAATTAAAGGAGGAAATGGCTCTACCTTCAGAGTGTCTCACGTTTCCCGTCCCCTCGCTGGCTGCCTCCCTGCCGCCCAGCAGCCCCGTCCTCAGAGCCCATCTTCTTTCCACTGTCACCAGGCGCACTGAGGCTTTTGCTGTAAGGTGTTTGCTGAGCACGTGCTTGGAGGCTGGCTGGCTGTCCGTGCTGGTGCGCTGGCTGTGAGGAAGGCCAGGCTGCAGTCATGCGGCTGGGCACAGAGGTTCAACAACTGTCCTTCTTTCTTTCTGATAGAACACAGACAGCAATTAGAATAGCTTAGGGAGGGTGAGAGACGGTATGTGTGTGTGTGTGTGTGTGTGTGTGTGTGTGTTTTAGACAGGTCTTGCTCTGTCACCCAGGCTGGAGTGCAGTGGCACAATCTCAGCTCCCTGCAACCTCCGCCTCCCGGGCTCAAGCCATCCTTTCACCTCAGCCTCCAGAGCAGCTAGGACTACAGGCGGTCACCACACGTGGCTAATTTTCGTATTTTTTTGGTAGACATGGGGTTTTGCCATGTTGTCCAGGGTGATCTTGAACTCCTGGTCTCAAGCAATCCACCCGCCTCAGCCTCCCAGAGTGCTGGGATTCCAGGTGTGAGCCACTGCACCTGGCCTGGAGGATGTGTTTACCCGTTGAAACAGGATTGAGGGTGAATTTGGCCAGCGGAAGGGAGAATGGAATGAGGGGGTGAGCTGGGAGGGGTGTCTGCCTGTGCGGCCAAGCCTGCTGGGTGTGGGCAACCTTTATATGGTACTTCTTCTAAGCGTTTCTTCAAGGTAGAGCAGGAGGAGCTCTCACAATACCTTCGCGCACTGACCTTGCAGCTGAATCCACTCGCGATGCTGAGTCTCTCGGGGACTCAGCGGTGTCCTGGCTTGGACGCAACACGGGCAAAGCTCTCTCTGAAGCCAAGTCATGGGTTGGGAGGAGCGCTTGTCCTCACACAGTGTTCATCATGGGTCCCACGAGAGGCTCAAAACGATTCAAAGAAAGAGGTTGTGGACCAAGGAGGAGAGAAAACGAGTGAAGTGCGTTCATCAAGGGAAGTTCCAAGTGTAGGCAGGAAATAGCATCCAGTTCAGCTGGGGAAGGAAAGCACACACGGCTGGGAACAATTTCATGGCAAACGCCACTCCATGGCCTGGAGCTGTGGGATGTCCTCATTCTGAGGGGGTCTTGGTGGCATTGGGGCCCTCTATTAAACAGGAGCTTGCAGAATGGGTAAAGGTAAAAAGCAGAAGGCCAGCCCCCCTTAGTATCCAGACAGGTTCATTCGGCCGGGCTCTGCCCAGTTCCTTCGTCGTGCCACAGCCCCAGGCTCATCTTGCATAATATCTAATAAATGTTCACACATAGACTGCTCTGGTGCTCCTGAAGTGCAGGGGTGACAGGCTGTCCTGAAGTCAGGTGCCCCCAAAAAGTGAGAGCTACTGTCCGCCATGTGGCCCATGCCAGGCCTGACAGGGCTCCCTGGGGTGTTTTCCCTAACCAAAAGGAGCCATAGAACATCCAGAGAACAAAACCAGAGTGGGATCTGGTGAGACAGAAATTCAGAAGAACGGAGACCGAGGTCAGGAAGCTGCAGGCCGATTGCAGGCTTTGGAAGAGCTGGCACGGTGTGCCCTGCAGAGGGCTCTCCAGGGCTCTACCTGGAGAGAAGACATCCTCCGTGACTTTACCCTGTACGGAGTTCTGAGGAGTTCCTTTCGTTGGGAGTAAAGTATGAGTTGGAAAACCCTGATATTAAATTCTTGTTTAGTATAAAAATGCAGCAGTGTTCTTCCAGAAAAATATTCAGATGTAGTTGACAGTCACATGCAGAATGCCTTGTGATGTAGTCAGCATCTTAGCAACCGGAGCCCACTCTTAATCCGCGCTCCCGCACACATGAACACGACGGTGATTGTTCACAGGGCCCTGGGTGTCCTCATGTGCTTTCCGAGTTATCAGAGGAAGATTAAATTATGAGGAGAATAGTGTCTCCTAAATACGTTTTATTGTATTCTGATTCTTTCAGCGTTGATAATCTATGCATGGCATGCATGCTGATATTTGCTTGAACAGAGTGCTACATTTTCTGACCTTCCAGAATGAATTTATTAGACTGTGAAAAGCGTTAGACTTCAGAGATTATACTCCGGGGCTTTCTTCCCGCCACTGAGAAATACATGTGGGATGTACGTACTTGGTACCGTGAAACAAACATCAGGCAGACATTTTGGTTTGCCAGGAAAATTCAAACACTTATCTTCTCTCTCTCTTTTAACTCAAGATAGGATCATAGAATTTTCGAGGTGGGAGGGAACTAAGAGGTATCCATTCTATCCTCCCGTTTTATTGGTAAGGAAACCAGGGCACAGGGCAGGGTTGGCTTTTGCCCCATGCCGAATGGTGTGTGCATTGCTCAAACACGGCATCATTGGTGGAGGGCACATGAGCTTGGACTCAGAAGTGTGGATTTTAATTCTCTTTTAGTCACCAAGTCACAGTGTGGTATTAGAAGTTCTTCAGCCCCTGGGAATTTGCAGTGTCCTGCGTTGCAGTGGGGAGGCTGTGATTTCCACCGAAGCTGCTGTCCTTGCTCTGTTTCCTGTGTGTTCCTGGCACACTGTGGGTATCCTGCACACGCACTCTTCCTGTTAGTGTCCAGCTTCCAGCCTGGGAAAGGGTCCCCTTCCTGGTGTGTCCGCGAGGGGCAGGAATGCGTAGTCCCAGGACGGCTCAGATTCTGCATCTGCACTTGTGCCCATGTTGTACGCAGGCCGGGATGTCCCACAGCCACAGCCGTGGTACTCTGTGCAGAAGTCCTGTGGGGTGTGCCGAGTTTCCTTCCTGCCACGTAGGAAGTTACTTAGGATAGACATTCAGTGATGTTCACTGAAAGAGAAGTTCGTGATATTCTCGGACTCCAGAGCCAGTGGATGCGTTTACAGATTCTTATTGGATGGAACAGTTTTCAGCCTTTTCTCTTTGCCTCATATGCTAAACTTCTTTACTTTAATTCTCCTTTCCCTGCTAGATTTGGCATTTTCCAGTCTGCAGGAGGGGTAGTGCTGGATACGACTTTCAGCCCCGAACCTGTTGGGTGAATGTCATTGTTGCTGTGTCGTGAAGAAGTGGCGCTCGGTCCTCCCAGGTGTGACTTGAACTTGTTTCTCTGGCTTGAAATGGAAGGGTTCCTTTTTGTAGATTTCATCTATCAATAGTGAGCAGAAATGCCTGAATTTGGTTCTTGCACCCCGTTCCCGTGAGATAGGGCATCTCATGGACCAGGCAGGATCGCTCCTGGTAAAGAGGGAGGTCTGATTCCACTCCGAGCCGTCAGTTCCTGACCAGCTGGAAGAACGGACAGCAACGGCCAGAGCAGCAGGTGCTGGGTTGGGTAAGGCGTTGCCGAGGGCTTGGTGCACCTGTGAGAAAAGGTGCTGGCGGTCGCGGTGGGGTTTCCCGGCCAGGAGAGGTGTGATGCCATGGAGCGGTGTGCACCCCTGTGGAGCTGGGGACGTGGCACTGTGAGATGATGCCTTGCTGCTGAGCTTTTTGGGAGATTCTAGTCATTCCGACTGATGATTCTGCACCTGCCTGTGTTGGTTGTGTTGTCGCCCTCCTGTATCCGTGATGTGCTGCGACTAAGCCCATCCTTTCTCGATTCTTCACTAGGCGTTTGCTTAACGCACGGATTCCCACCCTTCTGCCCAGCCCTTTGGTGTTCCTCCTTGCAAGCTGAGGTGGCTCCCAGCTCCATATGCATTTCAGCTCTGGCACCTGCCCGTCTTCTCCCCTCTCCACCTTGCTGTGACCCGGATGCTATGCCCAGACTCAAGGCTCCCATGTCTCCTCCACAAGGCCTGAGCGTGCAGCCGCGGTACGGCACCCAGGGTGGAATGCAAACCTGGGCCTCAGGCTGGCCCCATTCCTCCCTGTTGCGTGGACACATTCTTTTCAGGCAGGATGACCCTCTCTGTCCCCAGCATCCGCCTTGCGTCAGGCATCCTCAAATTGCCATCTCATTGAAGACAGGGGCCAGACCTGCTTTTTCTTGAGGGCCCCGCAGGACTCACGCTGAGAACAGTGGCTGGAGCTGCACCTTGATGAATTCTGTTCTTCAGAGTTGACAGCGAACTCCATGGAGAAATGTTGTATTCGGGAGTGGGTAGTTTTGCACGGGAGTACTCAGCGGTCAGTGGTGCTTTTTACTGGATGTCTAGACTCTAGAGATCTTCCTGTCTGATAACAGAAACAGCGATGAACAGCAGTCGCAGCAGAGGCTGGCCTTACAGTTAGTATTTAATGGGAGCATCTCAGAAGCCTACAGAGTCTTCAATGGAAAGTGCCGCATGTGTGGATTTCAGTGTCGTTGCCACTCAGGATGTGTGGACTCAGGATGTGCGGCCAGGTCTCGCTTTTGGTGTTGTTGGACTCAATGGAGTGAGGATTTGGGGAGGTCGCCTTCTTCCCTTCTTCTGGCCCTACACGCCTCGTGTTAGAGCCATGGCTTGGAGTTGCTGTGTCTGGGGCCTTTGTTACTGATCTGTTGTTACTGTGGATGAGGAGCAGAAGTTGGCTAAGCCCTTTCCCAGTAGAGAGTGATGCTAACATCGAGTGACCCTGGGCATGGGGTCCTGCCTGGGCCCCAGACTGTCACGGCAGGCTTCCTAGAGAGAGGTTGGTCAGGCCACTGGATGGTTTCCCACCTCAGTACAGAGGGCCGTGGGCCTGATGGCCTTTGGAGGCCAGAGGATGTGGGAAGATCCATGAGTTTCATTGGCGCTGGGGCCCAGAGAGTGGGGCTGTAGGCTCTGGAGTCCCATCTGGGGCTGCTCTCCACTGAGCTCCAGCACACAGGGCTCAGGTGACACGGAAGAGTGAGCTGTCAAGGACACAGTTGAGTGCATGGTCTCTGTTTCAGCTCAGGTGAGGTGATGGGCCTGGTAAGCAGGTAGTGACGGTGCTGGCCCTTTGCACAACACTGGCATTGAAGGCAGAGGCCGATGGGGTGAGAACGTAGCGGTGGTGCTGGTGCTTTGCACGGTGTTGGCACGGAAGGCAGAGACCTGTGGGGAGAGCAGGTAATGACAGTACTGAGGCTTTCCACAGCATGAGCACTCAAGGCAGAGGCCTATGGGGTGAGCAGGTATCGATGGTGCTGGTGCTTTGCACGGTGTTGGTGCCGAAGGCAGAGGCTGCGGAGGAGGGCAGGTGCTGGAGGACTGGCCATCCCATTGCTTGAGGAGTGCTGTGGGCGCCACATTTTGAGGATCTCTAGATAGATCCCAAAGCCTGTCCTTTCCTTAAGGAGTCCTTCCTTGTTCAACTGGTGACATCTGCAGAGACTATCTCCAAAGCGTCTCATCCACGGGAACTTTGCCATTGGCCCTGGCATTGGTGGCTGCTTAGAATAGCAGACCCTGTCCTGTTCCCGCCAGGGCAGTGGTGGGCGGGGCCGCCTGAACACACCTGGAGGCGGAATGCATGGGGCACTGCTGGTGCACTGCGTGTTAGTCCATTCTTGTGTTTCTGTAAAGGAATACCCGAGACTTGGGCAATGTATAAAGAAAAGAGATTGATTTTGGCCCACGGTTCTGCAGACTGTATAGGGAGCATGGTGCCAGCATCTGCTTTCAGTGAAGCCTTAAGAAGCTTAGGATCATGGTGGAAGATCAAGGGGAGCCCATGTGTCACATGGCAAGAGCGGGAGCAAGAGAGAGAAGGGAAGGTGCCACGCACTCTGAAACCGCCAGATCTCGCGTGAACTCAGCGAGAACTCACTCGTTGCAATGAGCACCAAGCCATTCGTAAGGGACCCATCCCCATGGCCCAGACACCGCCCCTCGGGCCCCACCTCCAACAAAGGGAATCGGTCGCAACATGAGGTTTGGAGGCAGCAGATGTCCAAGCCCCGTCATGCCGGGCACAGGACCTTCCAGAGCAGCCCCTCTCTCGCTGCTTTCAGGATTGACTTCCTGGTATGACTTAGGCTCAGTCAGTTCTTAAAGGAATCTGTGGCTTGCCATTTGATTTGCATCATTCTTAGTCTGCATTTTCATCATGGGCACACTGAATTATTTCATAAGTTTAGACTTTCTTTTAAATGCTTGAAGCATTTAAGTTTTATTTGATAAGTGTTTTTGTGTGTGTGTGTGTGTGTCCTCGTCTCTGGCACAAGTTCGTAATTTTTCATTTGTGTGTATGTGGTTTTTCTTTTTGTGGTTCTTAGATAATTTTCTGTGTGCTGGACCTAATCTGAGGCTAGTTTTTCATGAGGGATTTGTCGGCTATTGATAGGATCCAGTATTTGCATATATAATTTGCATAAGCCTTTGCATATTAAAATGGATTGCCATTTTAGGTCTGTATTTTACTAGAATTTTAAAAAGCTAGGGATATTTGTCTCTGGATTAAAGGTTAGAAAGTAAGACTCCAGTTACTGAGATTTTACCTGATTCTGTATGCATGGTTCACATAGCGATATCCATTTACAGGAGGCCTTGTCTCCTGCTTTCTTTACAAAGGAAGCCATTGATTTGAAAGAAGTATTTTCACAGATTAGTAAGACATTTGGGCGAACTGTTAGCTGCCAAATATGTTCCTGTATAGATGTGCCAAATCTGAGTGTTACTCATGTTCTTTCTCTTAACTCCAGAATAGTTACGTTCAGCACTATGAATAAATTCTCTTCCAAATTTAATACAATTACTGTTTTATTTAATAACCTACTTGGTTACTGAAATGTATCACTTAAAATGATAATTCCACGGTGCCATTTGTTGAGCTGGCCATCCTATAGAAAACTTACATACATGCTTGAATCTCATATCTGAAACCTGATGGAGAATGGCAGCTGCCTTCAAAGTCATGAAATTAGGTTGTTGGTACCTATGATAATCCAGTGATTGATTCCAATATAGACATTATTGGGATAGTTTGTTCATTGGACTGGACAATTAGAGAACATTTTTGATATTGAAATGATGGCCAGGTTTCCAGTCTGACTAGTTAAATTGTGTTTCCTTTGATTTAAAATTAATCTGTGATGTCACTGGTTTTTAAAAATTGATTACTACGTGACTCATGAGAATGTGATTTTTATAGATTATTTCGGTATTAGACTAGGACATGATAGGAGTGGAATGGATTGAAATTTTTTCATTTTTAAGAAATATTACTGGGTTCTACTTTTTCAAAAATGATGGAAGATGGTAGGTCCAGGGCCATGAGACTGAAATCAAGGCCTAAACCTTCGGAAGCATCATGGACAGATAGGGATGTGTTGGTAAGAACCTTGAAATGCAGTTAAAGGTGCCCCCAGAAGGTGGCCCAGGAAGTTCCTGAAGTTCAGGTATGAAAAAAGCAATTGGAAGATACTGGCTCGGGAATTTTCAGAAGCTCTGAACAGAAGGTTCTGGACAGGTTGTGCGTCACACCAGCAAGACAGAGTCTCTGCGGTTTCTATGGTGATAGCCTACACTCCACTTAGAAACAAATTCTTGATGTTGTTTTGAAACCTCAGTAACAAAAGGGCACCGTGTTTGCTTTTGCAGAACAGCCTGGTAGCCGTGCGGTGTCTGGCAGACATTGGATTCCTTGATACCTTTTCCGTAGCCACTGCTCGGCGCATCATTTTCCATTCTGGGTCAGAATTTCCTGGTTATTCTTTCTCGAGTGGAAGATCTTTTTCTTTGAGTTTAAAGATGTCTTGATTTGGGGGATGCTGCTGCTGGTGGTTGTGGAAGTTTCCTGGGCAGTGTGCAGCTGTCAGCCCAGCAGGGCGTGTCTGGAATGGGGACAAGAAGCTGACCTTTCCCTGGTCACAGGGTGTCCAGGGTCACCCACACCCTCCTTTGTGCACTGCTGGCCTTGGTCATCGTCTTCCTTCACTGTGGGCACCTCTGTTCCTCCCCCTACTCCTCTTCTTACTAGAATGGGCAGAGTCAGGAGCCCAGGGGGCATCTTAGCACAAAACACCTCAGTGAGCCCAGAGGCTGGGGAGCGTGGATTGCTGCATCTGGAGGCCACGGCTCTAGGTCCAGTCTCAGAGGATGCCTGAGCTTGTTGTCTTTTATCTGTCCCAAGGCCATGGACAAAATCCCAGGCCAGGAGGAGTCTCCATGTGCCTGCATGTGCCATTGTTGCTCCCCACACACCTGTTTCCTCCTGGGACCCTCAGGCCCTTGGCCCTGGGTGCCATCTGCATCTTTCACTTCTCAGCTCTTTCTGATGCCCTGTGCTGGGGGAGGGGCTTCCAAGACAAGACCTGAGACCCCAGACCCATCTTCTTGGCTCAGGACTCCTCATCCCCTACCAGGTGCTGCTGATCTTGTCCCCGGGAGGGAGAGGGGGAGGCAAGGCCCAACTTCCCCGGGGTCAGCCTGCATCTCGTGCTGACCTCCCTGCCCTGCCCGCTCGCCCTCCTCCTGAGCGGCCTCCTGGCCTCTGCGTGGGCTTCAGGGCTAGCTATGGCAGGAGGAGCTCCCATTTCCTGGGCTAGACCCATGCTAGGCTCCTGGTTTTAGAGTTCTGCTCATCCTTTAGAACATCCACACATCTTTTGTGAACACCTGCACATTGCAAAGAAATCCCGATGGTGAGGAAGTGCTTGGAAAGGAGCGATCCTCCTCTGTTGACTGTCCTTACCGGCCTCACCTCTTCCTGAGAGTTTACTTCTGACCCTCCTAGGTCTTTAAAATGTATTTGCTTGTGTAAGCGTATGTGTAGATTTTTTTCTTGTTTTGGTACGTAGTAAGCGCATTTGATGTGTCTTGTTCCTCAGCCTGCTTCCCCACGTGACAGTATGTCTTGGGAATCTCCCTGTGTGGGCGGAGGACTCTCCTCTCTTGGACTCTTTGGGAGTTCAGGGTGATCTTGTTCTATTTGCCTGTTGATCATTGTTCAGGTCCTTTCCAAATTTCATTACAAACACTGCTGCAGTAAACATGCTGCAGTAAACATGCTGACAACACTTAGGAGGATTTCATGATGGATTTCTTTCTTTTTTTTTTTTTTTTTGAGACAGAATCTCACTCTGTTGTCTAGGGTGGAGTACAGTGGTGCGATCTCGGCTCACTGCAACCTCTGTCTGTCAGGTTCAAGCGATTCTCCTGCCTCAGCCTCCCAATTAGCTGGGACTACAGGTGCGTGCCACCATGCCCGGCTAATTTTTTTTTTTTGCATTTTTAGTACAGACAGGGTTTCACTGTGTTGACCAGGCTGGTCTCAAACTCCTGACCTCAGGTGATCCCCCGCCTTGGCCTCCCAAAGTGCTGGGATTACAGGCCTGAGCCACTGCGCCCGGACCATGATGGATTTCTTTAAGTGAAATTGGTAGTTTCAGGAATTTGCACATTTTATATTTTGATAGGTGCTGCCTGTTTGAATGTAATAATCCTCATGTCCACCAAAAGCTTATGAGTGTGTGTGTTTCTCCATGCCCTCAATAATTCTTAGTATTATAAATTTTCTAAAATTGCCTTTATGAAACAAAAAAAGTGGTATATTTTTATTGCTTTAATTTCCATTTTCTCATTTTTTTTTGTGAGCATAAGAGTGTTTTCATGTTTACTGGCCATTTGTATTTCTTCCCTGATGTACTTGTCCATGAACTTTGCACATTTAAAAAATGTGTTGTCCTTTTCTTGTTAATTTATAGGAACTGTTTATATATCGTGGATTTGATTCTCATGTTTTGAATACGTTCTGTTGGTTTCTCATTTGTGTTTTACTTTATGAAGTCTTTTATTGTAGAGGTTCTGAAACATCAGAATTGTCTTTATGGTTTTTGGATTTTACATATACTTTAGACATTCTCTACCCTACCATTAAACTATTCTCATTGATTCAATCTAGTTTGCTTCATTACATTTGCTTTATTCCACATTGTGTTAACCCATGTAAAACCTCGTATATATTCTGTGAGGTACTTTAAACATTTTCCCATATTGATCTGGTTTTTCCAACAAAATTTATTCAACAGTCAGTTGAGTGAATGTTTTCTGGTAGGTTATGTTATGTTTTCTCCACTGATTTGAAGTAGTAACTTTGTCATAGACTCAATCTTTGTGTGCTTTATCTGTATTTCATATAAACCTCCAGCATAGCCCCATGAGGTGAAGGTACCACTTGTCTCAAAACACAGATAGGAAATCTGAAGTTTAGAGGGTTAAGTAAACTTTCTCAAGATGGTTCCAGTCGTAAGTGTTGAAACCAATAATATATAATAATGTATTATGACATGCCACCAGAGTGTGAAGGGAAGAAGGGCAGGAAGATGGAGAAATGAAGGCTAGGAACTTGCCCTGTGTTCCCGGCATTGTGCCCGTTCTCTCTCTCAGGCTCTTGTCTCCACCCTGATCCTCACCTTTGCAGTCCCTACTCAGGGCCCAGATAGCAGGACCCATGGGCTGGGACTTGGAGGTGGGATGTCTCCATAACCTGTCCATACGGAAAGGAAAGGACCCCGCCTCGGTTCCAGGATCCTTGCTTGCCTGGGAGGAGCCGCTAGGGGTCAGTGTTGTCCATCCAGAGGCCCTGTCCTGTACTGATGATGGGCCACTGAGGCCCTGGAGGATTGGGTTTTTGGGAGATGATGCCGGTGCTCCCTAGCTTTTTCTTCATTTCCTGTGCATAATTTCCACTCCTTCCAGTGAACTAATGATGCTGCACATAGATGAGAAATAATGTTCCCTTTATCCATGCGTATGTGTTGACATCGGCCTTTACACAGTTTTTTTTGGACTCTTGCGGCTTTCTTTAATTCATTCAAATAATGTGTTTGTTTTAGAAGTTAGGGATGCCAAATTTAGTACATAAAAATACATTATTCCTGGTTAACTGTGGATTTTAGATAAACAATAAATACTTTAAAAAAAAAGTTTATGTATGTCCCATGCAATATTTGGGATATACTTACACTGAAGATTCATTTGTTATTTATCTGAAAATCTGTATTTTAGATAACTGGACATGCCGTATTTGAGCTGGTGAGTGTCTTGTGAGTAAACCTTTTCTGGTAGGTTATGTTCTTTTAATGCATGGGGGAAATGTCTGGTCTTGTTGGCTGATTAAAGCCTGTTGAGCACACTCCTTTTGTTTATTACTAGATGGGAGATGTTGGCTACCTCATATCAGCAAAGGCTAGAAGAATAATTAGCTGAGGGAGAGGAGGGGAGACCCTTCAGAGTTTGCTTTCTTTCTGCAGTTTACATTTGTTAATACTTTAAACACGTGGATTAGCTCTATCGAGGGTCAGAACAATGCTTGTGGAAATAGAGATTTAACAGAAAACAGAAATCACCTTCATTCTGTTTCATTTGAATTAAAAAAGTGACTGCTGGCATTTTCTAACATAGCTCTCTAAAAGTTACTTGAATTAGGATGAAGGAACGTACTTGAGTTTGCTATGCAACATGAAGGCAGTCTTATGTTAATTTGACGTCTGAAATTCCCTGTGCCGCGAAGAGCAGCGCTGGGGGGTTTGCCTGCTTGGGTGTCGACGTCAGCTGTCAGAGCAGGAAGCTTGGTTGGGCCTGGGTATTTTTGCACGTGAATTTCTGTGTCGAGGCTCTGCTTGTGTCTCTTACCTGGACCTCGACCCCTCGTGGGTTGTCAGTGACTTGAGTGCCGCATGGGTCCATCACATTTCATTTGCTTTGTGGGACCCTGAAAAATGCAGGACAAGGTCTGGTAAGAGTTCAGGTGTTGACAAAAGACACAGCTCCGACCACGGGGCATTAGGTCATCTGCATGAGCATACCTCCTGAATTCAAAATCGAAACAGCCCCAAGAATTCCTTCGGTCTTCCTGAGACATGGGCTTCCCAGATGTGGAGAAATGTTTAGCCCTGTCAGTGGCATGTGATCTGTGGCCTGTGATTTTCACAAGAGATGGGGAATCAGTGGTCAGGATCGCACAGTGTGTGAGTGTATCAGCCCTCACTGTGATGTGGTTCCTTTGGTGAACACATTTCCTCTGGCTGTAACTTGATTTTGTCTGTGCATGAGCTAGCCTTATTTAGTTTTGATTAAAAAATGCTAAGTGAATATGTGTGGAAAAAATCCGTGGCCAATCACCATTCTTTTGGGAATTCTGTGTCCTGTGCTTGCACTGTTGAAGAATTACTGGCGTATTAGTTGTAGATTCCACGGGGCAAATGGAAAAGGCGTAAAACAGTGGGCTCTTCCCATGCCTCCACTTGCAAAGCGATCTCTCACTTTTTTTTTTTCTTTTTTTTGAGAGATGGGTGTATAATTGATGTAGAAGGTTCTGGAACCTGGTGTGGCTCCGAGATAAGGCCCTTCCGAGTCAGGGGAGGTTGTGACTTCACCTGCCTGTTTTTCAGGGGGAACCTTTTCACCTGCGTGTGTGTGTTTCGGGGGAACCTTTTCACCTGTGTGTGTGTTTCAGGGGGAGCCTTTTCACCTGCGTGTGTGTTTCGGGGGGAGCCTTTTCACCTGCATGTGTTTCATGGGGGAACCTTTTCACCTGCATGTGTGTTTCATGGGGGAACCTTTTCACCTGCATGTGTGTTTCATGGAACCTTTTCACCTGCGTGTGTTTCATGGGGGAGCCTTTTCACCTGCGTGTGTTTCGGGGGAGCCTTTTCACCTGCGTGTGTTTCGGGGGAACCTTTTCACCTGCGTGTGTTTTGGGGGAGCCTTTTCACCTGCATGTGTGTTTCAGGAGGGAGCCTTTTCACCTGCGTGTGTTTCGGGGGAGCCTTTTCACCTGCGTGTGTTTCATGGGGGAACCTTTTCACCTGCGTGTGTTTCGGGGGAGCCTTTTCACCTGCGTGTGTTTCGGGGGAGCCTTTTCACCTGCGTGTGTTTCGGGGGAACCTTTTCACCTGCGTGTGTGTTTCGGGGGGAGCCTTTTCACCTGCATGTGTTTCATGGGGGAACCTTTTCACCTGCGTGTGTTTCATGTGGGAACCTTTTCACCTGCGTGTGTCTCGAGGGAGCCTTTTCACCTGCGTGTGTATGTTTCAGGAGGGAGCCTTTTCACCTGCGTGTGTTTCGGGGGGGACCCTTTCACCTGCGTGTGGGTGTTTCAGGGGTGAAGCCTTTTTACCTGTGTGTGTTTCGGGGGAGCCTTTTCACCTGCATGTGTTTCGGGGGAGCCTTTTCACCTGCATGTGTGTTTCAGGAGGGAGCCTTTTCACGTGCGTGTGTTTCGGGGGAACCTTTTCACCTGAGTGTGTGTTTCGGGGGAGCCTTTTCACCTGCATGTGTTTCATGGGGTAACCTTTTCACCTGCGTGTGTTTCATGGGGGAAACTTTTCACCTGCGTGTGTTTCGGGGGAGCCTTTTCACCTGCGTGTGTATGTTTCAGGAGGGAGCCTTTTCACCTGCGTGTGTTTCGGGGGGGACCCTTTCACCTGCGTGTGGGTGTTTCAGGGGTGAAGCCTTTTTACCTGTGTGTGTTTCGGGGGAGCCTTTTCACCTGCGTGTGTTTCGGGGGAGCCTTTTCACCTGCATGTGTGTTTCAGGAGGGAGCCTTTTCACCTGCGTGTGTTTCGGGGGAACCTTTTCACCTGCGTGTGTGTTTTGGGGGAGCCTTTTCACCTGCATGTGTTTCATGGGGGAACCTTTTCACCTGCGTGTGTTTCATGGGGGAACCTTTTCACCTGCGTGTGTTTCGGGGGAGCCTTTTCACCTGCGTGTGTATGTTTCAGGAGGGAGCCTTTTCACCTGCGTGTGTTTCGGGGGAGCCTTTTCACCTGCGTGTGTATGTTTCAGGAGGGAGCCTTTTCACCTGCGTGTGTTTCGGGGGGACCCTTTCACCTGCGTGTGGGTGTTTCAGGGGTGAAGCCTTTTTACCTGTGTGTGTTTCGGGGGAGCCTTTTCACCTGCGTGTGTTTCGGGGAAGCCTTTTCACCTGCGTGTGTTTCGGGGGAACCTTTTCACTGGCATGTGTGTGTTTCAGGGGGGAACCTTTTCGCCTGCATGTGTGTGTTTCAGGAGGAACCTTTTCACCTGCGTGTGTTTCAGGGATGAGCCTTATCTCCTGCCAGCATATGTTTTGTCACGTCTTGTTGCTTAAATGGTGTTTGAGGCAAGGTACTGTCAGTTCACATTGCGGACTTATTAACGAGAACACGCAAGAAGGGCTTTGTGTTGTTTCTCTCCACACAGGAACTTCATGAACCCTAGCATTTGATCTGTGCAGCTTTTCCTTTCCTAGCTTGTAAAACTTGTGGCTGTTTTCCTTTTGGGAACATATATGCATCCCTTCCCTTGTAAAGAATGCGTGTAAATTGTGTTGTGGACATCCGTTTTAATGGGTCTCTGTTAGATTGTGCTGCCAGCTGCAGAGTGCTTGAATCCTGGGGTCTCCGAGTGTTCCAGGTGAGAGTCCTGCGGTGTGCACAGCCCAGGGTCTCCATGCAAACTCCAGGTGGCCAGACGCATTAAGATTTAGAGTTGCGGAGCTCAGTGTGATATTGAGAGTACATCTTGTCTTCCTTTATCAGGTAAAAATGAACCGGTGACAGAAATAAATTATCTTTGCTTTTCTTAAGGATTTGTATGGAGGAGAATTAATTTAGGTGGTTTTTCTTATCTATTCCAGTTTGTCATTGTTTACGATTGGAGATTTCTTTCTAACCTGTTCTGCCCACAATATATGCAGTTTCTGCTTGTCCTATCCTCCAGATATATGGAATTCATATCTTCTCCTCCCATGCCTCCCCAGTGCCCCATGTCTGCCCCCCATCATCCCGTCCCTGCTTCTTGCCCCTTGGCTGGAGCCCTCCATTTATTTGCTCTGTGCTAGGGTATGTCTGCTTCATAACCCCTTTCTGTTTAAGTGGTGGTTTCTGGGTATCTTTTAATTCTCTATCTCTCCATAAATACAGAGTCCTACTTCTCTTATAGCCTTAGAACTGCCTCATAATTAGTCGATTTAATTCTGAGGTTGTGCTTGTTGTTTTAACTGTCTTTTGACCTATATTTCTGAATCCTACATTTAGCTTCCGGAAAGTTAGGGCAGTCACGTGTTTGCAGGTGCAGCTCTGCTCCATAGCCTGAGTGTATGAGTACATGGTCATCATCCGTCAGGCCCCTGGAGACCGTGGTCTGCTTCTTACTGCCGCAGTGCAGGGAGTGCCGAGGGACCGGCCCGCTCTCCGCAGGCTCTTCTGCGTGGCTGTGGCAGGAGCTGTCTCCTGGTTTGCTGGGTCAGGGCCCTTTCCAGGAACAGTTTACTGTGTCTTATTTAGTGCTTGTCCTCCACATCTCTAGCTGATGGTAGTGTCTTCCTGAATTCTAGGCAACTCTACCAAATTCCAATTGGGTGATACTAGCATAGATACCCTGGCTGAATTTTTCTGGGATTTACCTTCACTTGCTCATGTAGCCATGGAGATATTTAAAATAACGATAATACTCACTGGTAGTCTGGTGCATTATTTAATTTCTAAGATTAAAAACAAAAAACAAAACAAAACAAAACACTTGCCTTAAAATGGCCAGAGTCATACAGTTTGATCCATGTGTGAGGCAGAGAAATTCCTGATGACTTGGGCACCAGACCCGGCCCGCTGTGTGATTCAGATCTGTGGAAACTTTTTCAGAAACTTGTCTTTGCTTTGAAAATACTTATGTTGTGGCACTTTGTACACTTTCTTACTGTAGGTAAAATCAAAGAAATGTGAGGTGTTGGCAAAACATAGGTGATACTTAGTGTAAAGTAGTGCCCTCTGTAATAGTGAAACATGAGGTTTATTTTGGGATGTTGTTCACCCATAGGACCTGCTCCCTGTGGCTTGGATGTTTTGAAAAGACTCCAGGAACTTAGTGTGGAATTCTTATGCCCCATTTCCCCTTCAAGCAAACCCTTGAGTTGTCTAGCAGGTTCTGTGGAGAGCAGGGGGAGGGACCCGGTGGCAGCTTTGCAAACACAGAACTCACGGGGGCTCAGCCCGGGCTCTGCTTTCCAGCTCTGAGACAAAGTCTGGCCTCACGGACTGGACCAGGATACCAGTTAGGACGTGGGACTTGTTCCTTAAAGCTCGAAGCCCTGGAGCAACTGCCAGCACAGCGTCTCCATCACCTAAGGCCTAGCCCGCCATACCTCTGGCAGCCAGGACAGCAGCCTCGGAGCCTCAGCTGCCCTGCTCCTCTTGGGAGGTTTATGACTTCTGAACTTGACTTCACACCCTGTCTCTAGAGCCCTTTTCCAATATGCACCAGCCTAAACGCAGAATGACTTCCTAAGTGTAATTCATCTTGCTTTGTAAACGTGTCAGTAGTTGACCCTGAACATACATATTGTGCATAAGAGTGGTGTTTGGGATGCATGTTGATCTTTGAGCAGGAGGCGCACACTGCATTCTAGGGCAGGAGCTGTTAGAAATTGTCCACGCCCAGGTGCTCAACTCAGAATCACAGTCATCATGGGACATCTCCTTGTTTGTTCTCTTCCATTTCTCTCCTTTTGGGCACCACCAAAATTCATGATTTATAAAGCAAATCCATTTTTTGGTCTGTTGGTGTTTTCAAAAGACATCACTAAGGAAATTCAGTTACACTTATTGATATTGTGGATGAAGTACCCATTCATGGACTAATCTGGGAATTTCACTACTAAGCATAAACTTTCCTGATGAAAGTACATTTTTACTTTTGAACAGCAAGTTTATAAATACTGTTTGTTTTTTTTTATATATATAGAATATGACACATTCAGGAGGTGTAACCCCTCCCCAGCCCAGCATGGCAAGGTGAAATAGAGGCTTGGGAAGCATAAACTTTTACAGCCACAGGAATTGCTTTTACCTGCAAGTTTTTTTGATCATCTGTCCTACTTAGAATATTTTTTTAAGTATCCACTGTTTTCCACGAAATAACATGCCCCACTCCCCAATTTCCACATACAAATAGTCCTGAGAATAGTGTATATATACCTAAAATGAGCAGCGTGGTTGACTTTACTCCTTATAGTCTAGTACTTTACTGATTTTAGCAGTTTGACAAATGACCTCCCTGGAATTCAGTGTATGGTAAGATGACCTTTACAGAAATAAGCAAAAAATAGAGACAGCAATGAGGGCCGGGGGTAGAGAGCAGATTTTGGGCCAGAGGGTGAGAAGGACACTGGAGGAGTTTGGATGGTCAAGTAGACATCATAGATTTGGACAATGAGCATCTGCAGTGCTACACCTTTTACACCATCTCCAGCTGCTTACTTAGATCTTAAGCTTATTTACACCATCTCCAGCAGCTGACTTAGATCTTAAGCTTACTGCAGATGTAAGAGCAGTGATAATTGACTACCAACAGTGAAAACCTACAGAAATGCAGGTATTAAATGCCTACTAAACAAAAGCACCTCAGCACCTGGGGCTGTTGTGGGAGCCATGGGATCCCCAGGTACCTGGAGTCGCTCCCTCATGATCACCTGTGTGAGGTCAGTAGAAATACCAGGGCTGCCTCTCGCTCCACATGCGTGGGCCTCACACACAGTGGGGACTCCTGGCTTCCAGGCTGGGAATGAATATAAAAGGAGCAGTGTTTATGAGACAAGTAGTATTTTTATTGTATATGTTCTCATGAACTTGTATTAGTCTCTTCTCATGCTGCTAATAAAGACATACCTGAGATTGGGTAAGTTATAAAGGAAAGAGGTTTAATGGATCACAGTTCCATGTGTCTGGGGAGGCCTCACAATCATGGTAGAAGGTGAAGGAGAAGCAAAGGCATGTCTTAATGGCAGCAGGCAAGAGGGCTTGTGCAGGGGAACTGCCCTTTATCAAACCGTCAGGTCTTGTGAGACTTATTCGCTGTCACGAGAACAGCACAGGAATGATTCAGTTACCTCCCATCAGGTCCCTCTCAGTACATGATGGAATTATGGAGCTACAGTTCAAGATGAGATTTGGGTGGGGACGCAGCCGGATCATATCCAACTGTTGTGAAATTGAAGTATTTTATTTATGTATTGTTATATTACGTGCAATTTAATCGTTGTAGAAAATGCAGATAAGGGAAAAGAAAAAGAAGGTATCACTGCTCATAGGTAACGATATTTTGGTCTGGCTGCACCTTCCTACGAATATCCTTTGTGTATACACATTTGATACACGTGTCCCTTTAGTATGTTTTTCTCTTGAGTGTACACACATACACCTAACACATCTGGAAGATACTTGTCTCTATCCCATTGTTTCAACTTAATACATTTGAGCTTTTGTTGTCCACGTGTATACAGCCTCGTGTATAATCCTGGACAATCCTGAATTCCCCCAGGGTCTCAGAAAGTGGGGATGTAACCCATTTCTGGCATTTAGAGGCTCAGGTTTCCAGAGTAGGAGTGGCTGCGACCCACAGTGTCTGTGCCTAACGGATGTGTTTTATTGGTGAGATGGTGTGAAATGGAAGTGGACCCCTATCCTGTCAGGGTCCAGCCCCAGCTGGGCACCAGCTTGCTCTGTGTCTCACATTTTTCGTCTGCGGAATGAGGTGTTTGGGCTGGAGGAAGTGGGCACCCATCTGCCCTGCAGACCCTCTGCCCTTCAGGCTTCCATTCCTTTGCTTATCCTAGGTCACAAGGCTTTTTAATTTCTACTTACTAGCAAATGGGATTTAACATCATTTGTTCAATTTTGGCTTTAAAACTAAATTCATTTTCCCCGGCTTTGCATTGCATTATAGCGTTTGAAAAAGGAAATTGAGATTATAATTACATTTAAAATAAAGTTATTGTTAAAGGATTGTTTCCACTTTCTTTTTTTCACATTTAGAGGTAACCCAGAAGCACAATCTTCTATTTCTTAATGGTTTTTTTTTCATATTTTAAGCCTGTATGTTTGCATCAGTGACCCGGGGAGTTAGGATGCAGCGTATGTTACAGTGCGTGTCATAGTGTGTGTTACAGTGCGTGTTATAGTGTGTTACAGTGCGTGTTACAGCGTATGTTAGTGTGTTACAGCATGTTGTAGCGTGTTACAGCATGTTACAGCATGTGTTAGTGTTAGTGTGTGACAGCATGTTACCGTGTATGTTATAGTTTGTTATAGTGTTACAGTGTGTGTTAGTGTTACAGTGTGTTACAGCATATGTCACAGCGTGTTATAGTGTGTTAGTGTGTTACAGCATGTTACAGCGTGTGTGTTATAGTGCGTTACAGTGTATGTTAGTGTGTTACGGTGTATGTTAGTGTGTTATAGTGTGATAGCGTGTGTTACAGTGTGTTATAGCGTGTGTTACAGTGTGTTATAGCATGTGTTGCAGCGTGTGTTACAGTGTGTTACTGTGTATGTTACTGTGTATGTTGTAGCATGTGTTACAGTATGTTACAGTCTGTTACAGTGTGTGTTGACAGTGAATGGATGTGGTGGGGAAACACAGTTGTGGGGCTGCCACAGGCAGTGAGAAGGAGAAACGTAGAATCCTCATATTCAACTGACGTTTATTTTTACCGAAAAAGCTACTTATAATTCAATTTTAAAACGTCACTGCTATACTTGACCCTCTGGCCGAGAATCCTTTGTAAGATAACTAGCAAAATTGTGGAATCTCACATTTAATAAGTGACACTCTTTTGCATTTTGTATATTTAAATATCATTTTTCAGAGGTTTAGATGATTTAAATATTTCTTAACTTAGGGCTTTCTGAAACTTATGCAGAAACTCAATGGTAGTCGTAATTCCATAAAGGAAATGATACATATATTTGTAGGAATAGTAAGAAAATGTTGAGTGTGGTATTTTCTCTAATTGAAAGCTACCAAGTTAATATAGTTAATTACATCAAAAAGGGAGAAAAATCCTTTGAAGTTTTATTACTTCTTGGCTTTCAGTAACAAAGCAGTATCAGATGTAAATTCTGAAATAGGTTTTTATGGAAGATTACTTAATATGATACATTAAGGTAAAAATCCGTGCTTGGATTATATACCTATTTAAATATGTTTACAAAGCATGTGCTAGAAAAATTGGTAAATTACTTGTAAATATCTTTGGTTAAAAACCAAAAGTCATTGATGTTTCCCCGTTATTGAAGGCAGAAGACTTTTGAGATTTTAAAAGTTTCTCAAGATTCCTGGCGGTGTTCTTACAGCTTTGGTTTCCACGCTTTCATGGGTTAATAAAATGTTGAAAGAGCCGGGAGGAGTGTAGAGTAAAACATTTAAAGCTAAAATCGTGCACCCAGCTTTCTGCCCTTGCCTGGGACAGGGAGAGCCTGTTCTTTGAAGTTGAGAATAAGGGACCAGATGAGCCGTTCAGTAGCCGCTGCGGCATCGAGGCATTCGGAGTTCAAAGGCATCTCACTGAGACCATTTGCCAAGTTTCATTTCAGAACTTCACAGCAACCATCAAATGGTTGCAAGCTGAGAAGCATTGTGAAAATCTGTTTATTTCTCAATATCCCAGATCGCCCTGACCCTGTATTCTCCAAGTTATTTATGGAGGTCTTTGGGTTATGTTTCCCAGGCATGAGAACAGCTAAATATTTCTGCATTCGTTTTTTTTTCTTTTTTGTTTGCTTATTAACAACAGCGGTAATTTGAGATTAAAGTCCCTCCCCCCTTTAATTTGAGGAGGGACAATGGAGAAATGAAAGAAGGATATGTTCTTTTATCTAAAATCAATGAGGAAGGAGGCAGAATTTAAGAAGGGGGAGAATGTGTTTTAAATGGGTATTTTCAATTTGCTTTTCGCCATTACTGAAGTTTCTCAAGGTTTTATTTTATATGAGACTTTTAAACCTTAGCTTCAACTATTGTAAAGGCTTAGGTGTGTAGGCGATGGTCCTCACATTGACTATTCAGAGATGTTTCTGATGAATTCTAAACTAGGAACTATTGGTTTCTGGCTCTTGAAGGCCTGCAGAAAATCCAAATCACAATTTCCTGAACTAATATTTGTGCTTGGATTAAAGTTTTATTTGAAACAGGATTAAATATTTGACTAAAATCCCCAAACCCCCAAACAGTAAGTTTGGATAACTTATACCTCCTTGGTTATTAATGGAAAAATCTCATGACCTTTGACATGGTGTAAAGCATGGGCGACATTTCAGCGTAGGCTCTGCCCAAGAACATCACAGCATTCTCACAGACTTGGGGAGCATCACTAGCTTTGTCTAAAGGTGGTGAAGGCCAGGGCGCTTCATTCCTGGTGTGCGATACGAAAAGGGGCAGTCCTGCCTGGGGAACCGGCCGCCTCTTCCAAGGAGGACCAAAGTGTGGTTTCCAAACATGATTTTCTTAAAATGTCTTACTGCAAAGTGGTTTTCATTACTAAGTGAACATTTGTGTTTCCTGAGAGTTTTTCCTTCACTTTCAGTAAGATTTAGTGATTCTGTGTGCTACAAGTTGACCTTTTATTCCAAAACAGTTGCACACTTAGTACAGGAGGATGTATTGTTAGAAACAGCTTACTCTGTTAGTATAAATTAATGAACTTCATTTCCAGCTATTGAAAACAGTTGCTAACAGTATATTGACTCATTTGCAAACTGAGGTAATTGGTAGTTGGAACTGAAGCAAGTATTTAAACCTGTAGCTTTTACAGTAAGAGAGATGCTAACTTTCGAAGATACACATTGTTAAGGGACCCAGGGCCTCATTTATGCCTCACGGAACCTGAGTGGTGCAGACTTATCCTGAATCAGAAACCCTGAACTCTGTTGAGGACATGCTGCATTTTGAGCCGGTTTCTCTATGCAGTTGAAGTGAGAGAGATGCAATTTGCAGTAAGCTTGTATTTAGAAGCATTCTTTCCTGGGCAGGAGGTAACTTGGTTCAAACAGCAAAACAGGCTCTTTCCACGGCTGTTTCCCCGAGAACCCCGACTCCTCCACTGCAGCCGTTGCACTTCAGAACCCACCTCCGCAGAATCCAACGGAGAGGCAGGTTCTGCATGGCCACCGCTGAGAGCTGGCTGTGCCCTCTTTGCACCCCCTTGATCATGGAATATACATCCACTTACTTACAGTCTAAGGCGATGGCTCAGAGGCGTGCACTTAGTGGTTGGAAAATTCACATCTAGTAAAGTTAGATGGGTGTCAAAGCCACAGCCGGGCTTGCCGTGACAACCGTCAGTGCCAGGCCATTGTCACACACATGAGCTGGCCAGAGAATAAGTGCTCTGGGAACACTCACGCCTTATCAGTTCTGTTCTGTTAAGAGCTCTTCTCAGCTAGCTCTAAACTACTATTTTCTTTTTCTTTTCTTTTTTCCTCTTTTCTTTTTCTTTTTTTGAGACGGAGTCTTGCTCTGTTGCCCACGCTGCTGGAGTGCAATGGGGCGATCCTGGCTCACTGCAACCTTCACTTCTTGGGTTCGTACAATTCTGCTGCCTCAGCCTCTCCAGTGGCTGGGACTGCAGGCATGTACCACTACACTTGGCTAATTTTTGTATTTTTAGTAGAAATGGGGTTTCACCAGGTTGGCCAGGCTGCTCTTGAACTCCTGACCTCAGGTGATCTGCCCACCTCGGCCTCCCAAAGTGCTGAGATTACAGGCGTGAGCCACCGCATCCAGTGTAAACTACTATTTTTTTGTATTAGAACCCAGAGCTGATCCATTGTGGTGAGACATTTAAGAATGTGTGGTGTCTGTGTGTGCACACACGTATCACTTGATTTGAAAAATAGATTAAAAGCCAGATTCTCTATGTGTTTAATATCACATAGTTGGTGCGAACATGATTGGCCCATTCTTCTCATGACTTATGTCATTTTAAGAAATTTAAGACCAAATTTTAGAATTTATTGGTTTATCTTTCACATAATTATTCTTAATTGAGCCTTTAAACAACTACAGTGCTAATGAAGTAGGTAACCTTCTTCGGGTGAAGAAAGTTAAAGAAAACCTGAAAAGAGAATTTTGATCGACAGTAGTATGTAGATTCAAATAGCAGTTTGTGGTTTACTGTGTAACTCTTGAAAATCACCAGAGACACGAAAACTGTGTACATTCAGCATTGCCTGTATTGCCAGCTGGTATACATAGTGACAGAGGGCATTTGTTCTGTGATCAGCTAAATTGTAAGACATTATATTACATTTTAGGGATGAAAACCCTTAAAATAAACTGAAACCCAGCTGAGGAAAATAACACGTGGAACTGGTATCCCAACTTTAAATAAGATTATTTTTCAGTGAAATCGTACTTCAGGATATGCTAGTATGCTGTTCAAGAAAGTAGGAAAATGGCTTGTTTCAGAATAAGTAGGCTTTTTTAAACAACTGGATTGTAAACAATTGGTAATGCTGAAAGCCAAACAACAATGAAGGATTTCACTAATTTAATGTAAATACATAGGAATCTATATATGTACATGTTAGTCTTTAAAATTCTGTAAGAAATACAGTTTTAAAGTGAAGTTTTTGAGTAAGGGTAAAAGATAATGTTTTGATGGCCTAAGAATTTCTCAAGAATAAAACTTTTTGTTCCAATGTTTGTTTAAAAAAAGTGACATGAAATTTCTTGAACTGTTTAGTAATCAGACAAACTGCTTAAATATTGTATCAGTTTGAAAAAACATTTAACGAAACCTTTTAAATAAGCAGATGTTCACTAGTCTTGAATACATAAGAACTGTGTGAAGACTTGGGACATTTTTGTTCATGAGGTTTCGTGAAGATTTTTCTTGTTCACCAATATTATTGGCTTTTACGTCATCATTTAAAGACCTGTTTCAATTTTAGTTTTATACAGTCACATTGAACCCCTGCCCAAAGTGGGTTAGATGAAGAAAACATATATCTTAGCATAAAATCAGTTCCGGTGGGAGGAAACCGTGGCAGCCCAGATATTTGGGGGTGGGCGTTAAGGTGTGCTGAGGTATTCGAGGGGATGAAATTGAACCAGTCATGACATAATTTTTTTTTTGAAACAAAAAATGTACTTTATCTTATTAATATAGTCATATAAAGTGAATGTAGTTGGTTGATTGATAATGGGATTGCATGGGAAACCTGGATCCTTTTCTCTTCCTTAGTCCTAGCATCTTTCTATCGATTGATTGATTGAACAGACGTCTGTTGGGTGTGGTGCTGCTAGGCAAGATGAACGATACCCTCTCCCTGCTGCCTAGGAGCCTGGCGTCCGCCAGAGAAGGATTTTAGATATGTGTAATTTATATATAATTTTAAAGTCATGTAGTAGTAGAATTTAACTGCTAAATTCTACTTAAAGTTCTTCCACTACATTTTTATTGTTTTGGCAAGGTTTGCAGGATTGAATTAGTCACTAAGGAGAGAGAGAGTGTGGTCAACTTTAAAGCCACAGAAAATCTTTTTTAAAAAATGGGAATAAACCGTATGGCATTTTCAGCAGTACGTCCTGTTTCCAAATAATAGCACTTCGTTTCTGCCTCCGCTTCCCGCTTCCTCACAGAGGCCTTGGTTTCAGCATTACCTTGGCAGGTGCAGTGTCTCATGTCTAAGGAGAAGTGGGCCTCTGAGCAGGGCTCACTGTGGGCCGCGGTGGCGTGCAGTGATGCTAGGTTCTGGTAGGTTCCGGGTAGGTTATGGCGGGACTCAGAGGTGGGCGAGGTGGAGGGAGGATGCCACACTCAGCCCGGTGTCCCGGGACATTGAGGGAAGAAAGACTAGAAAGAAGACCCGGAGTTCTTTGGGAGAGGAGAGGACTCAGTGGGACCATGGAATCCCTGGTTGCCCAAAACTGTGTCCAGACAAAATCTTGAGAGGAAAAGAGTCCAGGAGCTGCCTCAGTTGCTGTTGGTCACTTTGTCACGTGGGGCCACATCTTGGCAACGACTTGACTTCCTGCTTCCACATCAGGAGGCACGGTGTGTCCTTATCCTCCGGCCTCCCCTCCCTTCCTCTATTACCCAGTGCATTGCAGTCCTTGAGGAAGAAATGAGGTCAGTCTCCATGGCCATTGTCTTCCTAAGGCTGGCCCTGCTGATCGCCAGGTGGGTTCGTAGAGTGTGTGGGCTCCCGTCGGTCCCCAGGTGAGTGGAGGCAGTGTTTGGGGTCACGCCTGTGTGCAGTAGGACTAAGCTAAGAGTAGGAATGGCCCTCCCAGGAGGGGAGGAGAGCCTTGGGCTGGAGTGGCCCACCCAGAGTCAGGGCTGTTTTCAGGTTTTCCTGTTTCAGGCCGTCCCTTTGGGTGCCGTGTACGTCCCCTCTGTCCCCAGTGAGGAAGGAGAGCATCGCCAGGGTGTTCTCCCCTGGAAGTGCAGCAGCAGTCAGCACGGCGACCTTCGCTGGTCTTGGTCCCGGACTTAGGAATGCAGCCTCATCAGGGAGCTGTGAATCATTAGTGCCGCTTCCTCTGAAAATAGTTTTTGACATTCAGCTGCAACAATGCCACTATTTACCATCTACATGGTGGTCTCTGGGCTGCTCTTGCATTTTGCCGAGGTCATTAAAAAATCTGGAATACACACCCACACGGTCTTGGAGAGGATACGTTTTATGATCTGGGATCATCTCGGGTTGACTCCTTTGAATGTTCAGATGTTTTTATTTTAAGAGTATTTTAAGGTTAAGATGACCTATGTGCTTTGCTAGTTTTCTTATCTAAGTATGTGATAATAAAAAGTGGTATTTTAAATATTTTAAAAACTGCTTTATGCTGGAGGGGTGGTACACGTTTTCAGGCACTGTCTCCCCACTGCCTGAGTGCAGAGGGCTCCTGGCAGAGACTGTCCCATCCACCTCCTCATTTTGTGGATGAAAAAGGAAGGTCAAGATGAGGTTTCAGGTCTTTGGAGCCTTCTGAGCCCTCTCCGTAGTCAAGCGGTAATTTTAGGACTTGTTGAGTTTGATGCTTTGGGCTTTTGTGTTTCAGAAGTTTTTTGTGGTGTTTTCAACACATCCTTCCATGCTTTTGGCGTATTTTGTAACTTTTAAGTATTTTATAGTTTTAATTTTGCTTTGTTCCCCACCTTTGCTGCTCTCCTCTGAATGCCATGGAATAGTGTCTTGTCTATTAACTCTGATGTCAGTGATCCTAAGTGAAGAATCCAACCTTAGAATTACCTGTGGTTAAGAAATATTTTTGTTGAAGCCGCGACTTGCTGAAATGCTTGGAAATGTTCTTGTCTCCAGTGCAGGATGTTCAGTGGAACTGAGTGTATTTTGGAGGCTGTTGATGTAGAATCTGCACTGTGTGTAGCTGGGGTGCAGTGAGGCATTTTGTCTCTGGGGTATTGCGAAAGGTACACGACACCCATTTCATCCAGAATGACAGGATTGTGACACTCAAGGCTGCACAGTCCTTCGTGAGTAGCCCCTGGCCATGAGAGGCTACGTGTTGAACAGGGCAGATTTAGAGACCGTTTCCATCCCGGAGGAGGACCTGTTAGACAGTCCTGACCTCAGGGATTCCATGTGCTTTTCAGTTGTCTTAAGAACACAGCTTCTGAAAATGGAAGCATTTCATAGCAGCAAAGCTGTGTTAGAATTCTAGCTGGTCTTTTATTTCTTTAATCTGAAAGTTTTATCTGCTTTTAGGACATGCAAGTTCTTCTCATTGATATATTGAAAGGCAGACTGAGCACACTGTTGTGTATTCATTTAGAAAGTTGAGTGTGTAGGTGTTTGCTCTTTGATGTGTTTAATTGGCTATAACCTGAGATCTTGAAAAACTCCCCCGGGAGATTGCTGCTGATTGGATGTGTGTTGCGTGTTGTGGCTGCATGGTGAACACTAGGAGGTGAGGAAGAATCCTGTGGTAAAATTTCTCTTTTTCTCCTCCAGCCGACTCTCAAGTCTCCCACAAGTGAATGGTTTATTTTCTTTGATTCCCAAAATAAATTTGCAAGGGGAAGATTTCCATTCTACCAAAACAAATTGAAATTTTTAAAAATCATAGGGTTTTTCCTCCCCAAAAGCAAATTTTACCTGTCAGAGTTCAGTGTAGTTAGAAAAGCGTCTCGGTACCTGAAGCAGGAATGCAGGCTGTGTAGGGAACTGCGGAACCACTGCGCGAGCTTCGGGACCTGTTCGAGGCAAGGCCTCCTCCAGTGGCTCCAGAAAGTGACAGAATGACAGAATCAACCCATCTCAGGAGCTGTTTTCTTTGTGCTGAAAGGAAGAAGCCACAGTCAAAACCGCTTCTTGAGACCTTGGAAGCCAGAGAATGGATACCTGAAGCCCTGACCCGAGAATCAGGAAGCTCTATCAAGAAGCTCTCACTTTTGCCACTATTTTGTGACAACCAGGGGCCTGGAGAAGGAACCCAGCTGTGGCGAGCCCTCATACTTCCCTGTCCTTGCCAGCCAGCACTGGCAGCTGGGAGCCTCCTGTATTAGTCCGTTTTTAACGCTGCTAACAAAGACATACCCAAGACTGGGTGATTTATAAAGGAAAGAGGCTTAGTGGACTCATAGCTCCCCATGGCTGGGGAGGCCTCACAATGATGGTGGAAGATGAAGGAAGAGCAAAGGCACATCTTACATGGCGGTGGGCAAGAGAGTGTGTGCAAGGGAACTCCCCTTCATAAAAACCATCAGATCTCGTGAAACTTACTACCATGAGAACAGTGTGGGGGAAACTGCCCCCATGATTCAGTTATCTCCACCTGGCCCCACCCTTGACACATGGGGATTACTACAATTCAAGGTGAGATTTGGGTGGGGACACAGCCAAACCATACCACCTCTAATGTCTGGATCTCACTGGTGCCTCCAATTTGGGGACATGTAATTTGTAGCAAAGCCTAGCTGCAAGGCAGTCTGGGAAATGCAGCTCTCTCGGTTTTCCACCATCTCCAGCTACAGGGAGGGTGGGCTCATGGTGAAGTAGCAAATCCAGAGAGCCCAGCACAGATGTGAAGAGTTATCCAGACTGGCCACTGAGCATATTTTTGGTGTAATAGTTGGTATACTTTAATATCGTTCCTACCAGAAGAACAGTCTGGCCCACCATGTGATTGTTCTTCAGTCTCTAGTTCAATGAAATGTAAGTGCTTGTTTTCTTTTTTTGCAACACTAATTTTTACTGTAACTTCAAAATCAGCTTCTTAGAATTTTTTCTTTTTAATTTCCATTGGCAAATTAGTTGTGACAATGGTAGCATTTCCTGCAGTGTTCTTGGAGGTCAGGTTAAGAAATCGAATTTGATTAATTTTGATAATACATTTTAATTAATTTCAATAATGAATATTTTGTGATTAAATTTGATAATGAAAATTTGGTCATCAGAGAACTCTGGTGTTCCTGATTTGTATAAAAATAGAGTTTCTATAAATGTACAAAACATATCTGTGCAGAGGAAGTGGAATCCACAACCACATTTAAGCAAAGTCTCAATTTCCCTGGAATCGTTCTCTTGCTGCTCTTCCACTTTAGCTATGTAAATATTTTTTATTTGCTTATATTAGGGAGATTTTATATATAAATGATTATGTCTAGTTATTTGCTGTATGTTTCTCTGCAAGTGTAAAACTTTTATGATTTTTTTTATAGCTTCTTTGTTTTCTGAAGGTTAGATAGATAAGAATATATTTAACTTTTCGTATCTTTGGCTTGGCTTCTGAGTGGGGGCGGAACCTCAGTCTGAGCCTCAATTTAGCAGCGCTCTCGTCAGTGTCCTGAGCCCAGCTTCATGGTAGCTTCACTTCACAGTGTCAGGAGACAGGACTAGAAGTGGGTGCTAAGTATTTCATAGGAAAATGTTTGTCGACTGAGGGTGATACATTACTGGAAATCTAAGGACAGCTTTGTGGAAGTTGTTTTCTGTGAATTAGCGAGCGAACACAAACGTGTCACTATGCAAACATTCACGTGGGTCAGTTTGGAAAGGCCTCTTTTTACGCCTCTTTCTGTCGTTAGCGGTCATGTTCTTCTTGGTGTTAGGGTGCCAGTGTCTCACACAGTCTTGGGAGCCATGTGCCCTCAGTTTCCTAGTTGGATGACAAACATTGACACCTTCCGCCTTTAGACGTTTTTCACCTCCTGGTTCCTTTTAAACCATCCCTTAAACCTCACAGTGTACTTTCCGAGCTATACCAGAGCCATGCACTTCTTCTTAATTTTTGCTATTTTCCCTTGTGACTGGTTTCACCCCGGCTGGAACTCCCGGAGGGTCTCAAGTGTGTCGCTGTCAGGAGAGACGCACGCCGCAGCCCCTCGGAGCTTGCTGTCCACACCAGCCTGCAGCACCTCTTGGATGAGGATCAGTTCACCCACCTTGGAAACAGTCATTGTGTCACTAGGAACTCAGCCTTCCAATAACAGCGGGGAGGTCATAGTGACGTGCGATTAAAAACGTTCATGCAAGGTCTACTTTCCTGGTCCTGCCAGTTCTGTCCCTCCAAGGCTCTGGGTCCTTCCTCACCTCCCCAAATGTAGCAGCCTCATCTCATTTTTTGAGGAGACTGTTGCCTCCCTTGCCATCCCATGAACCATATGGGAAAAAGCCTTCTGGTCCTTTTAAAATGGTGCATGTCTAGCGTGCCAAAACTACAGAGGACAGAAGCAGCGCGGGCTGCACCAAGAGGGTGCAGTTGGCATCATCCAGGTGGTGGGAAGCCGGCAGTGGGCCAGCCTGTGGACCGGGGACCCTCAGACACATCAGGGAAGGACCTGGCTGGGCTGCAGCTCAGAGGGCTGCGTGTTTGAACTGCATAGAGGAATGCAGGGAAGTGAACACTGTGGAAACTTGGGCGGGGCTCTGAGCCCATGGGCCCCATGAGGGGTGTCTGGGTGGCTGGCAACGACTGTTTCTTGCGGGCTGTAGCTATAAGGGTGTTCACCTTCGAATAACTGATTAAACTGCATGTCGTGTTGGGTATTTTCTGTATCCATGTTTTACCATCAGAAAGGATGAAAGAGTTAAGGGGGAAATGGCAGTGTTGCTAGAATGATGCTTGGTGGTGGACGAGTGGATTGGCATGGCTTGTGTTCAGAGGGCGGTGTTGTCTGTGCCAGGAAGGCTGGGGTTCCAATCACATGGCCCCGTCTCCTCGTAATTATGGATGCTGCCGCCCGAGCCCCTGTCCCGACATTGAACCTGCGCTACTGGGTTTCCTCCTCTCCACTCCCCCCCTCTTCTTTGTTATGAGACAGGGTCTCTGTCGCTCAGGCTGGAGTGCAGTGGCACGATCTTGGCTCACTGCAACCTTGATCTCCTGGGCTCAAGGGTTCCTCTCACCTCAGCTGTTCGAGTAGCTGAAACAACAGGTGCACACCACCATGCCTGGCTAATTATTTTATTTTTGTGGAGATGGGGTCTCTGTTGCCCAGGTTGTTCTCGAACTCTTGCACTCAAGTGATCCTCCTTGGCCTTTGGAAGGCTGCCTTGGCCTTCCAGAGTGTTGAGATGATAGGTGTCAGCCACCATGCCTGCCCTGGGTGTCCTTGAATCCACCTCACAAAGTAGAATTAACTCATTTTGTAGCGGAGGAATCCAGAGCCGTTCTAACCTGTCCACCCAGCCTGTGCACGAGAGAACCTGGATTCTGTCTGGGCGAGGTCTCACCCAACAGTGGACGGAGACGCACTGTGTGCCCCGGGTTAGCAAATCTAAGATAGCCCCAGGCAGGAGCACGGGGACTCCGGCCTGGCAGGGGACACTGAGATGCGGCCACTCGGCTGCTGTCTCCCACTCTCAAAGAGGCGGTGCTCGTGTGGGTCTGTCTCTGAGAAGGATAAGACTCTGCACTCCTGGGCCGTCAGTGGATTCTGTGGGGACTTCCTGCTGTGATGGTGAGAAAGAGGGTAATTTTATTGACTATTGGGAACTTTGACATCTCTTAGGTCTACAGGAACGTGTTGGCGAAAGCCTGGAACCCATGATAACGTGCAGACAGGCCAGCAGAGCCAGGAAGGCTTAGGAAAGGGGAGATTTAGGGGAGATGTGGAGCGCGGCTGTCGCTGGCTTTATGGTTTCTTGTTTGTTTTGTTTTGTTTTTCTTTTTAGACAGAGTCTCGCTCTGTCACCCAGGCTGGAGTGCAGTGATGCCATCCTGGCTCACTGCAACCTCCGTCTCCCGGGTTCAAGCGATTCTCCTGCCTCAGCCTCCTGAGTAGCTGGGATTACAGGCGTGCACCACCATGCTCGGCTAATTTTTGTATTTTTAGTAGAGACGGGGTTTCACCATGTTGGTCAGGCTGGTCTTGAACTCCTGATCTCGTGATCCTCCTGTCTCGGCCTCCCAGAGTTCTGAGATTACAGGCGTGAGCCACCGCGCCCGGCCTTGTTTTTGTTGTTAAGAGGAAGATTGGCTAAGTAGATGGACGAGGCTTCAGAGTAGAAATCCAGCACAGGCGCCACCTGGTGGTGAAGAAGTCAGGGTAAAAGAGAGGTTTGGGGTCTGGGCAGCGCGGGCGAGTTGCAGGCCGGGCGGTGCCTCCGGAGGAGGGGCTGCAGGGTGTCCCGTGTGCCATCTGCCCTGAAGGAGGCCCCTCACCTGCGTGCGCTGTCGTCTGATGACAGCTGGGCCTGCTGAGGACGCTTGAGCACGCCTCCCGTGTGGATGTTGGTGTGAGGGCCAGGCATGACTGAGTTGTTCAGTGTATCAGAGGTGGATCTGATCAGTCCGTGCAGAAGCCGCCATGCAAGGTGGGTCCCTGACGGATGGGGTTGGCATGGACTCATCACCCATGGGACGGGGCGGCGGGATTCCAAAGGAAGGTGAGTCGCCTTTGACCCTGACTGAAGTATGGGGAGGGGCAGCCGTCATCAGGCTGAGTGTGACGGTGTGGCTCTGTGTCTCGGACAACACACGCATTCATCACGCGTGTGTCAGCGGAGTCACCAACCGGGGGCGTTTGGTAAAAATACTGCAGGCCTGATGACCGTGGATGTCTCTGAAGGGATGAATGTTTCACCGTGGTGCTTAAATGAACCGCAAGCAGAACCGCAATGAGAACACAACAGAACCGGGTGCCCCGAAAGTGAAAGGGGTAGAAGGGAAGACAGGAACCAGGAAAGGAGGCCCTTCAAGCTCCACGCCGCCCCTCCCGGGCTGGGGCCTGCTGCCTGCTGGCTGTGCTCAGCTGCTTCATGCTGATGCACTGCGGAGTCTCCTGCCGTTGCCCACGCCCTGTCGGTGCCTCACTGAGCCCTTCCTGAGTGTCCTGTCCTATGCGGGTAGCACTGGTGGGTGTGTGCAGTGTGGGGTGGAGGCTGAGGCGGGAGGATCGCTTGAGCCCAGGAAGTCGAGGACACCCGCAGTGAGCTATGATTGCACCACTGCACTCCAGCCTGGGCAAGAGTCAAACCCCTGTCTCAAAAAAGACACAGTCTGTCTGATGGGAGGCTGCACAGTTCGGGGGGCCCTTGGGTTTGTGGTGCCAGTGCAGACCCTGTTCCCTGGAAACCGTGTTCCCGATGACCTCCAGGGTGTGTCCTTATCTTGGCCTCGGGAGGCTGGTTCATCAGGTGCTGAGGAAAGCGAGTATCTGCCTAGCTTGTGCCTGCAATGGGCCCAGCACCTGAGGTCTTTGCTGGGAGCAAAGGGCAGGGTACTGCTTATACCTGGGTTGCTGCATGTGTGGGGAGGGGACCAAGGAGGGTAGGGGGACCATCGACCGTGGCTTAGGACTCTCCTGTCTGCAGGGACGGCCCCACACACACACGCTCCTACTCACAGTCATGCTCACCATACATGGACAGATGCTCACACATGCACACAGTTACAGTGATACACATGCAAACTCGTGCACACATGCTAACATGCACACATATGCTCACACATGTACTCATGCTCAAAGATGCTCATATGCTCATGCACACACAACGCACATGCTGATCACATGCACACGTGCATATGCTCATGCTCACACTCATGCTCACAGGCACAAACTCACGCTCACCCATGTACACATGCACATGCATCCTCACACAGGTGCACTCATACTTACAAACATACACTAGTATGCACACATGCTTACTCATTACATACTCACAAACATACAAACACATGCACACGTTCACACATGTTCACACACATTACTTGTGCAGTCACATGCACACACATGCACACATGCTTACATGCTCACATGCACAAACACAAACTTGCTCACACACATGCACACTCTTACACGTGCACACATGCTCACTCACCCCCACACTCACACAGATACTCTAAAACTGCCGTTCACACACATGCACATTACACGTAGTATATGCACTCACACATACACACGGTCCACATGCACGAAGTGCTGGAGTGGGGCGAGTGGGATCACGTCGTCTCCCCCAGGCGTGTGTGGAGCTGCATGTGAGGTCCTTGGGGACCCCCCTGGCTCTGGGGTTCATGGAAGAGGGCGATACCATGTGGGACCACCTGCTTCCGAGGGTCTTCCCTTTGCCCAGGGCTTGAGATTGGTGACTTTTCAGCAACATTTGTCACTGGAGACTGCTAAGTCCCCAGGGGTGTTGGAGAGCCACAGAGTGGAGTGGGGAGGCCAGTTCTGCCCCAGCCCTGCCCAGTGGACAGGAGCCCCAGGCTGCCAGCCTGTCCGCTGCTGCTCTGGTACCCACGTGGGGGCCACAGGGAGTGGTGGTCGGTGCTCGTTGTCCGCAGGATGCTTAGTCCTTGGACCTGTGCTTTTTGTAGACATCGAGACTGTTGCAGGGGTATGCATGTTCCCCAGATTTTAAAAATCATAAGTATTTCATTACTGGCAGCTGCATCTTTTAGTTTTGATGTGAATACATCATATAGATCATGAAATTGATGGAAATCTGTCAATAGGAGAAGGTGAGGCCCTTGTAATGTGTTTCGCTCGTGGTATGTGTGTGATTTCTCACTCAGGTTATTAAGGATATAGATTGGATGCTCTCAGCTTTAAGAATTACCTCCAAACATGCGCCTGTTTTCTCACTTTAAAGAATGGTGGATTCATGGGTGTGAAACTCTAGATCTTGTATTTGGTTGTAGGAGGTACGTGAGGGTCAGGGCTGGGTGCTCTGTATCTCATTGTACAGTCGCTGACCCCTGCAGTCCTGGATTCCCAACCCAGACCACACTGCGATTCTCTTGTGAGTTGTGCGAATGCGTGTGTGACTGCACACATGCCTGTGCCGTGTGTGCCCCCCAGGTGTGGCTGTGCATGTACAGTTGTATGTATGTCCATGAATGCATGACCACATGCTTGTGCTTTGTATGTGTACCTGTGTTGGTGTGCGTTGCAGCGTGCCTGTGTGTGTGGCTTCTCATCTGACTGCATGTGTATGAGAAGAGATGAACCAGGTCAGGCAGACAGGTGCAGGCAGCCCTGGGCAAGGGAAGTGTCTTAACGGGTGCACCAGTATAGTACTGTTGTATGGACTTCCAGGTGGATTTGAATAGTTTAAGCAGTTGTGTTTTATTCCTATGTATAGTAAACGCAGGGTAGATAAACATGGGTAATTACAGAGAAATAGTCATAGCCATTGATGATAATGGAAATGACAGTAGTGCCAGGCGCCTTTGGTGGTTTCTGGCCTGGTGGCAGGCAGGTGGCTCAGCAGCAACTGGGAAGGTGCGCAGGTGAGCACAGTCTCCCTTTGCAGGTGGCTTCTGGCTCTCAGCCCTGTAGCTTCGACTAGCTTCGACTCTGTGGCACAACCAGTGGATCACTTGTTGTCCTGCGAGCGCAGACAGCAGCTGCCAGCATGGGAACACGGAGGGCATCAGTTCATCACTTGTGGTCCTGCGAGCGCAGACGGCAGCTGCCAGTGTGGGAACACGGAGGGCATCAGCTCAAGCTGATAGAAGCGCAGCGGCCCGATGGAGCTCGCTTCTAGTTCAGAGAGGAGAAATCACGTGAGAGTCAGACCTGTCAAGTCATCGCTGATCTGAAGTTCGTTTAAGGAGCGGAGTTTAGTCGTTCAGATCTGTTGCGACTCTTCAGATCACTTCCCGTTTTGCAATCACGACTGTCCGTGAGTGCCCGAGTGTAAGTTGTGTTCTTGGAGAAGCAACGTCTTCCTCTGTCCCCCGCAGGGGCCTCAGACAGCCTGGGTCCCTGAGGGGCCACTTGGTCCATGGTCTGTCCTGTCACGTGGGTGGCAGAGGGGGTCACAGGTCACACAGGTCCGGGTTCTCAGCTGTGGGACGCCTGTAGCTTGGATGAAAGGAAATGTCCTCGGACCTAGGCATCTTAGGATGGTAAAGCTGAAGGGGCCTGTGGGACCCTTCCTGTCCTCTGGGTGGTGGCTCTGGGAGGTTACGGGAGGGCACCCTTTCTTCAGGTTTACTCTCGACTTCTCTGGAGGCAGCTGCGCGGGACAGCCCAGTGTGTGCCTCGTTCACTGCTGAACTCAGCAAGAGGGATTGTTGTGGCCACTGGCGGGATTTGTATTCACAGAGTAAATGAATTCATTGGTGTTGACCGAGGCGATGTCTTCAGCAAATAGAAGGCGCGGGGCTAAGGCTTGTGCATATACAATTTCTTTTCAGAGAAGCCCTCCCCTCCCTGTGGGATGCAGAGACCACTGGTCACGTTCACGTGCACACATGCGCGCACGTGTACACACAAACGTGTACACACGCGCGTACACACATGCACATAGGCACGCACATGCATGTGCAGTCATTCTGTGGAAATTGTTTATGCAGAGTTGGCACTCAAACAATACTGGTTTTCCCTGTCCCTCTTGAGAGCCTATAAACAGTAGTGGAGGGGTGCGGCGCGGGGGTGTGGTTGGTGGAGAGATGGAGCGCGGGGGTGTGGTTGGTGGTGGAGGGGTGCGGCGCGGGGGTGTGGTTGGTGGAGAGATGGAGCGCGGGGGTGTGGTTGGTGGTGGAGAGATGCGGCGCGGGGGTGTGGTTGGCTCTGAGAGCCCCGGGAAGGAACTGACTGGGAGGCCGGTTGTGCTCCGGGCTCACCTTGCCCCAGGAGTGCCGTCGGTCTGTCCAGGGGCCACATAGGGGCCCATGCGGGCTCTGCCAGCAGCTGCAGGGCGTTTCGGAGATGGCCTCGGAGAAGCCCGTGGGCGGAGAGGGACGGACTTAGGCTTGGCCTCTTGTGACCAGCTTTTTGATGTAGTACTTGATGGAAAACAGCTTACTTAGCTTTCAAAATTTTGAATTCATAGATCCAGGGCTCCAGCTTGGTCAACGAGCTCCTGCGAAACAGTTGCAGAGATATTATTTTGTAACTCCTTCTCAAAATAGAAATATGACTGAGTGGTTGAGAAGATAAATGCAGTAATTAGGGCTTTCCAGAGATTTGTCTGAGGCATTGTTCAATTGGGGCTTGAAATTCTTTTTTTTGGTTCACAAAAAAAAAAAAAAAAAAGATAAATTGAAGGTGAACTATAAGAACAAAACTTAACCCATTTATGCCGGAGGTTGCAAATTTCTTTTTTTAGTGAAAAATCAGACCTTGGTGACAACCTTGAGCAGTAGGATATAAATAACTCCCATGAGCTTAGCGTTCCAATAATGGAACACTAGGCATAAATGGGTTAAGATGTACAGGAAAGGAAAATACAGTTATTTCCTCTTTTTAAAAATAGGAGAGAAGAGGAAAACGAAGGAATGAAGTCTGAAGGAGAAATGTATATATATATATATTGTGTTTACATCATTTTAATGGACACTATAATTACAACCCTTTTGTTACAACTTACAGTGTGATTAAGGAAGCCTGCCTGAGATATTTCAGGAACAATATAGTGTTGTGATTTGGGGAGAGTTGCTGAAATTTTTAAGTAAAATGTCAGATCTTTTCCTTAGGTATCCATGGTGGACTGGAACTTCTGAGACTCAATATTTATATTACATAATAGTTTGAACTCTGCATGTGGGAGCTGTAGAAAACCTACATGTTTCACATTTGTTTATATATGTGTAACCATAACATGCTTTAGTTTTGCCTGGCTTTCTGTGTGGACAAGCTTCCTAACCAGACAGGCCGTGCCTACGTAGTTTGATTCCATTTGGTCACCCCTCTCTGCTTATAGCTTTATAATCCACACTCAACCAAGTACGGGGTCAGTACCAGCCAGGTTGTGAATTCATCAGAACGATAAGAGTAAGAATGTCTAATGGGGAAAGCTGGGATGTTTATTTGTTTATTTAGTGTCCTAAAATAATGAAGTTTTAACTTTCTGGGCGTTTAGGTAGCAAATCCTACCAAGTGCTCAGAAATAGCTGTTTCTCAAATTATTCAGTCCGTCTTACCAGAAGACACACATCACAGTACCCAAAGAATGACAATAATTGTAACATAAACCTCTGTGAAAGGACTTAGAAAATTGTGTCGTGAACACCGTGAGCCTCGCCTGCTCCTGTGTTCATCTCTGGCCTAGGCTCAGACCTGGGGGTTGTCTTTTTCCCTCTCTGGCTTCTGCCCCAAGTCGGCCTCTTGGGAAATTGTCCCTCCATCTGTCTCCCCTTCCAGTTGCTCACTCTGAATTTCCAGCCCTTTCACACCCTCCTGCCTGAGTTTGCTAAAGTGGGGGCGTGTGCAGGAAGGGCCACTTTCAGAAGGGCTGCTGCCCTTGGGCAGGGCTGATTGCTCTGCGGTGATGGTCTGCTCATCCCACGGTGGGAGAGGCACATCCTTACCCTTGAAACCACCCCACTGGGAGACCAAACTAGGCCAAAGAGCCAGGTATCTTAGCAGTTTCCATTTCATCCACATGTCACTCACAATCTTAAGTGATTATTGCTGGTTCCAAGCAGAAACATGGTGAGGGCTGGTGGCTGGGTCTCCTCCTGCAGGTGGTGACCACCTGGGACCGGTATTGAATGGACGATGTCACCCAGAGCTATGTTCAAGGGATGAGAGTGTTTCCCGACTTATACAGTATCAGGGGGGCCCTGGGGCTAGAAGTCAGACCTGTGGACCTCGAGTCTAGAGGTGACAGAAGACAACTTAGGTGCTGTTTTCCTGAACCTCCTCTCTAGCGCTTAGAACGCACCCAGGCTTTCGCTGAGATGAGCTGCCTTGAAGCCAGCATGGAGAGCATTTTCAAGTCAGTTACTAAATGACTAACATACTTTAAGTCAATTGCTAACTCATTACATTTGAGTAAGTTTTTGCAAGGTTGGACATTTTTGAAGTTGGATATGCTGACTATATATATAATCCCCCACATGTAATGTTCATGGACATAGTTTGCTTAATTCCGTCTATGCCAAAATGCAAATATATTATTAATTTAAAGCCCTCTGCATTTTTAGCCTCTGAAAATATTGTTGAAGGTGCAAACTGAAATGTAAGATGCAGATCAAAAGGATGCATTGCTATACTGACAGTGCTGTGCTTCATAAGACATGTGCATTTTGCATTTGTCCTGATGATCTTTTAAGGCAAGCTCTTGGTGTAAGTCTTTTGCAGATAAATGCCTGTTGTTGAAAAGTGGATGGCTCTTCCATGTACGGGGACCACACGCGTAGCACCAGCACCAGGAGGGAGTCGGGCTATAGCTTGGGCGCAGGTGCCATCTAGTGGTAGCTTCCATGCATTGCGCGGGCTGCCAGGATGCCTCGGGGAAATCCGCCTTCCTCTGTCACGGAGGACAGAGACCGCTTGTGTTATGAAATGGCCTTTGTTCCGTAAGTCAGACACATGCCTGATTTTAAATCTGAAGACTCTACTAATAAGTGATCCTGATTTTTTTTTTTAAAGACTCATTACAGTTTCTTTGTAAAAGACACGGAATTTGGATTCTGTGTTTTTGGACATTTATGCATCGCAATAGAAAAAGTTGTAGAAAGCCATGCAGGTGCTAGCTAGTTTGTGTGTATATTAGTTGGCTTTAAGTCGGAGAAGTGTACAGTGTTATTTCTCTTCCTGAGACTTACTCCCTCCTATGCCTCTTAAAACACTTTGTGTAGGAGAAAACACACAAGTGGTTTAATTGTATTCTTTGTGACTCCTGTTGGAAGATTCCAGGCCCCCATTCCTTCAGAAAGGCCCCCATTCCTTCATAACTAGTGTTATGGGCCTGGCTTTCCTGCTCTCCTCCTTACTCTAAGCTTCCTTATTTTCATTCTAACATCTACCAGCGGCGTCAGCACCTTCTTCCCGACAGTCCCCGCCACCATTCTTGATAAGACTTCATGTACGGCCTTTGTGCTAGCTGGCATCTGCTTCAGACAGCTGCGTCATACAAGGAAAGATTCGTGTTAGCTAATTATTTTTTGCCAACTTGGATAAATTTGTAAGTGGAAATCTTCATTGCTCTCTGATTAAAGTATGGTTTGCCATGTTTTAAAAAATAATAAAAGAATATATTGATTGTATTTTCTCCAGTGGATGTGTTTTGGTTGGCTGTTAGGATCTGGGGACGAAGGAAGGTGTGTAAGGTGTAGAGTAGCCGTGAAAGCCAACTTGAATTCGATTCACTTCAGCATTTGATTCACAACAGAAAAACCAAACCTGAGCGACGCTTCTTTATGGTTGAGTCAATAGGAAGCAGTTAGTAAATTCCAGGTTTCTGGAACCTGATTATGTTTTATGCCGGATAAACTGCTGTTTAACCGAAAGCTGTCATGGAAGCTAGAGGTATTTGATTAACCTTTAAGTTGTTGATTCTGTACTCACTGATTTAAAAAGTAACACGAATAATTTGTCTAGTCAGAAATTCTATATTTAATTTGGGACTGTTTTTGTTCGGACATCAAAATACAGCTTCCAAGGCTGGGGGCGCAGTGGCTCATGTCTGTAATCCTAGCACTTGGAGATGCCAGGGAGGATCACTTGAGCCCAGGAATTTCAGAACAGCCTGGCAACAGAGTGAGACCCATCTCTACAAAAAGTTTTTAAAAAAGTAGCCAAGCATGGTAGCACACGCCTGTAGAGCCAGCTACTCAGGAGGTTGAGGTGGGAGGAGGGCTTGAACCTGGGAGGTTGAGGCTGCAGTGAGCTGTGATTGCACCAGTGCACTCCAGCCCGGGTGACAGAGCAAGACCTTGTCTCAAAAATAAAATATCGTGTCCAGAGTACTAAGATATTTATGTAATTTTCTGTTAACACAGATAACATACTTTCGCAAGTTGTTTATGTTAGTAGATTATCACTTAAAATGAAAACGTGTACTCAGTCATCCAGAAAAAGTAGAATAAACATCTTGGGGTATAATTTATCAAAATTTTATAATACCATTCAGTTCCATGTTGCTCTAGTCCTGGCATTTTCTTGTCATTCAGATTTTTTTTTCTTTTTTTTTGTAGTTCACATTGTATGTGTCATGATAAGAATCATTCTTGAAGACATTTCTTTAGAAGAAACTTTTCTGGCCATAGGACTGAGCTGGACGATTGGCAGCAGCGTTTATTATTCTGTATGAAAGCCCAGGGCTGCCCTTTGATGAGAATGAGGGCAAGACCCACGCTGTCACTTTCCTACTCCATGGCCTTGGTGTTTGGGGCTTGGGTCTCCCCGACTCGGTGCCTCTGGAGGGGCTTGTGGCTTCCTGATGGGCTGCACCTGCTTCTGAACTGCGTAGCCTCTGAAAGCAATTATGTGTCCCCCGGCTTTTCTGTGCTCCTTGTGTCCCTCTGAAGCACTGAGTCTGTCTGGGTTATTTTTTTGTGTTTCAGGAGGAGAACTTCCAGATCACACCAGCCTGTGGCAGTGGTTTTCAGCATTTCTTTGGCTCCCCTTGCACAGGCAGCTTATGTCTTGTTTTTTCATGGAAAAGCCCCCGTGGATATTATAGCTACAACTTTTCCTCGTGCATTTTCTACATCATATCCAAAAACATCGTCTGACAGCGGTGCTCCGGCCTCTCACTCTCAGTGGAATGGCCTCTCTTCTCCACAGTTTGGAGAACCACTCTGCCTGCTGCCAAGATCCTTTCAGCTTGAATATCTTTCCAGGGGCTGTTTTTCCCCCCAGATGTCTATGTAGTTTTGTCTTAGTCTCTGGCATTTTGATTGTCTTAGAAATTCAAATTGTGATGAAATCTGGACGCCTGATTTCATCAAGTTTCCCCCTTTCAGGACAGGTTAAAAGTGATAGATGGATCTTCTTCTGAGCAACACTGTTGATGACTGTGATGTTCTTGCTGTCAAATCCAGTTTTTTGTTAACTAGTCATGTCTGTTATAAAAGTTACTACAGATTCACAAATATTAAAAGTAAATGCTGAAATCTTGAAATGATTTTGAATGCAGTGGCCCTGAGTTCTGAGACAGCGTCGGGCTCCTGGCACTGGGCATTTTCACCTTGGGAAGAGGGTGACCCTGCGCGCCATATATGGTTGAAATCCTCAGTGTCATTTGGATAGAGGCTGTTTGCTTTTATATCACAAATACCTATTTGTTCCCCATGCCCATACACTTGTATGGGGCTAGTTTCATAGATTTTTCTTTTTAAATAAGAGGGAACATCTAAGAAGAAGAAAGTGAAGGAGGGGTGTGACCATCTCCTAATCACAGCTACTGGGGATGGGAGAACCAGTGACCTGAATATCCTATTTGCTGTCAGCCCTGAGCACCATCTACCATTCGAGGCCATCACCTCAAATATTCCATCTGGCTTTTAATTAAGAGAATGGGCTGCTAATGAAATCTCATACTTCAGGTTGTACGTGGATCACCTTCTGGGTCAGGAGCGTGGATGCTGGGAAGAAGGCAGGGCTTCCTCTTTCACTTGCAGCTTTGCGCACTTCCGGACGGTGAAGCTCGCGGTGTGGGGAGCTGGACGAGGAGCGGGGTCCTGTCCCTGAAACACTTGGCTCCTGCAGGGCGGCTGGCCCACCCTCACGGCCGGCTGCAGTGTGACCAGGGTGGTGACGTCATTTGGGAAGTGCTTTATCTTACCGTCATTTGGAGTTTCATTTCCTCGGCACGTGCTGGTGCGTCTTGTTTTGGAGAGAGACTCCCTCATCTAGAATGCGTGGCCTCCAGCCTGTCCGTGGTCACTGACTCCAGTGACTGTAGCTCTGGGATGTCCACCTCAGCACCCACTCGAGGTTGGTAACTGGGTTAAGAGCTGTGCTCTGTGCTGCCAGAATTCCGTACCTGCCCCTGAGGCTGCCTGTGCTTAACGTTACTGTTCTTATTTGCAGGTCCTTAAGAGATACCTGCTGAATTAACGAATTCATCTTGCGCTTCATGCTTTTTAGCAGTTTCCTGTGCACTGTCTCATTGCATGTGAGTCTTGGATATTAAATGACTCCTACTCACCTCATTCATCCCATAAATGCATATTTGTTGATGGTCTCTCTCCCAGGAGCCAGATGCGCTAGATAGTGGCGATAAAGCTGTGAAACAAGGTTTGCTTTCTTGGTGTCTGGGAGATGCTCGTTTAGGACGGGGTGCAGCCTTGTGAATTGCGGGGGAAACAGCGAGCGCAGAGGCCCTGCGGCAGCAGGAGTGCCTGTGTGGGAAACCCACTCTGCTGGGTTAGGGCCAAAATTCCCTTTCTTGTGTTTAACATTTGTTCCCTTACAACCTAAAAACATGGCATGCAGGCATGCAGGCTTTGTCTGTGACTTTGCTCCATCCGTTTCCAATATTCCTGCCTGGCCTGAGATGACCAAATGCTCACTCATGTGTTTAGTTAGAGCAGAAGGAGTTGGAATCGGGACTGAGTTTGAAAAATGCAGACCTGGGATATCATCCGGTTCTTCCAGTCAACCGTGGTTCAGTCAGAAAGGGCGTGTGTGGTGATTGGGCAATGAATGAGTTTCTGTGTGTGGACAGCACTCTCCTGGAGGCTGTGTTCTGACCTGCCTTCCCACCTGCCCTCCCCCCACCTGACCACCCGCCTTCCCCCCACCTGACCACCCGCCCTGCCCCCACCTGACCACCTGCCTTCCCCCCACCTGACCACCTGCCCTCCCCCCACCTGACCACCCGCCCTGCCCCCACCTGACCACCTGCCTTCCCCCCACCTGACCACCTGCCTTCCCCCCACCTGACCACCTGCCTTCCCCCCACCTGACCACCCGCCCTGCCCCCACCTGACCACCTGCCTTCCCCCCACCTGACCACCTGCCTTCCCCCCACCTGACCACCCGCCCTGCCCCCACCTGACCACCTGCCTTCCCCCCACCTGACCACCTGCCCTCCCCCCACCTGACCACCCGCCCTGCCCCCACCTGACCACCTGCCTTCCCGGCTTCCCACCTGACCACCTGCCTTCCCCCCACCTGACCACCTGCCTTCCCCCCACCTGACCACCTGCCCTCCCCCCACCTGACCACCTGCCTTCCCCCCACCTGACCACCTGCCCTCCCCCCACCTGACCACCTGCCTTCCCCCCACCTGACCACCTGCCCTCCCCCCACCTGACCACCTGCCTTCCCCCCACCTGACCACCTGCCTTCCCCCCACCTGACCACCTGCCTTCCCGGCTTCCCACCTGACTACCTGCCCTCCCCCCACCTGACCACCCGCCCTGCCCCCACCTGACCACCTGCCTTCCCCCCACCTGACCACCTGCCCTCCCCCCACCTGACCACCCGCCCTGCCCCCACCTGACCACCTGCCTTCCCGGCTTCCCACCTGACCACCTGCCTTCCCCCCACCTGACCACCTGCCTTCCCCCCACCTGACCACCTGCCCTCCCCCCACCTGACCACCTGCCTTCCCCCCACCTGCCTTCCCCCCACCTGACCACCTGCCCTCCCCCCACCTGACCACCTGCCTTCCCCCCACCTGACCACCTGCCTTCCCCCCACCTGACCACCTGCCTTCCCGGCTTCCCACCTGACTACCTGCCCTCCCCCCACCTGACCACCCGCCCTGCCCCCACCTGACCACCTGCCTTCCCCCCACCTGACCACCTGCCTTCCCCCCACCTGACCACCTGCCTTCCCCCCACCTGACCACCCGCCCTGCCCCCACCTGACCACCTGCCTTCCCCCCACCTGACCACCTGCCTTCCCCCCACCTGACCACCTGCCTTCCCCCCACCTGACCACCCGCCCTGCCCCCACCTGACCACCTGCCTTCCCCCCACCTGACCACCTGCCCTCCCCCCACCTGACCACCCGCCCTGCCCCCACCTGACCACCTGCCTTCCCCCCACCTGACCACCCGCCCTGCCCCCACCTGACCACCTGCCTTCCCCCCACCTGACCACCTGCCCTCCCCCCACCTGACCACCCGCCCTGCCCCCACCTGACCACCTGCCTTCCCGGCTTCCCACCTGACCACCTGCCTTCCCCCCACCTGACCACCTGCCTTCCCCCCACCTGACCACCTGCCCTCCCCCCACCTGACCACCTGCCTTCCCCCCACCTGACCACCTGCCCTCCCCCCACCTGACCACCTGCCTTCCCCCCACCTGACCACCTGCCTTCCCCCCACCTGACCACCTGCCTTCCCGGCTTCCCACCTGACTACCTGCCCTCCCCCCACCTGACCACCTGCCTTCCCCCCACCTGACCACCCGCCCTGCCCCCACCTGACCACCTGCCTTCCCCCCACCTGACCACCTGCCTTCCCCCCACCTGACCACCTGCCCTCCCCCCACCTGACCACCTGCCCTCCCCCCACCTGACCACCTGCCTTCCCCCCACCTGACCACCTGCCTTCCCCCCACCTGACCACCTGCCTTCCCCCCACCTGACCACCTGCCCTCCCCCCACCTGACCACCTGCCTTCCCCCCACCTGACCACCTGCCTTCCCCCCACCTGACCACCTGCCCTCCCCCCACCTGACCACCTGCCTTCCCCCCACCTGACCACCTGCCTTCCCCCCACCTGACCACCTGCCTTCCCCCCACCTGACCACCTGCCTTCCCGGCTTCCCACCTGACTACCTGCCTTTCCCCCACCTGGCCACCTGCCTTCCCATCCACCTTTCCCCCACCTGGTCACCTGCCTTCCCATCCACCTTTCCCCCACCTGGTCACCTGCCTTCCCATCCACCTTTCCCCCACCTGGTCACCTGCCTTCCCATCCACCTTTCCCCCACCTGGTCACCTGCCTTCCCGCCTGCCCTCCCTCCACCTGGCCACTTGTCTTCCCACCTGCCCTTCCCCCACCCGGCCACCTGCCTTCCCATCCACCTTTCCCCCACGTGGCCACCTGCCTTCCCATCCACCTTTCCCCCACCTGGCCACCTACCTTCCCACCTGCCTTCCCAGCTGGCCTCCTGCTTTCCTGGTCTCTGCTCTTGAACATGCAAAGGGCTTCCCAGGCTGCGCTACTTCCTGGGTGACTTGTGTTGCCTGGGACATATTTTGAGCCCTGTGAATGTCACCTTCTGGGTGAAGAGCCCCGTTTGCCAACCCTAGAGCCTGTGGCTGACCAGAAGATTGTAAAACTATAACCTGTTATTAGTGACACTCCCTGTGGTCTTACATCTATTTAGGAACCTAGAGTCTTTTTCCCTATGTCAAAAGATGCTTCTTTCCCTTTCTGTGAAGTCTTCTCATTTTCATGGGGACAGTGAGGAAAAGGCCACCCTGAGCCCTGGATGTAAGGCCTGTCCCTTGGCCGTACTGTGTTTCTTTGGTCCAGTGGCCGAGTCTGCGCTGGCTTCCTGGTTTGACTGGCGTCGCTGGTGGCGGAAATGAGGCTCTTCTTCAGCTGTGTGCTCCCCGGAAGCCAGGGGCGGCGTTGTGAGCCGCGGCAGAGAGGACCGTGGTGTTGTTTGCCTCGCCGTCCCTCTCCCTTTGAGTGTCACGTTCCCCTGCTCTCGTGGCCTCTCTGCTGTGGGCCTACCTGCCCGGCCTCCTCCTGCTGGCTCTGCCTGTCTCTGTCTGATGGGGTCTCCGGCCTTCAGGGCGAGGCTGAGACAACAGCCTTATCCCCAAAGCACACAATGAGGCTGGGGCCATGGGATGACTGAGACCTCTGTGTCTGCAGTTTTCCACCTGGTTGCCTGGGCACCTGTGGAAGTCCCTGTTTCTAATTTGGTATTTTAGTACAGGTTCTGTAGGGCTGGTGTGATTGCCCAGGCTACCAGGATGCCAGTACATCATGTTTGGGGACCCCTGTCCTAGTCACGTGTCTGGGATGGGGCTGTGCAGGTTTGCAGGAGGACCTGGCTGCGGGCAAGTCCACAGCGACAGAGGGAGCGGTTAGGGTTAGAGTTGGGTTAGGGTTAGGTGTTTGGGTTAGGTTTAGAGTTGGGTTAGGTGTAGGGGTAGGGTTAGAGTTGGGTAAGGGGTTAGGGTTAGAGTTGGATTAGGGTTAATAGTGTTAGAGTTAGTGGTTATGGTTAGCGGTTAGGTTTAGGGTTATGGTTGGTTCACGGTTAGGGTTGAGGGGGTTAGGATTGGGATCAGGTGTTCATGTTAGTTGTTAGGTTAGGGTTAGGTGTATTGCTACTGCTATGGCTAGGGTTTGTGCTGGGATTAGGGTTGTGGTTTGGCTTGTGCTTATGGTAGTACCCTCCTCGGCCAGAGCCCTTACGCTCACACTTACTCACCCTGTAGCGTGTTTCCTAAAGTGCAGACTCTTCATATCATTTTCTCTTTTCTTTTCGAAATCTCGCAGCCCTCCTTAATGATTTCTTTGTGCAATCTCTGTCCTCCTGTGGACCCCTGGTGTCCCCACCTTCCGTACCTGCTGTGCCTGGGTTCCTTCCCTCGTGGCCCTCCTGGGATCTGGGAACACCTGCCAGTGTCAATGAGCTCAGCGCTGTGGGGTGTGAGCTGAGATAGAGGCATTTGAAGCTGGCTTGAGCTCTCAGCCTGATGGCCTTAGATAAGCTGCTTTGTGCCTCAGGTTTCGTATCTACAAAATGGGACGGTGACCTTCCCTCCCTAGACCTTTTCCGAGGGGCAGGTCATGGATGTGAAGTTCCTGGCATGGTTCCAGGCACCCAGTGAACCCGGAAAGTGTCATGTGTTTATCACACCGCCGCTCGGTGCTTCTGGCTGGGGAATGCAGTGCTCAGGCTGAGTTGGCAAACCCAGCTTCTCCTCTCCAAAGGATAATGACCGACGTCCACATGGGCCTCCTGCCTGCGGGACCCGGGTTGCTCTGTGCCCCTCGTTTCCTCGGAGACTTGGAGACTTGTGGGTGGTGCTGGCAGCTGGGCTGCTTGGCCGTCGACCCAAGGCCTGCCTGGTGCTTCCCTGGAATCCCCTGGTCCTTGGTGAGCTGGGATGCATCTGAGACAGGTGCCGTCTTGGGCACATCACTGCTGCTTCCTGGCTTGGGACTGGCCTCCCTGGGTGACCTGCTCCACCCCGCAACAGGTGTGTGTGTTGGGCTGTATTGTTAAAGCCACTGGTGTAAACCCTGACACAGGTGTGCCATGGGGCTGGAGAAACTGCAGTCATGGTTCCTTGTGGATTTCATTACAGACATACATGGCTCGTAATTTTCTGGTAGATTTGCTCATTCTCATATCAAAATGACCAGTTTGTGTTCAGTACCCAACTACCTGGGGTGGGATATTTGGGAGACAATGGAAAGAAGCCAGTTGTATTAAAAACCTTAGCGCATACTCAATGCACAGGCCTCCGGGGTCCGGGTCGTGACCATAGATTCACTCTGAGGGACCCGTCAGGACGTTTTGTGTAGGAGGAAGAGCCCAGTTACTCAAAGATGTTCGTGGTTTTGTGCTTGGTATTGCATTTGTGTTTCTGTTCTGTTTTAACCAAGAGTGAGAAGCTCTGGAATTATTGCTATAATAAGCGTGAACCGGGAGACATACTGCCTCATGTAATAAAACTGCGTGCTGCCCACTATCGCTCGGGACCACAGGTGAGGTCATGTGACCGAGCAGGACTAGCAACGAGACTCTTAGGAAACAGCCTTTTCTCCAGACTCACCCATCTCCCCCTCAGGTCCCAGGGTTGCGGGCAGTGATGGCTGTGTAAGCGCTCCTCAGAGTGAAATAGCTGCTTGCTATTTTTAAAGGTAGAGATTAAGAAATGACAAAGCATTTTTGTTTCAAGAAGTGTGTTTCTACTTTGTACTGCTTAAAAATAACTCTGCAAAAATCAACTAAGTCACAAGGAATTGAACAGAACAAAAAATGACATTGAAGAGTACATAAGAAATGAATTACTCCTGTCTAGTTAGCAATTTTTGGGTCGTTTCCGTACACGAAACTTAGAACCTTAGAATTGACGGGGGGAGATCATGCCTCCATGTGCGTGCGGATGGAAGGTCTGTCCCTGCAGAATTCCCGAGAGCTGCCTCCTGCTTTCTGCCTGCCCCTCTCATTGGTGAGGGATGCACTGTTTATAAGGCAGCTGTTTCTCAGCTGAAGGCTTCTCCCTTGGCCTCCCCTGAAATCTCATTCTCATTGATTTCTGTTTATTTGTCCTATCTTACCCAGCCCTCCTCAATCTTGGCTGCAGTTAGAATCACCCAGAGATTTTTTTTTTTTTTTTGGAGAATGTGCAGGCCACTCCCTCAGAAGCCGGGACTTTAGGCCAGGTTCTGGCCTTGACCAGTTGTTGCCAGCTGTGGCTCGTGACCTTGACAGATGATTCTCAGATGCCACCTGCAAGGCTGTCATGGATGAACTGATTTTCCTGCATCCATTCAGTGCTCACCGAGTAACATCGGGGTTTGTGGCAGCCCAACCCACCAGCCGCCTGTTTTGGGTGGAACAGTCCACATTCTTGCAGTCATTCTCGTATTACTTGGTTCCCAGAAGCCTCCCCCGGGCCTGTTCTGGACCCGCTCACTCTTGTTCATTTGCTCCTCTTCCATGTATGGTTCATTTGCTGCTCTTCCATGTATGGTTCAGAGCCCAGGCTGGGCTCCTGCCGCCCAGTGTGAAGAGAGGACCCTTGGCCAGCCCCGTCGTGGGCCTTCCTTCCCCGGCTGTTGCTGAGGATGCTTCTGTTTGATCTCAACCCTGAGCCGAGTAACTCACACTGAGCCCATGGTCTCCTAGGAGCTTGGGGTCTTTTCCGTGGCCAGAACTTTCTCTTCTTGCACTTTGTTTTTCCTTACGGGATTTCATCTTGTTAGTTTCAAGCCTTTGTTGCATCTCATCGAAAACTTCTGAGTCTCTGTGCTGCTTTGGTCTCCCTCATCTCTGAGTGTCAGCCCTGCTCCAATAAGCTTGTCCGGTTCCCTTTCTCCATCTGGGTCATCAATGTACATGATGGCTCATGGGAGGTCGGGCACTGCAGCAACCTCTGAGACCTTCCTCCTTGTGGATCTGAAACAGGAGAGTTCCCTGACCCCTCGCGGGACTTGCAACAGGGGCGTGGCTTATTTGCGCTCAAACTCCTTACAGGAGGGGTAGCAAGCAGATTGGCAGGTGCAGGAGCTGGGTGAGTGCTTTTGGGCGTTGGCCCCATGGTAGTGTCTAGACAATTAATGCTGTTTTAGCAGTTGCTATCTGTGGATGGCTAAGTGTTCAACCAGCTCAGTGGAGAGTCAGGGTGACAGCCTTTTACACCCTGCCATCTTGGTACCTGGGTCCTTGTCTGGTGTCCAGGAAGAATCGGGTCATACAGGCTTTGAAGGATGGTGATTGCAGGGATTTCATTGAGTGGTGGAGGTGGTTCTCAGGGGGATGCATGAGGAGCTGGAAAGGGGATGGAGTGGGAAGATGATCTTCCCCTGGAGTTCAGCTGTCCCACGGCCGACCTCCTCTCTGACTGTCCGCAGCCATACTCCTCTCGATGTTCAGATGCTCCTTCTCTTTTCTTCTCTGCCGTGCCGTTCTGCCACTCTGCCAGTCTTCTGCTCTTCTGCTCTTGGAGCCTGGGGTTTGGGGTTTCTACGGGTACAGGATAGGGAGGCATGGCGGGCCAAAAGCAACACTTGAGTTTGAAAACAGGAATACCTGTTCCCATTTAGGGCCGCAGGTTTCCAAGCTCGAGGGTGGGGCCTTTGCCAGGGAACTGCCCTGTTCTATCCAGTATTTCCCTGTCTCCTGTCCATGTCAGATTCAGGAATGGCCACTCCTGGGCAGAGGCATTGGGCCTGCTCCCAGCTGACCTCTGTGCACTAAAGCCAGCCGTGTTCTCCTTCCTGTCCCCAAGACTGTCAGGGAGAGACCAAGTCCATGCATGCTTCGGTCTCCTACATTACCAGCTTAGTAATCCTCTGAAAAAAGAAAATCACGTTATATAGTTGGTGTGCTTTTGTGTGACTGAGTGACTTTTTTTTTCTTTTTTCTTGGCAAATCTGGGATAAAATATATTAAAACAATTTGTATTTTATAAACCTACCACGACACACAGAATTGATCTCATCTGCGTCTGCAGCAGGTCAATGGCAGAGCGTGTGCGGGCCTGTGCTGGTGTACCTGCAAGTTGCCTCCCTTGCTTGCTGTTCGGTGCCTTCACTCCTGCAAACATACAATGTATTGGAAAAGCAAAGCGGGTGTAAGGCACGTAAGAATCATCCACGGGTTACTAAACCGGCCTGGGTGTGGTGCATGGACATGCCACGTCTCTTCAAAGATTCTTCCTGTTCTATGATCGTGGTGGGGTGCCTGGAAGAAGTGTGAATTTTGTGCACGTGTCTGACCTGAGCTGATGTGGCTGAAATGAGAGGGGCTGCAGGCTCGTCCCACGGTGGCTGTGTCCCAGGAGCAGAGTCCACATGGATGACGGAGCCTTCAGAGGGGCGGGGCATGGTCCTGCCCAGGTGGCAGGGACTCCAGCGATGGGTTCTGGTCTCAGGGCAGCAGGTGTCCGGTCAGCCAGCGCCGAGAGATCAGTCCAGTGAGAATTTGGGGTGTTAACGGGTTCCCCATGCCCTTGGCAGGTTTTTTCCTGTGGGAAGGATGTGGTTGCCGAAATTATACCACATCCTGTGGGAACCATCATGATGGTTGCCGAAATTATAGAATAAAATATTTAAGATGTTTGGCTGCATGATGAAAATGACATGTGTGGGTAAAATTGTCAGTCATAGAACTGGAAAATCTTGAAAAGTCCAGCTCTCATCCATTAGAAAGGAAATCATTGTGATAAGGTTGAAAAATGTAGAACGAGATAAAAGTCCTCATACAAGTCTCTGTACATGCAATTGTTCATTAAAGGGCCTCTTTCTGGTGGTTCTGATGCCGTTTGTAGGTTGGGAGGTGAGAAGTTTTATTCCTGAGGCTCCTTAGAATTATGGTCGCTTAACTGAATTCGTCTTCTAAAAAAAGCATCAAGCTTTCTTCCCTGTATAATCTTAATATTGTGGAACTTTTACCTTTTCTTAACCTTTATAAAAGTAGTGCCATTTCCTCCCTCCTCCCTCACCTCCCATCCCCCTTCCTTGTCAGCCTAAAGTTGAATCAGAGATGTCACTGACGAATGTGATGCTTGCAATTACCTGTTCATTCACTTCTCACTCCCTGTTAATATGCAGGTGAGCCCCCGGTGTTGAGCTCAGGATGTGCCGTGAACTTGACTGCAGACGGGTCCAGCAACTGTGCAGAGTGGGGACCTGCCTGCAGCCACCCTGTGTGTTCAACAAAGCCCAGCCCAGCAAAACACCACAGCCCCCCAATCCCCAAGCAAGGGCCCCCAACCTTCCCTTAGAAACCCAGAGAGGCCAGGTGGGCAGACACCCCTTCCTGTTCACGGAATTAACTAAACTGTATCCGTTATGGGTGGAAAGAAATAATGGCTTTTACGAAGCCCAATATAGAGGGGCAGAAATGAGAAAAATCTTTATTCTAAACACTTACGAAGTTAGGCAAGAAAAGTGTCTTGCAGAGAGAGCATGGGGATGCGTTTCAGGAGGAAGTTGGTTTTTGGAAGGGCCGCTTTGTAGGAATAGCAGCTCAGGAAACTGGCCGGAGGATGCACTGTCAGTGCACAGGGGGCCACGAGGGTCCTGGCACCGGGGCCGGCGCTACCTCCTGCAGGTGGGCTGCCTGGGAGGAGGAGTGAGGCAACCGCTCCCATGGGGGTACAGCTCCCGGGGGGGGGGCAGTGCAGTGGCACCCTACATGCAGGGCCCGGTTCTTCAGCATCACCAGAGCTGGGCGCAGACCCATGCTTGCTGCCCATTGCCCCTCCTGGAGTGACAGCCAGCAGGGCGCTCCTGGGGTCCTGTTTATTTTTCAAAGAAGAAAAGAGGCACAAATGTGCACTGAGAATGAAGTGCTTTAAACACCCATGGAAAACCGAAAACATGACGAATAGGCAGCCCCAGAGCAGCCGTAAGCGCGGAAGGGGAGCGCCTCAGCGTGGCTGCGTGGCTGCAGACTTTTTTGTTATGTATATTTTACTACAGTAATAAAAAATATTTTAAGTGAAAGGGGAGTAACTTTATACAAAGTGCCCTCACCGCATTTCTGTGCTTTTGAGGGCGGTTGTGTGTGTTGAAGATGTTGCCTCAGGGACTTCAGACAGTGCAAGTCTGCCACTCCCTGGGCCCCGTGTGAAACATGCTTGTCGGCGGTGTGCGGCACCAGCCAGGCCAGGGCCAGCTTGGGACGCAGTGAAGTCACCCAAGACCTAATCCATGTTTGTGTTTCCAAGACACATCTAGGAAGGTCCTGCTTAGAAAGGAACCCGGGAGCCCCTGGTGTGTTTGAGCCGAGGACAGAGCAGCCATAGTCACCGTCTGTGGCACGCGTGTGCACACTCGTGGGGTTGGGAGCGACGTGCGCCTTCTCTAGGGCTGCTCGGACCCGGCTGCCTCCTCCTGGCACGTGCTTCCGTGCACCCGGAGAGCATGGGGTGAGTGTTGGAGATCCTGCTCCCTCTGCACAGGGCCGCTGCCAGGCCTTTCTGAGCCAGCCTTCCCTCTCTGGTGTGTGCCCTCGGCACTGCGGTCAGGGTTAGAGGCAGCCATCTATGCAGGGCCACGCCATGCTCAAATCAGCACCGTTCTCTTTCCTTCAATTCTAATAAAGTGCCCGGTGAGCACTGCCACCCAGGGGCTGTCAGATTGGTGGGGACTGAGGAGCAGAAGTGCTTTTTCTTGCAGACTTTCTCCCTGTGTGGCATGGGAGCCACGGAACCAGGCATTTCCTCAACCAGGGAGCTGGAGCCCCCTCCCCGGACACTTCTCTAGCCGAGTTCTTCCGTTTCAGGATCAGGGCCACCGAAACATCAAAAGCCACCTACGCCAGGTCCCAACTGTAGGGGGGGTGGGGGATGGGAGCTGTGGAGAGGGAGTTTGGGGGCCATGGAGGGGATGTGTGGAACCACAGAGGGGGCGTGGGGTTCGTGGAGGGGGCGTGAGAACTGTGGAGGGGGTATGGGGGCCATGGAGAAAGGTGTGCGGGTCGTGGTGGGGGCGTGGGGGGCGTGGACGGGGCGTGAGAACCGTGGAGGGAGTGGTGGGGGCTAAGGAGAAAGGGGTGCGGCCCGTGGTGGGGGTGTCGGAACCGTGGAGGGGACGTGAGAGCCGTGGAGGGAGGGGTGGGGGTGGTGGAGGGGGTATGGGGGCTGTGGAGGAAGGCGTGTGGGCCCTGGTGGGGGCGTGGGGGCCGTGGAGGGGGCACGGGTGTGTCCTGTGCCTGCTGCCACCTGTTGGGGGTGTCCTGAGGAGTTCTCATTGCCAGTGGTGGCGCTTAATTTCTCTGGGAGGTTCACCTCGCGTGTGCAGTAGATGGAGTGCACACGAGAATGGGAAGTGTAGAAAAGGGATAAATGAAAAAGTCAGAATGGCACTCAGGAACCTGAGAACAGTGGATGGGTGTCGTGGTCCCCTTGGGCCGCCTGGGAGGCCCCTCGTCTTAGTTTTGTTTTGACCTGGCTGTAACGAAACCTTGGCAGTAAGGAAACCTTGGCTGTGTCATGTGGCAGCACTTTGCGAGGCCCACTGGACTTGGCAGTAGTTTATTCCCATGATTGGAGGCCCCTGGAGGGCCCTTGTCAACCAACAGCACTGGGTCCAGGAGCCGGGGACGAGGGGCGAAGCCGTCTGTTCTGTGGCTTACTGATGATGAATGCGGGGAGCGCTTGGGCCTGCGCCTCTCTGTACACCAAGGCCTGAGGCCTGATCGGGAGCTCACTAGAGGCTTTTGCTGTTTCAGTGGCCCTGATCCTGTAATGAAGAAACCTCGGTCAGAAGAGGGTCCGGGGAAGAGGGTCCTGGGTCCCTGGCTGAGAAGGTGCCTGGTGGGGAAGAGGGTCCTGGGTCCCTGGCGAGAAGGTGCCTGGTGGGGAAGAGGGTCCTGGGTCCCTGGCTGAGAAGGTGCCTGGTGGGGAAGAGGGTCATGGGTCCCTGGCTGAGAAGGTGCCTGGTGGGGAAGAGGGTCCTGGGTCCCTGGCTGAGAAGGTGCCTGGTGTGGGGAAGAGGGTCCTGGGTCCCTGGCTGAGAAGGTGCCTGGTGGAGAAGAGGGTCCTGGGTCCCTGGCTGAGAAGGTGCCTGGTGGAGAAGAGGGTCCTGGGTCCCTGGCTGAGAAGGTGCTTGGTTCCTTGTTGCTGAGGATCCTGCGCCTCTCCAGTTAGCCACGTGTTTTCTTCCTTGGAAAGGAAGTAGGTCCTTGGAAAGCTGTTCAGTCTTTCTGCTCATCAGCTGCTTCTGCGAATAGCTTCAGTTTCCTGCCCGCTGCCCCTCCACTCGTGGTCATGCTTCTCTCCCGCCCTCCTGGGGTGGCTCGGGACTCTGTGCAGGGTCTGTGTGTTCCAGAGGCATTTTGCCGTTCACTCTCGACCGGTGACATCGATAACTTGGGCTAGACCATGCGCTTTTTTTTTTTTTTTTTTTTTTTTGAGACAGAGTCTTGCTCTGTTGCCCAGGCTGGAGTGCAGTGGCGCCATCTCGGCTCACTGCAGCCTCCCCCTCCAGGGTTCAAGGGAATCTCCTGCCTCAGCCTCGGGATTAGAGGCGCATGCCACCACGCTTGGCTAATTTTTGTATTTTTAGTAGAGACGAGGTTTTGCCATGTTGGCCAGGCTGTCCTCAAACTCCTGATCCCAAATGATCCGCTCTCCTGGGCTTCCCAAAGTGCTGGTATTACAGGTGCTGGCCACCATGCCCAGCTAATTTTTGTGTTTTTAGTAGAGACAGCATTTTGCCATGTTGGCCAGGCTGGTCTCGAACTCCTGGCCCCAAGTGATCTGCCCGCCTCGGCCTCCCAAAGTGCTGGGATTATGGGTCTGAGCCACTGTGCCTGGCTAGATTATTCACTTTTAGTTTATTACTCAGTGTCTTGGTCAGAGGTACTGGAAGTTCTAGGTGATGTTTTATGATCCTTTTGGGGAACATTTTGGAAGCCTCGACAGTCGTGCTTTGAAAACCCCACAGATGTACAGGGGCCGATGACACAGCCGCATTGTTTACACTGACAGACTCCACTAGTAGTCTTGGACATGTGTGTTCAGAAATCTGTATTCCTTTACTGCAGGGAAAACTAGATCTCTCCCTGCTGGATGTTGCCTTTTTCGAATATTTAGAAATGAGTCGAACGTACTGAGCACCATTCTGACTTAAACAAAGGCTAACGTTTCCTCTTTCATATACTTAATTCCATGTTTTTATCCGTGGTGCATCCTAGCACTGCCCAGTCTCCTTTCTCATACCACTGTGTGCGTATAACAGACTCATATACCTGACTTCATTGATTTATTTTTTATTTTAAAATTTATTTTATTATCATTATTACTGTTATTTTTTAAGATGGAGTCTTGCTCTGTTGCCCAGGCTGGAGTGCAGTGGCGTGATGTCAGCTCACTGCAACCTCCACCTCCTGGGTTCAAGCGATTCTCCTGCCTCAGCCTCCGGAGTAGCTGGGACTTCAGGCGCGTGCCACTACACCTGGCTAATTTTTGCATTTTTAGCAGAGACGGGGTTTCACCACGTTGGCCAGGCTGGTCTTGAACTCCTGACCTCAGGTGACCCACCCGCCTCGGCCCCCCATAGTGCTGGGATTGCAGGCATAAGCCACTGTGTCCAGCCTTGACTTTATTTAAATATTAGCCTTTAGGAGCCGGTAGGAGTTGGATAGTTTTTTCTTCCTTTGTCTCATCTCCGCACCAGTTCTGCTGATCAGCCCTTAACTGCTGGCGTTTTTTACATGGACAAGTCCTTTAACACGGCGTATGAATTGCGCACTAACTGCCCGCTGATTGAAAACCAGCATTTGTTACCGTGTCCCTCAGATCTGGGCAAGTGCCTTCAGTGACAGGCGCTGTCTCACCCTGATGAAGAACCCCTTGGAATGGATTTGTTACCAGTTTGTTGGGATTCCTAAGTGTTATCTCCAAATATACACTTAGAACATTTTAAAGGAACATTCTGAGTTAGCAGATCCCTCCATTTTACTGAATGTTAAAAATCTCTGAAAATCTTATTTGAAAACCAAGAACTTGGGGCCTTATACGGAGACATGGCTGTAAGGGACTGCAGATGGCGGCTGGGTGGTGAAGAATCCTGTGTTTTATAGTTCAGAGAGTTTTAAGATATCCGGAAACATCTGTACTCCTGCCCTGTTTCGATGTCTAGATTTACAGAAACCCAAGGCCGTAAATGCAAAACATAAAACCGAATTTTTGTTAATCCGTGTTGTGTCCACTTGCAGTACAGTCTCTTCTGACTTTGGAAAAGCCTTAAAACCTCCGAGCACAGCCCACACCTCGGCTGTGTTTCTCCCTGTCTCACGCGTTCCTTGGGTAAAGTGGGAGGGTTCTGACCACACCATCCCTCCCCACCGCAGAGTTCATCCCAGACTGTGGCTCAGACACGCTCTCCGTCAAGGTCCGACCATCAGGGGCGCAGAGCTTGAGGGGCGGAACCCCGGGCTCAGTTCTCCTGGGCAGCCGGCAGGTGGCGGCATGGAGGTGGATAGCGTGGCTGCCTTTGCTCACCCGCCTCTGGGGGACCTTGGGGCATCAGTGTTTTGGGCTTGAGAATTGCCCTCACAGGAGAGATGCGTAGGGAGGGAGCCCTATGGCTGAGGCGGAAGGTGGTCGGTAGCCCAGTGGTTTCGGAGGCAGACACGGGGGGTCCTTTGGACAGAGTAAGCTGTTGCCCAAGCCTGCTTCTGTGACTGTGGGCTCCACCCAACTTCTCTGGTTTTCTTACCCTGCAATGAATGATTGTGAAGATTCCACAAGAGCCCTAAATGTAGAGTTCCTCGAAAGTCATACGAACCTTATACTGCTGTGAATAATTAATTTTTTTCCCAAGTTTTAATATACCAGTCACCCTCTGTTAACTAGGGACAGCGTCGTTACATGTAACTAGATACACCACTGCTATTGTATTTTTTCCCTGTGATCTTTCAGGTCATTTAAATTGAGAAAAGAAGTCCTGCCTGACTCACCCCCTTTTGTTCTTGTCTGGGTGGCTCCTCAGGGGTTTTCTAAGAGCCACCCAGACTCAAGGGTGGCTTCTCCCGCTGAAGACAGATGGCTTGGAACATGCTGTAGCTGTACGCACCGTGTGTCTTGCTGTGTTCTGATGAGAAATGGTAACTTCCCGTTTCATATTTTGCCTCCTCTAGGGGGACAGCCGCGCCGCTGCTGCTTTTCCGAAGAGGTGACTTCGACCGAGCTCTCCAGTGGAGACCAGAGTCACAAGATGGGAGATAACGCCTCGGAAAGAGACACCGGCGAGTCCAAGGCAGGGATCGCAGCTTCTGTGTCCATACTTGAAAACAGTAGCAGAGAGACTTCTAGAAGGCAAGAGCAGCACAGATTTTCTATGGACTTAAAGATGCCAGCATTTCACCCCAAGCAGGAGGTGCCCGTCCCTGGTGATGGTGTGGAGTTCCCTTCCAGTACGGGAGCGGAGGGCCAGACGGGTCACCCTGCAGAAAAGCTGTCCGATTTGCACAACAAGGAACACTCTGGGGGAGGGAAGCGGGCGCTGGCCCCAGACCTCATGCCGCTAGATTTAAGTGCGAGGTCGACGCGGGATGACCCCAGCAATAAGGAGACGGCCTCCTCCCTGCAGGCGGCTTTAGTCGTTCACCCGTGTCCTTACTGCAGCCACAAGACCTACTACCCCGAGGTCCTGTGGATGCACAAACGCATCTGGCACCGCGTCAGCTGCAACTCCGTGGCTCCCCCGTGGATTCAGCCCAATGGTTACAAAAGCATCAGAAGCAATTTGGTTTTCCTTTCCCGGAGCGGACGCACGGGCCCCCCGCCTGCCCTCGGTGGCAAAGAATGCCAGCCTTTGCTCCTTGCTCGGTTCACCCGCACTCAGGTGCCAGGGGGGATGCCGGGGTCCAAAAGTGGCTCTTCTCCCCTGGGAGTGGTCACAAAAGCCGCTAGCATGCCTAAGAATAAGGAGAGCCATTCCGGAGGTCCCTGCGCTCTGTGGGCGCCCGGCCCTGACGGGTATCGACAGACCAAACCTTGTCACGGCCAGGAGCCACATGGCGCGGCCACACAGGGGCCCCTGGCCAAGCCCAGGCAGGAGGCTAGCTCCAAACCGGTGCCTGCCCCGGGTGGCGGGGGCTTCAGCAGGAGCGCCACCCCTACGCCCACCGTCATCGCCCGGGCTGGCGCGCAGCCCTCGGCCAATAGCAAGCCTGTGGAGAAGTTTGGGGTCCCCCCAGCGGGGGCTGGCTTTGCCCCCACAAATAAGCACAGTGCCCCGGACTCCCTGAAAGCCAAATTCAGTGCTCAGCCTCAGGGTCCACCTCCTGCAAAGGGCGAAGGGGGCGCTCCTCCTCTACCTCCCCGCGAGCCCCCCTCGAAGGCAGCCCAGGAGCTGAGGACTCTGGCCACCTGTGCTGCGGGGTCCAGGGGCGACGCGGCCTTGCAGGCCCAGCCCGGCGTGGCTGGGGCGCCCCCCGTCCTACACTCCATCAAACAGGAGCCGGTGGCCGAGGGGCATGAGAAGCGCCTGGACATCCTCAACATCTTTAAGACGTACATTCCAAAGGACTTTGCGACCCTCTACCAGGGATGGGGTGTCAGCGGCCCTGGGTTGGAGCACAGAGGTAAGATGTGCGGGCCCTCTCTTCCCCAGGCCACATGTGACCCCCAGAACCACCCCCGGAGGGCCAGGGCTGCTGCGCACCTGCCTGTCCATGTCCCTGAGGACAGAGCCAGCCGGCCCCATCCCACTGCTGAGCTGAGAGCTGCTCCCTTGCCCTGGCCGAGGAGCACAGCAGATGGGAACAGCTCTCCCAGGCTCCACATTCTGCCCTGCCGGGGAATGCCTGCCTGGGGTTGGTGGCCCTCTGCACGTTGGCCCTGGGAGGAGGTCGCAAGCCCTGCACGGCTTCCTTCCTGCTGAGAGGACGTTTCCTCCACACCGACATTCCGCAGGAGCAGGCCGACGTGATTGCACTTCACGTGTTTGTCATTTTAAACAGAATCCGTAGATGTTCATTGTCCTGTCTCTCAAAAGACAAGAATATTCATTTAATGTATTAAGTTTTATTTTTATTCATCTGTAATTAAAAAAACACCTAATTAGTCCTCTAATATTAGTAAGCAAAGCTTTGCAGAGGATCGATGTACCATATAAAGTCTGGAGAATGGGATTTGTGCAAAAATTCCTGAAAAAAATACTTGGAAAAGGTTATCTTCCCTTCTCCCTCTGCCTTAGTATTGCTATCTGATAGTAACACTGAGAAGCAGTTGCTAGCTTTCCTCCTGCTCCTCCGGCACGCGCACTGCATGCGGTGCCCCGTTCTGGAACATAATTGAAGGTCACTCTCACTTAACGTCCAGAACACAAACCTAAGTTCTGTTAAAAATCAAAACAAAACAGAGTCTCTCAGTTCATTGCCTGGGAAGTCCTAACCGTTCTTCGATAGAATTGTTTGTCGTGGCCAGGCATGGTGGCTCAACGCCTGTAATCCATGCACTTTGGGAGGCCGAGGTGGGCGGATCACGACGTCAGGAGTTCAAGACCAGCCTGGTCAATATAGTGAGAGACACCATCTCTACTAAAAACACAAAAATTAGCCAGGCATGGTGGGGTGCACCTGTAATCCCAGCTACTTGGGAGGCTGAGGCAGGAGAATTGCTTGAACCCAGGAGGCGGAGGTTGCAGTGAGTAGAGATCGTGCCACTGCACTCCAGCCTGGGTGACAGAGTGAGACTCCATCTCAAAAAAAAAAAAAAAAAATAACGTTGTAAGCCTGTGGTTTCTTAAAGTGGTTACCATTAGAACATCTGAGATCCAGGGCTGCAAACTCCAGGCAGCTGGCAGGACTGTCAGGGGCATGGTTCTGGGTCTGGGAGATATCAGCAGACAGCCTCCCCAGATCCACCGTGGGACAGTGTCCCAGTGGGTGCTGGGGTCACCTGCTGAGCTCCTGGCTTAGGCCGGGGTTTCAGAGCCTGCCTAGATCCATGGCCTGGCAGGGCTGTCTTGGCATGAGGGATGCCCACCCAAGGTGTTTTCCAGTAGGAGACATCACAGGCCTGCTGCCCCTCTTACAGATTTGCTGGCAAAGGCCTTACTCCAGCCAACCTTGTTACATTCCTGCTTTGAAGAGCCCGCTGAGCACTTGTGAACTTTTTAGGATGAGGCCGTAGGCCCGGACACCCGAGGGTCTCGTCATTCACGTTGGCTTGAGGTGTGACTCAGGAGTGGCGTCCCTGAGGCGTGGTCTTAGATCCTCATCTTCTCCCCGCCCATGTGCTCTGGGTGGACGGTGTAACCTGAGGAGGCTGTCGTGGGTGGGAGGCGCGGCGCAGTGCCATGTGGATTGATGGTTTGACTTTTTCCACGTTCAGTTACAGTGAGCGAGTTCCCTCAGCGTCAGCAGGGTTTCTCAGTCACGTAGATTATTTGCTGCTAAGTGGAAAACAAGTTGGTTGGTGGCCTTTTGATGTGATGCCAGCCTCACTTCTGGAGATGTGGGGTTTCTTGGAACCCAAAGCAGAGAAGGCTGAGTGGTGAGGTCTGTGCTGTTGTGGATGCTGGGTGTTCCCAGCTGCACCTGGCCCGCTGTGTCCTTCCCCCGGTGGCCGCCTCCCAGCAGAGCAAGGGGAGTTTGACGCCCACTTGATCCACCGGACTCATAGTTTTAATTAATCATGCCCTCCAGCCTGCGTGCACCCTAGGTTCTAAACAACCTGCCAGCTCACACCTGGAAAGTGCCGTCCCCCGTTTTTAAAGGCTTTTGAGCTGCCCTGTGGGTGGCGTAGTTGCTGTTTCTAAGAAAGTAGAAGTGAGTTTTAAGGTCAGGTTTTGAAATTTTAGATGATAGAATTTGAAGTCCAAAATAGTCTGAAGTATTTTCCCTTTTCTTACAGACATTTTAAAAAATAAATGGTTCTAAGGTCTTTTTTTTTTTTTTTTGAAAGAGAGAGGTTAAATATTTATCTTTCATATGTGAAAAATACTAGTCACAAAGTACATGCACTCATCTTGGGTTATTTATTCTTCTAATGTACACATTGAGACATAGTGTGAGTCAGCAAATTTAGGGTTTCTAAGTGTACTGTAAATTGGGTTTCTTAAGGGAAGTGCTCTCACCTTTTTGGTCTTAAAATATACCTGTTAGTAGGTGCATTATTAGGATCCTGGCTTCCCGGGTATAGAGTACCTGAGGTCAGCCTGTTTAGATACTTGGTCAGTGCACCTGAGAAGTGCCGAGCATCTCCAGATGGGACGCCTCCGGTGAGGGGGCTCGGCACCTCCTGGGCCCCTAGCTTTGGTGAACTTCCCTTGCCTACAGGTCTCTGTGTTGAAGCTGTCAGAACAAGTTGAGAACTCTTCTATGTCATAGTTCTTTAAGGCTTCAGACATTTCCCTCTTGCCTTTCCTGGACCCAGCATCCGTGTTCTGCATCCATCCTCTACCTGGTCTCTTGGGCCTACCCATCTATCCTCTGCCTGGTCTCCGGGACCTTCCGTGTCCATCTTCTACCTGGTCTTCGGGGCCTTCCCATCCATCCTCTACCTGGTCTCTTGGGCCTTCCCATCCATCCTCTACCTGGTCCCCAGGACCTTCTGTGTCCATCCTTTACCTGGTCTCTGGGACCTTCTGTGTCCATCTTCTACCTGGTCTTCGGGGCCTTCCCATACATCCTCTACCTGGTCTTTGGGGCCTTCCCATCCATCCTCTACCTGGTCTCTTGGGCCTTCCCATCCATCCTCTACCTGGTCTCTTGGCCCTTCCCATCCATCCTCTACCTGGTCTTCGGGGCCTTCCCATCCATCCTCTACCTGGTCTCTTGGGCCTTCCCATCTTGGGCCTTCCCAGGTCTCCCAGGACAGGAGACCTGGTCCCCAGGACCTTCTGGGTCCATCCTCTCCCTGGTCTCCGGGACCTTGTGTGTCCATCCTCTACCTGATCTCCAGGACCTTCTGCGTCCATCCTCTACCTGGTATCCAGGGCTTTCCCTGTCCATCCTCTACCTGGTCTCCGGGACCTACCCATCCATCCTCTGCCTGGTCTCTGGGACCTTCCCCATCCATTGTCTACCTGGTCTCTGGGGCCTTCACGTCCACTCTCTACCTGGTCTCTGGGGCCTTCTGTGTCCATCCTTCTACCTGTTCTCTGGGGCCTTCCCTGTCCACTCTCTACCTGGTGTCCAGGACCTTCACATCCATCCTCTATTTGGTCTCTGGGACCTTCCGCATTTCCTTTCTCCTTACTTGAATGTTTGTTTTTGACGCCCTTAAAGTGTTGTAGCCAGAAGGAAACCCAGCAGCCTTGGTGTGGTCAGACTATTGGAAAGGTGAACAGAACACTCATGTTTCCTGTTACAGAGACTCGATTTCTGTTACCGCAGCCCAGGAAATCTGTGCAGCCTGGATTTCCTTTTTTGAGTGTTGCTGAATACTGGAGTAACTACACTTTCTTAGGGCTTTTTTCTTCCACTTGTTTCTGTTCAGCTGTTTCTTTTTTGTGGTGTACCTGTAGTTGATTTTTGAGTCATGAGTCTAGAATCTTGTTTCATTCCTTCCTTGGTCAAATTGATCTTTTTGACGTGTCTTATTATACAAGTGTATCTCTGCTTTCTGGTCTTCTCTTCTCACCGCATGTGTTTGTTACGTGTCTGCTAGGTGGGTGTCGTCTGCAGCTGTAAAGATCACAACTTCCCTGTGAGTGGTCATTGATTACCCCTATTGCTGTAGCATCATTTTGTAGTTTGGGGAGGTAGAAATATGCAGAGGAGAATGGTCTCAGAGAATAGGAAGTCATCTCACGTGTACATGCAATAGTTGTGGGTGCTAGAAGTGTGATTCTGTGATTTTGCAGTGGACATGTTCCATTTATACAGAGAATGTTGCTATTGGAGGATGCTTCTAAGACAGGTTTTATTCAGAAGTTAGGAAACGGAAGTCTCAAAGACTTCCCCGCCCCCACATGTGTTCGGGTGATGTTTCTGTAGATATGAAGAGTCTAAAAACTCTACCCAAACAGGAAGGAAAGAACTATTGCTACCTCCTTTAGGGACTCCCTGACCATTTAAGAAGAAAAACCCACTGCATTTTCTGTAATCATTGTACAGTGTGACTACCAAGTCTATAAACATACAGGAATAGAACATAAATGACTTATTGCTACAACAGTAATAAAATAATACATGATCTGTGTTTTCAGACCTTACGGCCAGTCTAGATGATCTGATAGTATGAATCTTAGAATAAAATTTGAAGCTAATAAAATAATTCCAGATAGAATAGATGGTATTTCTTATTGGGACCTAAAAAAGTCATTTATACCAAGGAGGCCTTCATATTGTGGTGATGAAAGCTTTGTGCTTTCTTGCAGTTTGATCTCTCTTTGTAGAATCTTTTTCATCTCCTCTTTCTCTATGGATAGCACAGCACCACATAATGACACGCAACGTAGCAGGGCTGGGTGTCCCTCTCTGAAGTTGGCCAGGCCTTTTTCTTTGACCGTTAAGTCCACTTTCCAAACACAACTTGAATTTCTAGGTGAGAACATTTGAGCTGCGTGCTTACCAGGTGGTCTTCAGTTCAAATGAAGTTTATAACCTTTGTGATTGACTCGGAATGTTGTAGCTTGGGCATAATATTATTGGCCATAAGGGCAAGTGCCCTGTCTTTAAAAAGTAAAGAGAAAGTGATATGGTGAGATGTGTGGGAAACTCATATGTGTGTGTGCACTTGTGAGCGTGTACGCCTGCGTGTGTGTGTGTGCACGCGTGCTCATGCACCCTTACTTCAAGGAAATAAGCACGGATGAGTGGGAGGGCTATCCATGTTTTCTCTGTTGCTCATTTGGATAGGAAATAGCTACAATAATTACTTGAAAAAAGAATAATGACTTAGTTTTTGAAAGTTGTGAATGTTAGACACAGATGACATTGCATGTCGTCATCATTAGTCAGTATTGTGTGTAGGCGTGGTCAGATTCCACCTGTAGAAGCAGTCTAGATTGTACCTGGGAAAATCCAGACAACCGGAGTATTCAGAAATTCATTTCGTAGGAGCTCCACTGGGTGGTGTTTCTAATGCAAATGAATGGGGGAACAAAATAGCTTAAAAAATCTCTTTTCTTTCTTTCCTTTCCTTCCTTTTCTTTACTTCCTTCTTTTCTTTCTCCCCTTCTCTTTCCCTCCCTCCCTTTTCTCCTCTCCTGTCTCCCCTCCTTTCCCCTCCCCTCCGCTCCCCTCCTCTTCCCTCCTCTCTCCTCTTTTCTTCTTCTCTTTGCTTCTTCTCTCTTCTGTTCTTTTTCTTTTTCCTCTTTCTTTTCTTTCTTTCATTCAAGACAGAATCTCACTCTGTCACCTAGGCTGGAGTGCAGTGGTGTGATCTCAACTCAATGCAGCCTTGACCTCCTGAGCTCAAGTGATCCTCCCACCTCAGCCTCCTGAGTAGCTAGAAGCATAGGCATGCATCACTCGCCTGGATAGCTTTTACATTTTTAGTAGAGATGAGGGCTCTCACTCTGTTGCCCAGGCTGGTCTTGAACTCCTGGGCTCAAGTGATCCTCCCGCTTTGGCCTCTCAAAGTGCTGGGATTACAGGCGTGAGCCGCCGCACCTGGCCCCTGTTAACTTGAGTGTTGGTTGAAATGTTTCTTCTTATTCCTTTTGTGTATGTAAGGCAATGGGAATATTGAGTAGTCGGTGGCTAAGTTGTTGAATTTCTCTGATTCATGTTAATGATCTGTCATATAAGAAATTTGACAAGATGTGCCTCACAGTTCATGCATTTCTTATTTCCATAAACATGATCTATAGTGTAAGCATGATTTTATGTTTTTACCTATTGAGCTACTCTGAATTAGGGTAAGAGAAACAATATTGAAGGTTTGTTTTCAACCAGTGTGACTAAGGTGCCTTTTGTCATTCTCTTCATTTGCTGTTCACACTCAGGTGTCAGCCTTTAGATACATAAAAACTCAGCTGCATAAAGCAGCGTTTTAAAAAATTACTGCAACAGGTGTAACTTTTTCTAGTTATTATTTCTGTTTTTTTTGTTTTTCCTACTGAGTTGAGTTACTATTGCGCATAACAGTGACTCTCCCAGCCAGAGAAATTTCTTTGGAGCTGCCAGCACATGGAAATCAAGCCTTTTCTTCAGAGAGAAAAGTTGTGCAGACAAATAAACGCTCTCTGCATCCCTTTCTAATCAAAGTCGTGTGGCTTTTTGGATCAGAAGGAAACACAAAGCCCGGCCTTTGAGTGCAGGGATGTGGCATGATCTTTGGGGAAAAGGTGGGACTTGGGGACTTCCCCCCTTGCCGATGGCCAGCAGGTGCACGCACCTTGGGGGCCTGCTGCCTGGTGGTTGTAGGTGTCCCCTCCCTTCTGGGGGCCGGGGCCTCAGAGCTGCCCAGGCAGGCAGGAGAGAGGGCCAGAGGTGGGGCCACCCTGTGGCCGCACTCACTCTGCGTGGGTCTCCCAGGATCGCGGCCGGGTCACGGTGGGCTCTGGTCCCGCTCACTTCCTATTTTCCATGAGCCTCGTCTCTGTCACGCCGGTGTCACTCTGATTTGCTGGATGTGCTGCTTGACAGAGCCGGGTGATGGCTGTGCCCAGCCTGCAGTTGCTCGGAGCTGCACAGCCCGACGTGCTGCCTGGCGGGCACCTCCTGTCCCAGGGAGTGGTTTTTAATTCGCTGTAATTTATGCATCCTTGCAGTCCTGAGAGTGCCTGGCCTGTCAGCAGAGCCGAGATGAAGGCTGACAGTTGTCACCAGGGCCTGAAGGGAGCCTCACATGATGACACATTAGACAGACTAATGATGTTTTCCTCTCGCTTCCCCCTCGCTCTCCTGCCTCCTCACCTCCACGCCAACCCCACCACGGCCCTGCCACCACCACCACCTCGCCACCGCAGGGACACTCCGGACGCAGGCCCGGCCAGGAGAGTTCGTCTGCATCGAGTGCGGAAAGAGCTTCCACCAGCCCGGCCACCTCAGGGCCCACATGCGGGCACACTCAGGTATCGCCCTCCCGCCCAGCTATCCCCAAGGGGAGCAGAGGAAGAGGGGTCTCTTCTGTCAGTGGCTTGACCATCCGCAGCGAGGGAGATACTGAGATTTCAGCCCCTACCAGGCGGCGGGGGGCCTGCCATCTGCCTCCGGGATCGTATACAGGCCGCCCCCACTCCACACCTGAAATGGGTTTTTTTGGTGTCCATGTGCCATGTGGTTTAATTTGAGATAAGCCTGTTTGCAAATGTTCCATTTTAATTAGAGAGTAACTGACTCCTCAGAAATGAATATGCTAATGAATGGCATTGCCACCAGCACACATTTAATCAAAGCACCCTTTTAGCACAGCGTAGGCTTGGTTTTGTGTCCTCACTGGCACTGACTGGACTCTGTGGGATACACCCGGGCCCCTTTGGACCATGCAGGATGTACTGCAAAATCCCTCAGCCCTTATGTAGAGAGCTTGCACCCGATCGGGCTGGAAACTGTCAGGACAGCGCAGGGGCATTAGAGAGACAGGGAGACGGGGTTCTCTATCAGGAGTGTGAAGGATGCACACAGAAGCTGGTCTGATGCAAGATGACACAGGCCGAGTGGTAAGTAATGCAAGAAGAGGGTCCCTTACACACACACCGATAATTAATGTTGTCAGTGATTGCTTTCTTCAGCAGCGAGGTCTGAATTAAAAAGGGCAGTGGCCCCAGGCAGCCATTATCACAGTCTCTTACTGTAAGTGTTACGGTAAATTGGTATTTTCCAGCCACAGGCTAGGCGCTGGTGTCTTTTTTTGTGGAAGTACTTAATCTGTAATGGACTCATTTAATGTGCACGTCCGGAAGCTCACACGCTGATCTGTTAACAAACCCCTTGTTCCCACAGTGGTGTTTGAGTCCGATGGGCCTCGGGGTTCTGAAGTTCATACCACCTCCGCAGACGCCCCCAAACAAGTAGGTCTCATGATGAATTGGATGTCTGGGTTTCGATGCGGTAGCTGGGAAAGGTGCACCATGATGCTCATCACTGAAGCATGACCTTCTTTTTGTTTTTTTCACTAGATGTGTAAATAATCCTATATGCTTTGACTTGGAACCTGACCCTTCGGGGCCGTCTGTGGGCAGTACCCGCACAGAGGTCCTCCCAGCCGGGTGGTGCAGGGTCTAGGTGCACACAGCTGGTTGTTGGTTGTATTGGGGAGGAGGAAGTCGGGATAGACTGGCGGTGACTGCAAACACTAGAAACTCAGTTTTTCCAAGATGGTTTTGGATGTGAGTTTGCTTGAGAACAAATTGTGGTTAACCTCCTTGAAGAACATTATTTTTGTGTTATTCCGTAAGAAAAGTTTCGTGTCCAGCGTGGTGTCTTGCGGCTTTGTGCCTTGTTTCTCTGCATTACGAACACGACTGGCAAGGCCAGAGTGCCTGAAAGTAGCTGTGTGCCTGTGTCTGTGATGCACCTTACCATCCAGGCGTGACCTGTGTACATGCATGACTCAGTACACACTGAGTGTGTGGGACCCTGGCACTAGCACACGGTTCTGAGTCCTGCTCTAAAGTAGAGAGGCACCCACAGCCCGCAGCGGGTCTCTTGCATTCTCTCAGGCTGAGAGTATGTATTTTCATTGCTCTCCCATTTTGCCCTCCTGGAGGACGTCACACCTGTGTTGCACAAGCATTCTCTAAGTAACATTCTGGCTTTCTCCAAAGACAAACTCTCCCCTTTGTCATTGAGGAAAGAGTTTCTTTGCCGTGAGAGTCAAGCCGTGTCTGGGTGGTGGAATTCAGTTTGTGTCCCTGCGCTGAAATATCTAATTGTCTGTGGGATTCCTGGTTGCTGGTGAGGATGAGGGCAGTTAAGACCTCCAAGGGATCTCAAGACTCTATGATCTAGTGAGGTCTCAAAGGAACTCGAGAATCGTTCTAGTTTATTTCTAGAGGAAAAAGATAAGAGGCATGAAATGGCTTCACCAAGGACCCACTGCTAATTAGTGATTGAGCTGGGCTGGATGTAGAATTGACATTACCTGATGAGGGATTTCGGTTTTTGTTTTTGTTTTTGTTTTTTTTGCCTTGTTGGAATTTCTGTGTATTGTTAAAGGCCTTTGCTTCATGTATTGTTGACAAAAACCCTTGCCATTTATTACAGGTTTTAAATAATTAGCTTCTGCCTTTCTTAATAAAACCCATAGTTACCCAATACTATGACAACTTACGAAATAAGTAAGTAAAACATCTTGCTGAAAATGGAATGAAAAGATTTCCAAGTGTATGACCTCCACTGCAGTTAGGAAGCATTGTCCTTTTTAACAGAAATAAAACCCTCTTGCCACAAACAGTCACCGTGATGTGTTTGTGGGATGTAGTAAGAGCAAGGTCATGCCGTAATTGAGAATTACAAGTTGATGTTACAACTGGAGTGAGTGCCAAGTGTTCCTGCTTACACAGGTGACCCGTTCAACCCACCAAAGACCTGGCTTTTGGGTAGGAATGTTTGACAGGGGCGGGAAGCCAGGCCAGGTGGATCTAGGAACAAGTTGGTGAGATTCTTCAGGAATGCATGTCAGTTTATTTGCTGCCTATTAATTCTACCTAAGCCTCTTTGAAAAACTCTTGTCCCAGGGAGAAATAGGAGATCAAAAAGCAAATCATTTAGACTATTTTAAATAATGTCTGTGTTACTTATTGGTTATGCCCCAGCATAACCAGTTGTTTATAATAATTTTATTATATGAGTAACAATATAATAATTGTTACTCATTCTTGATTCTGATATAGAAAAGATGTACTTATATTGTTCTCTTTGTCTCTCTAGACTAAAATATTGTTATTTTATACTTCATACCAACTATCCTCTTAGTTTCAAGTTTACAGTAACTCAATATTGTGGTCTGAGTGAATGTGGCTTTCAGACTTAGCCTGTGTATTAACTGTTGGTGTGAAGATCTCGGTGGGTGAGCTTTCCTTTCATTCATAGGACAGTGGCAGTTCAGGCCTGGCATTAAAACTGAGCTAGATTTGTATGCGTCTCCTGCTGTGGCAGTTGGTTTGTTAAATTCCATATCTGAGCTCATGGCCTCTGATGGTACTTTTTGTCTTTCATTACATTTAAAGTAGCTTTTGGTGATTTATCACTGAATGCTCTGCAGAGTTCTCTAAGGAAATTCCATTTTCCTTAACGTACTTTGGAACTATAAGCATTCCTATAGAGATTTGTTGGGTAGGATAATTGCAAAACACATCAGTAATAGGTAGAGGTTTAAATCCTAGGGTTCCTTGTTCTTATCCTATAATTCTCATTGTTTACAGAAACCACAATAGCTGTGTTAAATTTAAGATACCTTATAGATTATAGAAAACATTCTGTAGTTATGTATGTCTAGAATGTGATTCATACTTACCAGCCATGTTCTTTTTCATGTTTAGCGTGCTTTGCTAACATTCATTAATATTTAAATCGGATTCTTTTCCTGTGGGCTTTAGATGCTAGGGATCATGGCTGTGGTTTTTTTTGATCATGCAACACCGTGTATTCATGCAGAAATTATTTGATGTGACACTTAAAGTCAATGGACTTTTATAGATATACATAATAGATGCTACATTATGTAATTGAAACAGTATTTGGAAATTCCATTTTATAATAATTTATTCACTTACTAACAATATTTATTGACCACCCACTGCGTGCCAGGCCTGTGCAGGATACTGGGGCGACAAGATAACCATTTTTCCTGCTTCTCTGGTTCAAAAGGTCCATGGGTGGCTTAGACAGGAAGTAGGGCAGAGCAAGGCAGCGCTGTGACATGGGAAGGGCCCTGTCATTGAGGCTGGAGGCGCTTGGAAGACTATGGAGGGGCGGAGGGATGGGCGTCCCTAAAGAGCTCAGCACGTGGAAGGCCCGGAGTGGAGGAACACATTCCACTGGAGGAACTGGGTGGGGGTCAGCTCACGGAGGGAGAGCCAGAGTGGGTGGGCAGAGGCTCGGGCCTGGGGTCTAGAGAGCACCAGGTCTCCTTGTTGAGACTCTGAATTTCTTCCCACAGGGGATAGAGAGCCCTAGGCAGGGCTGACACCGTCAGAGTTGTAGCTTGAGAAGAATGAGCAGGTCACACGCTACTGAGAATGGGCTTAGTGGTTCCCGGCAGCAGAAGCAGGTCTTTGGAGGCGCTTAGCTTGATCCCAGCGAGAGATAAGGTGGCCTGAGCTGGCATGGGGCCGGAGAGAGCGGGTAGATTTGAGGGACTAGAACAGAGGGATTGGGCTTGGAAAGTGAGGGACAGGAGGGAATGGTGTTGACCCCAGGTCTGGCTTCAGGCAGCTGGCCCCAGGGATGACCCATTCCCCTGAGGCTGGAAGGAGGAGCAGGATAAAACATTTCCAGATAGAATTCAAGGTAAGTTTGAGAGCTTTGTGGAAACCCAGGTAGGAATGTCTAATAGGCAGGCGAAGATACGGGTTTATAGTGGAGAGGAGAGATCCTGGCAGAGACTGTATCTAATAGCTGTCAACATTTAAATTCATTGAAGGTCAGCCAGTTCTACTCTGAGAGACCCAGATAATATAATCTATTGGGTTATTGAGTAGAGGCTTTAACTTTGATCCTCTACCATAGACATATAATGTAACCTAAGTTCCCTTATCTGTAAAATAATGATAATGGTGCTTATTTTGTATACTTGCTGTGGAAATCAAGTTAGGACATACACCACAGAGCACACATTCAGTGTGACCTCTTGTCATTTAGTCTAAAAATAAGCAATTTTCCTTAATAACTGGAGGAAACTCACATACTTGGAGAGCCTTTCTGTGGTGAGCACACACGTGAACACATCTACACACATACTTACGCCCGTGTAGACAGATGGCTGTCATTGATAAGCCAGTTGGTAGATGTTGCTTATGAACTCAGTTTGATGGCATGTTTTCTTTACTTGGTGTCTTGTGGCTTTGTCGGAACCTGCCAGCGTGCTTCTCTTTGTTTTGTTTGGTTTAAGAGACTTGTCGTTAATTATTCATTAAAGAGAGGATGCAGGAAAACCGTGAGTTTGAGAAAAGTGTTGTCAAGATAGGCATAGTTACCTCATTTGCTGCATTCTGTTCAAAAGCCCTCCGGTTGGTAGACAGACATGGTTGGTTTTTGTAGAACAACTGCCCTTACTTTGTCATATTAATATTTGAATATTCTATACTGGAAAATTCTGAGAAATTGTGATATACCGTCTATCTCAGCAAAACAATTCAACAGGCACGAGGGCCAGGTAAATCTGCTGAAATTGATTAAATTCACCATAGGTTAGAATCAGGAATAAATAATTAAAGTCAGTTTAATTGATCAGCACACACCTGAAGCTTGAAGAGAAATAAAGTAGTTTCCTTTCGTGGTGACACTAGTGGCAGTCTTTTTCAGCACACGCACTGTTTAAGCCTCTTCCATGTTATATACACATACTTGAAGACTGTAGAGGAGGTTATGAAAACCAGATAGTCAAGCAGCCATTTCTTTCTGAACACCTTCCTTTGGTAGGTGGTAAGGGTGGAAAGGATGCCTGGAGCCTTGGAAGGCAGAGATGGAGGATAAATAACAGGGCTTCCCGTAGGCTGTGGATGCTCACAGCACACCCCTTTAGGCATCTCACTCTTTTGCCTCGATCGTAGACAAGCTAGAAGATGGTGAGAGGGTCCGGGCCCTGGGCCTCAGGAGCCCAGCTGTGAGGGCATCCGCTCTTGTGGGTGATTCTTCCAGCCCGGCGGTGGCACCGGTGCTTGTCCTTGGTGCTTTTACTGTGTTTTGGATTAAGATGGTTCCAATATCAAGGACCGCTGATCCTCCAAATCAAATTCTAAATGAGGGAAAGAGCTCATGCATGTTGTCGTTTAAAAGATGCTTGGTCATCCATTTAGCACAACTGAATAAATGTTTAATTTCTAGTAATCATCAGCATTCATCATTAGAAAGAACACTTTCTGAAAACAATATGTTGAAATCTGGGTGTTTTGTCCTGTGGATGTTAGAGGAAAAACTAGGAAGTTTCTTTAGTGTTGCAGAGAAATTGATTTTTTTTGTTGCATTGTTGTTAAACATTAGAAATTAAAATGATTTTTGAAACCAAGAAAAATTATTCACCCCAACCTCGTGGTTTTGGGATTTATTGAAAGACCAGAATGTCTGCTGAAATATGAAATCTGGTGTTTTGATTTGTTTGGATTCCTTGCCAGAATTTAAAGACTATGATTAATAGTTTATTTCTTATTATTCTAAATGTTATTTTAAAATGGTTAAGCTGGATAAATAATTCCATTAATCAAAATAACAGGAAATGAAAAAACAAATGGCGACCTAATTTGTCTCATTTTTAGCTGTGGCTATTATAATGCAAATGATGGAGAAATCACGTAGGTTGGTACATTTGAATATATGCATAATCTATTTTCAGTATCACTTTCAGAGTCTCAGCATCACAGATCAGAGTTTGAAATTCAGCTCATTTGCTTAAGCTTTTCTTATTTATTAAACCAAACAAGCATCTTAAAACACATTTTCCATTTTCTCTAAATATAATATGCTACCAAAAATCATGAATTAGACTTGGCGAATTACCCAAAATCCCCCCAGTCACATAGCCTTTGTTTACTTATGGTTTGTTGGGTAAAGGTTTTAGTCAGTAAAGCATTGTGCATAATTGGTCCTCAGGCACTTAGCATTGCCTGCGTGGCTGACCACAAGCCCTGTTTACAGGCTGACCTCCCTCTGAAGGCCGAGAGGTGCCCCGTGTGTCCTGGGGCATGGCAGGTTTTTTGTGTGCGGGGCATCGATCCACACCCACCACTACATACACATTTCCCTTGCCTTACTAAAAGAAAGAGAGAAAGTGGACCTCGTGAAGTCCCAGTAGTCAATATCCATCCCTAGAACACTGAAATACCTTCAAGAAAGATAGTATGTCTTTCAGCATTACTGAAAAGCCCACAGTTCACAGCTGCAGAAAAGAAAAGCGAAATCTTCCGAAAGCTTCTCATGTTTTGACTACTCTTTCCCTTCCAGGAAGACAAGGCGATGGTGGGCGTGCTCAAAAGATTATAGTGTGTCCACTTAATTTGAATATTTCTCTGCCTCCTTTCTTCCCTGTTTTATTCATTTCTTAAAAATGCTCTAGGGCTGCTTTATTGAATAATAACATGGTGGCCTCCGGTGAATCAATAACTTAAAGCAACTATCTTAAAAAAATGAGGTATTGGAACACATCCCTTCAGTTATGAAGAGAAAATGGGCGTCTCTGCATCTGGATTTGTGAACACAATTTAACCACCTAGTTGTTTGGCTTATCCCGACTTTGCAGTGCTTCCAAAATAAATATTTTTAAAGCCTTCTGAGCCCTGTAATATAAAACGTTAGCCCTTCATGGACGGAGGGCCGTCTTCCTGTTGCCTCTGGAACAGTCCATTGATGCCTAACCCAATGCAAGTCTGTGACTTCTGGTCCAAAAGAAGAGCTACCCAGGTGGATGTGCCCTGGGGGTGCTGTCCATGTGCAATCTAGGCACACACAGCACCTGTGTTCACAGGCATCCCCTGCCCGCCTCTTACGGTCCCTGACGTCTATGTTTGCTATGCAGAGACGGTCAAGGCCAAACACCCAATAGCTAACTATAACTCCCAGTTTTCTTTGGTAAACACGAAGACCATTTTCCTTCCAGAATGTATTTGGAATTGGTTCTTAGTGAGCCCTGTTGATGATGAATATTTCCCATCAGAACCTCAGAGATGTCTTCACGGCCTGACGTCACTGTACAAAAATGTAAAACAGTCTTTGTCCGTTTACTGCAGGAAATTCACCATCTACTTAGGGAAGTTTTATCACATCTCTCATTCCATTACTGTTTCCTACATTTCAAATAAACTGCTGTCTCCACCACTTTGCCCACCCCCTAACCCCTCGTAAAATTTTGTCCAGTATCTTTCTGACTTCCACTACATGCCAACTGGTAGATGTCACAAACACAGAGCCAGCTGTAAGTAGGAGTTTTCTGGAACTATTAACTAAAGAAAAGCCCTTAATTCATTATGTCAACCAGACCTTCCCCCACTCCGCCATTATTTCTGGGGTTCCTATAGGCATAGCTGGAAACAGAATTTTACACGAGTCCCTTAGTTTATGTATGCATGTTAATTTCCACTGGTCAGTTTCACTTCATCAAGATTTTAGCTGAAGGTTAATGCAGTTAAGTAAGATTAATCTGGCCATACTGTTTCTGTCCTCAGATTGTAAATGCTATTGTTCAAACAGGGATGCTTCAAATGTCATTGGAGAGCATTCTCTGAAAGCTGTGGACCCCCATTTATGCTTGGTTTTCTCTCGCAGTTCACTTTAGAATACTCCTTCCCTTTTTCCAACTTGGTAATTGTTTATGGAAATGGGTGAACACGCTCTGAAGTTCTGACAGACCTACGTGAGAGCCGTGCTCTTCTTTTTGTTTGTATGACCCCCAAATTCAGCCTTGTTTTGGAACTACCGTTCACTTGTAAATCTGCTTTGTACTATACAGTTTTACAATCTGGCCGCCTCCTCATCTTGCCAACTTGTAACCTTCTCTCCAGAGCTGGTTCAGACACTATCATCTGCCATTCTTACATGTGAAACCATTAGAGAAGCCTAATGATCCTTTCTAAATCACACTGGAAATGATTCGTTTTCAAGCTGCCTCTCTTTAAGGCAGGAAGGCACATTTGAAATACTTGCTGCTCATTTTATGAAATGAGTTACAGCTCAGGTCAGGGGGTCTTCGCCTACTTGGTTGGCTTGCTTTGTGAAGGTCATTGTTTGTGTTCTTGGATGTTGATTAGAAAATTAATAGGAAAAATGCATTTAGAAACCAAAAGGCAGAAATGAGCTTTTCTCCTGTTCTTTCCTTTTTCTCACCCAGGGGAGAGACCATTCTAACACAGGTACCGTCCAGACAGTGCCTCTGAGAAAGGGAACCTAAAGGCGTGTTTCCGACGCACCCCAGGTCCCCGTAACGGCCATTAGCAGTACCCTCACGATGTCCCAGCAGCCTCCCACCTGTGACCTGGCCGCTCCATGGAAGAACAGCCGGGGAACTCCTGAGCAGACACCTCACATCCCGAGCCGCTGCGCTGGAGTGGAAACTGAAGGCAGATGCCTCTCCTTGTTAAACGTTCAGAAATAAATGAAGATGCTATATTCTAGAAATACATGTAGATACTATATACGCATTTACGTGCTCATCGTCCATAGTCCCATATTTTCTTATAATAAACAGTAGTACTGGCAGGCACAGTAGGGGCACAAGGCATCTGTCTTATTCAAGACAAGTTTGAGACACTGGAAAAAAAGATACTTGTTGTGTGTGTTGGACAGAGTGGCGAGGCTGAGCACTGTCACAGGGGCCTCCCATGTTAAGAGGGACTGTGGGGATGATGTCAGAACAAGACGTGGTGGATTTGAGGTTGATCGAGTATTAATACTACTGCCTCTCCTTGTCTTAGTGGGTATTTAAAATAGTAAATAAGAGAGAGGAAGGAGGTGACGTTCAGGTGCTGTGGGAAGCAGGCTTGGCGGAGGGGTATGATGATGAGACCCTCATTGTTCACTGGCTCCATCGCACTCCTCCCTGGGGCCGTGTGCCTGTTCCATTCTTCCCACCATTCGAACTGAGCGAATCTGGCAAAGGAGACACGTCTGTGGGAATGCGTAGATTCCGCCTCGGAAGAGAGCTAGCGCAACACTAAGAAAAGCAGGCTTCTTGTTTATTCTCAGGACCTTTTTGTAACAGGGCTACATTCTGCAAACTGCTTACAAAGGAAGACTATACGTCTTAACAAATTATTTAGCCACTGAGTCCTCCCGATTCGGACCTGTTTTAGTAATGGCAGAAGAATCCCTGAGCAGGTTCAGGTGCCCTAGATGACTAGGGTGCTGAGCTCTGGCGCCTTCTGTCCCCACTCTTTGCCTCCCCGCCCCTTCCCTGAGCCACCCCAGCAAGTGGGTGTCTTTTCTCCCTGGGCCTGGTGACCTCCACAGGATGAGTGACTTTGTTCATAAAGGGTGGGGATCACCAGCCCCTTGGGTGGGGGACGGCTTCATATACCTCTTCCTCAGTAATGCAAATGCGAGTTTTTGTGGTGGGGGTTAAGGCCCATAACAAAGGATCTTAAACCATGCAGTGTACGCAATTGAAATGGTATTCCACAGATATAAATATTTTCTTTTCCCATTGCCGTGACACTATGTGTGATGGTAATATTTCTGAGAGTTTCAGATTTTTGCACATATGATTTTATGCATTATCAAAAGTTACTGCTGCCTTGAATGAAAATGTTCTGTGAAATTTTTTGCAAAAGCTTTACTAGGTTTTTTTTTAATTGTGAAATTTTGTAAAGGCAGGAAATGGATTAAAACGAGCATGCTAAATATATTTTTCAAAAAAGCAATAATTTTACATGTACAGAAATTATCCTAACCTTTAATACTGGCGAGAGCAACAGTTTACTTAATACGGTAATGGACTAGTGCAGTTTTTGTAGACAGTGGGCTTCTGATACAAAGTCTTGTTTAAACACAGACACACACACACACAAACACACACACACACCCTAAAGTGTGGGTTTCCTGTTCTAATGATTTGTTGAATATTATTATATTATTATTATTATTATTATTATTATTGTTATTGTTATTAGTAATGTTTGGTTCTGGATTCTACTTGTTACTGAGTTTAAATTACTTGACGGTTCAGGTTACTTTGCAACACTTTCAAACGATGCAATGTAACTGGCTAGCTTATATATATATATATATATATATATATATATATTTTTTTTTTTTTTTACTTATTTTTTTCTGATATTCTTACACCAGATATGTACGAAAATGATCTGTCCTGTTGGTGTAATTAGGAATGTCCATGCAGATACAGTTAAACAACTGTAATTGACTGTTCTGTAAAGTTATTTTGGGCAAAGTTGCGGAGACACATTCCTCTGTCCACCTAAGAAATCAGAAGACTCTTCTGTTGATTTATGTTTAATCATTTCAGTAGTTTCCCCACAGTGATCATTTCTGCATTTTCTGGCTTTTGTTTTCTTGGCTGAAAGTGAATGGTGACTGTTAGGAATGTCAGGGACTAGTGACCCAGTCCTGTTTCTCTGTGTTTTAGTTATTAAAAAGAAATTCTGTACCCAAAGTGACACGAAAGTGTAGTCTACATTTTTACTGTTTCAGAAGCGGCATGGAAAAGTGCAGTTGGCCTTTGGAGCTGGAAGTGTCTTGCTGGTGAGGCTCCATCCTGGAGGCTCTGGTGGGGAGTGGGCTGGCGCTGGGGCCCTGCCGGCCGCGTGCTGGATCCTTCCTGGCTTGCAGGAGAGCAGGCGTGGAGGACAGTCAGCTTGCGGGGCCGCGCAGGGTGCACAGAGTGCAGGAGGAAGGTTTTCACCCAGTTAAACAGACTGGGGAGCCCCCCCAAGAACGCCATCCCTTGAGGCCAGCTGTGGGCAGGCCTGGATGTGTGGTCCCTTCCTTCCACCCATCGTCAGTATTGTGTTGGTTTGTTAATTTGTTGATTTGGTCATAGTATTTAATATGATTTGTGTTTCCTTATTTATTTAGCCACCGTTTTGATTGCCTTTTTTTTTCCGAATGGTAATTTCTGCATGATACACTTCTGTACGTTGTCTTCTGACTGTTACAGACTTTCTACTACCTCTCCCGATCTGCTGTTTCCTTGTTTCTTAACAGGATTTTTTACAGTGTTGCGTCTAATGTAACTTAGACAATAAAGGGTTTGGTTGTCTACACTGCAGCTTCTCGGTGTCTCTCCCCTGCTTTCCGCTCGCTGCTTCCCGCTCTGCCCCTGCTGGGGCCTGGCTGCACCCTGGCCTGCCTTCCTATACTCTCCTGTTTCCTGCTCATATCTCTTCCTCATTTTTGCGTTCAAATAACACACAGCTAATGAGCTTCTAAAAATCTTTTCAGGTTGTTCACTTGTATTCCTTAATTTGAAGAATGAATATTTAAATTCTCTCAAAAGTCAGATATTGAGGATCTTCTCTGGGAAATTGGCCACTGTACCTGCCCACCTTTCTGCCTGGTTCCCTGGAAGGTCTTATTGTCATCTTAGACGGACAGATTTCATTCTCAGCACCATACAGATTTGGCTTCAAAGCCAGGTGAATTTTGCCTTTGAGGCTCTGAAAAGTATTAAGTGTTTTAAGAGGTCCCCCAATATTTACTTATTTATTTTTTAAACCAAGAAAGACACTGGTTCCCTGAAAAGCAGGTGCTTCAGGAAGTAGCAATTGGGAGTTGCATACAGTTACTTCGTCAGAGAAAGGAGCGCCCAGTATGACAGGCCCCCACCCCTGATCCGGCCACTGTGCACAGGTCGCTGAGGGTGTGAGAACACCTCTGCAGGGGCTCCGGCACATGTGGGTTTCATCGTCTCACACTCCTTCAGGCTGCAGGGGTTGAGTGCAGAAAGGGCAAGCTTCATCTCCATGGTGCCTCTCCAGGCTGGCAACTCTGGTCGGCCTCTGTTCTTTGGACAGAGAGGGTGTAGGTTACAGGGTCAGTAGGGATGCTTTCTGGATCAAAGAAAGTGGGTGTAGTGCTTAGTCTGTTGTGTGGAAGAGGGCACCTCCTGGGCTTTCGTGGCTGGAGACTGTCTACCAACATTCCTTCCTTCAAACTAGACAAACCCTCCTCTGCCACCCCCAGCAAATTCTCAGAGGTTTCCAAGCTGTAGAAAAAGGAAGGAAGGAAGGACGGCATTCACATAGCTTTACTTTCTGCTTCAAAATGTCTTAAGTAGCATATGTTGTTTTACTGCTTTTAACTTTGGTGAGTTCTAATTTCAGAACGTTTTGTTCACTGAGCAAAAAAACAGATGAAACAACCACAGGCCAGGACTTCAAGTGAGGAGGACGCCTTTGTTTGCCGTGGTTGGTGGGAGCACACGCCGGAGCCCGGTAACGTGCCTGTGGGAGTGACCAAGGGCCACCCGCCCAAGGGAAAATGTTCATTCTTCATCAGCTTTGCTAATTCTGCTTTGAGGCAGTAAAATGCAAAAGACCATAGAATTTGTATTTCTTTTTTTAAAATACAATTTATAACATTATATTTTGTACTCTTTATATTAGAATTTGTAACTAGATTGATGTATTTAACTATTTCTGAAAAAGTAATTCAATGTTTTAGTTGTGTGATAAAAATATTTAGATAAAACATATTCATTCTATTGGAATTTGAAATAAATAAAAACATCTTGGAGTTCTGAGATTTGTAAGACATTTTTCCCCAATTTCAGAGGGTGGCGTAAATCGTTTGACAGCCCGCTTTGGTCTGTGGTTATTTATTTTTGTTGGCTGAACATAAACCAAAGTGTTAATGCTCTTTATTTATGGAAGAGTTTTAGGGTAATTCACAAGATCGTTCATCTGAACAGATGCCCAGATGGCCCGAGTGGTTTTTTTCCAACTCTTTTGTGGACTCGAGGACATACAGTTTTTTAATGGAGACGCTGTGTTTTTCTCATTTTCTTTCACAGCACACATGTTATTTCCCCACTGAATACACCCACTGTTCTTACCCTTGCACTGTCACCCATACAGGACGCACAGGGATGGACGCGGACGGAATTCTGACTCAGCCACACCTGGAGGAAATTATTGTGTCAAAAATGTGGGGACACAAGGGCTGGCACTGTGGTTTGCAATGGTTTACTGATGAGACAGCAAAAATGAGACAGGACCATCAGATGCAATAAAGATTCTAATTTAAAAAGATAAAATGTGTTTTAAAATTAAAAGATAGAACTGTGTCTCTACTGGCTGAGGAAAGAACAGACTAGATAAGTTCCCGAATGTGGCTTTCCAGATGTGCTGGGCAGGAAATGGAACTCTGAACAGCACTGGGCGTCCTTCCCCCAACCGGAGCGTCTAGCCTTGGGTACGCCACTCTGCGCTGGGTACGCCACTCTCCGCTGGGTACACCACTCTCCGCTGGGTACGCCACTCTCCGCTGGGTACGCCACTCTCCGCTGGGTACGCCACTCTCCGCTGGGTACGCCACTCTGCGCTGGGTGCGCCACTCTGCGCTGGGGACGCCACTCTGCGCTGGGGACGCCACTCTGCGCTGGGTGCGCCACTCTGCGGTGAAAATGCTGTTGTGGAAGCCCGAAGGCCTTTGATACTCTGAAAGGCCCTTAGATGAAGTGCAGACCTTGTCTAACTCTGCTGAGGTTTATGCCTCGCTGTTTAGAACCTCCCTCCTCTTGGATGGCTGGTTCTTCTGAGACGGGCGTGCATCCGAAACGAAGTGGCAACACCAAAGTCCTTAATAGGTAGCTGACATTGAAGTGAAGGGCTAAGAACACTTGTGTTAGGACAAAACAAAACCCTGGCCTACATCTCTCTGTGTCACCTGACAATGGTCAGTTCCCCTGGTAACACAGGAGCTTATTGGTGTTCCTGTAGCCACATCCCAGACCCTTTGGTTCCACAAGTAACCAAGCTCCTTCCCCCAGAAAGCAGTATTACATCCTCCTTTATCCACCTCCTGATCACCCAGCAGTGAGGGCGCGACATCTACCCTGGCTGCTCTGGGCATCTTGCTGGGTGGGAAATGGGTGAAAGGCAGTGGCGCGGGGTCTCCGTGTCTGCAGTTTGCCCATGTCGTGCTAGGTGCGGAAGCTGGGTATCATGACGCCCCCCACCCCCAACAATGTAAAACCTTACCACGAATGGCTGCATTCATCGCAGCACTTTTATTTTCCCTTCCTTAGCTGTTTGAAAACAGTGGTGCATTTCTAATGTGTGTTATTAATGTTCTCAATCTTACGTTTTTAAAAGATGTTACTGTAAATTACAGAAAGAAAATGCGAGATGCCCTGGTCTTTACCAGCGTGACACGTTCTTGGGATGTCCGATTTCCTCACTGTCTGCTGAGGCACAGGGGCTTAGGATGGCTTTAAGGAAGGGGAACTTCCTTAGGAATCTGGAGCAGGTGACAGTCCCACATCCCTCTGTCTGATTTCTTTATGGGTAGGGAAAATGTAGTGAAACAATCACAATGAGAATGCTGTCTTAGTCCTTTCAGGCTGCTATCACAAAATACCTAAGATTGGGCAATTTTTAAAGGTATTTTTTGCTCAAGTTCTGGAGGCTGGGACATTCATGATCAGTGTGGCAGCAGGTTCCGTGTCTGGGGAGAGCTTTGCACTTTATAGATGGAGCCTTCTTGCTGTGTCCTCGTGGAGTAAGAGGTGAACAAGCCCTCTCGGGCCTCTTTGATGAGGGCCCTGCTCCTGCTCCTGAGAGCTCTGCCCTCATGACCCTGATCACCTCCCGAAGACCCCACCTGTTGATGCCAACACATTGGGTGTCAGGTTTCAACGTATGAAATTCGGTGGGAACACAGACATTCAAACCGTAGCAAATGCTGTCTCCTGTTTTCATTTTTCAACTGAGGGAGATGTGGAGATTCCCATTCCAAGCCCTTGGGTGGGTTATTTCATCTGCCAAGAGTAAATTCTTCATTGCCAACAGTTTCAAGTTATAAAGGGCAAGAGGACAAGGGGACTCCATCTTGCCTTTTTATGTGCCCAGATTTGTCCATGGAAGACCAGTATTCAGGTCACAAGCATGAGACCCACTTGACTTCGTACATCAATCTCCTTATGTCCTGCTCTTCCATTCTATAAGAGTGGCATTGGTGGACCGGAATGTTCCCAGGACAGGGTTACCGAGTCTAAAGGGAGGGTTTAAGACAGACTTCGCAAAATTAGATGAACCGCTGTGAAATATTTGGAGGTCTGGCATGGGTATTTTGCATAGTAGAACTGTTGATGTGTGGTGGAAGGAACAGGCTGATGGTGCCTCAAAATAAAACGTCACCTGTAGGTTAGGCTGTGCAGGAGTAGATGACTCGCCCTGACCCTGTGTCTTAGCAGAAGCTCGACATTCATTTTTAAGGAATACAATATTAGAGTCCTTACTCAGAGAAGTAAATTGGAACCAGATAAACATGCAAGTTTCACTTAATCAAAAGATCTTAGGCTTCTTTAAAATTGTAGAAATGGTACAGAAAGTTTTCAACCTTATGAATTTGCTTAACAAATTCTGTGCCATGTGGTAAGCACTGAAATAGGTGCAGGCATAGAAATATGAACAAAATGGAACCTGCTGTTTGGGCTGTCACAGTGGAGGAGGAACATGGGTCTAAAAATGATGAGTTCTAGGCCAGGCACCTGTAATCCCAGCTCACACCTGTAATCCCAGCACTTTGGTAGGCTGAAGTGGGCGGATCACGAGGTCAGGAGATCGAGATCATCCTGGCCAACATGGTGAAACCTCGTCTCTACTACAATTAGAAAAATTAGCTGGGCATGGTGGCACGTACCTGTAGTCCCAGCTACTCGGCAGGCTGAGGCAGGATAATCGCTTGAACCAGGGAGCCAGAGGTTGCAGTGAGCCGAGATCGCACCACTGCACTCCAGCCTGATGACAGAGTGAGACTGTCTCAAAAAAAAAAAAAAAAATGAGTTCTAATTCAGAGGGAATACATACAAGCTCACAATGTCTGTGGAAGAGGAATGGAGCCTCTTCCATTGGGGAGTGAGGTCAAGGATCTAATCAGATACCCAGGTGTCACCAGGACTAGGTGACACACACCTGAAACTTTTGGAAGGATGTGATATAATGGGGTAATTAGGTGGCATTAAAACAAAACTTGCCTCTGATAGTAAACCTTAGTTGACTTGGAAAATCTGTAAGATCTTAAGATGGGAGAGACAAGTGACATGTGAATTTCAGTGAGGAAAAGCTAAGGGAGTGTATTTTTGGAAATAACCCATAGTACAATTAGAACATACTTTGTCAAATCTGACAGAGGAAAGAGACTGAGATCATTGCCAACTATTCCTTGATGACTAATTCAAAGTGAGGCTTCAGACGGCAAAATTGGCAGCCTGGGGATCAGCAGGCAGGAGACTGTGGAGAAAATGGCACAGTGGCCCACCAGCACCATAAAGGTACTGTGTGCCTGTTTCTGAGTTGATATGTGCATCTGTTATTAAAATTCAAGGAACTAGACAAAAGCCAGAGGTGGACAACACAGTGGCTGAGGGGAAACTTCAACATCAGATGTAGAAAAAGTGAGATGGATTAGTTAAGAGTAAGGCTAAGAGGAAGTCTGTGACTGGAAGGGCATGGATCAGATAGACATTTTGTACAGTGACTCTCTTGGCCTACGTGTAGGTGATACAGCTTTAAGTCTTGAGAGAGAAATTTACAAGAAGTTAATACTTAAAAGGGCTACCTGTGTGTCAGGAACTCTGATGTTTTCATCTAATTTATCTTATTCGAGTCTCACAGTGCTCTTCAACATAGGCACTATTAACTCAATTTTATAGATGAAAACTGACAGAGAAGGGTAGCGTACCCAAAGAGACACAGCCAGGAACCTGCGGAAACAGCAGTGGAGTCCATGTCTGCTGTGCTTGCAGACCTACCACTCTGCACTCTTCTGCTTTGTTGTACTGACTGGAGGGATGCATGCAGTTAGTAAGAAGGATCATCCCTGTGGCATGTCCCTGTCTGTTGAGCATCACTATAAAGGAATATCTGAGGCTAGGTAATTATTCAGAAAAGAGGTTTATTTGGCTTACGGTTCTGCAGGCTGTGTAGGAAGCACAGCACCAACATCTGCTGGGATTCTGGTGAGGCTTCAGGCTGCTTCCACTCATGGTGGAAGGTGGAGGGGAGCTGGTGTGTGCAGAGATCACACGGCAGAGAGGAAGCAAGGGGGTGAGGTACCAGGCTTTTAAACAACAGGCCTCCTGGGAGTTAGTAGAGCAAGAAATCCCTAAACCCCCAACCCCCAGGAGGGAATTAATCTACTCATGAAGGATCTGCCTCCATAACCCAGACACCTTCCCTTAGGCCCACCTCCAACATTGAGGACGAAATTTGGACATGAGGTTTGGATGGGACACGTATCAAAACTATAGCACATGTTGCCACTTTTCAAAACACTGAGACACCCATTACCCGCATGGATCACCGCAGCGACCTAGGGTGTGGATCCTGTCAGCGAGATGATTGGAGGTCCTCAGTGGATCAAAACAAGACGTTTTGGATTTCTGAGCTTCTGCCTCAGAGGGATCAAGGCTTCTTTTGGGTGACCTTCTGTAAGTTCAGCTGTAACGTGCATGGGGGTAAGAACGCTGGGATCTCCCCAGACCTGGGTGTGAGTTCCAGGTGTGTTGCATGCCAAGTGGGCATGTCCAGTAGCCTTTTTCTTCCCATTTCTATCTCCTTCTCTGTCAATTGTTTCCCTTACTCATGTGGACATGCTCAAGACACTCCCTTCCCAAAAACACCACCAAGGAAACACCTTCCTGGGACCCCAGAACCCTCTACACCTGTTGTATCCTTACCTTTCCTCCTTCCTAAAACCTCGTCCGTGATCACTTTACCCTCCTTGTTCTAGCTTTTATCACCAACACCTGCTTCACTGCACTGTCTCTCCTCAAACTTACCAAGATCCTCGTAGTCATTGAGTATAATTATTTTGCCTTAAATAAAGCTAGGATAAAATGCAGAGTAAAAGGAAAAAAATACACATTACATACACGCACATTTCTATATATTTTTCACTCGCCAGATGCAACAATTGCAATATTTTACCAAGTTTTGTTTCTACCCTTTGTTGTCATTTGTCCTGGAATATTTCAGTGATTCTCAGACATTGTGTCATTTCGACTGTAAATAATTCAGTGTGCATCTCTGAGCGATTGAGATATCATCTGTAGATCTAGTTATGTATCTATCTATGAATGCTACGTTCCCTTCCATCCACCTCTCTGGCCTTGTCCTCTGTGTTGACCCTGGGGAAGAACTACCTGGACTACCTGGGTCTTTCTTCCTGGGATTACACACCTGCCAGCTCACCCCAGCTCACTCTGTGTTGCTACCACAGGAATTTGCTGGAACACAGATCATTCAACTTCCTTGGTTGAAATCGTTCAGTAATTTTCTGTTACCTCCAGAAACACCCCAAATGCTTCCCTGTGCCATGCAAATCATTTCGTGATTTGACGCCCACAAGTCATCCGCTGGCACTCGATGCCAAACGAGGTGCGTTCACGGTGCTGCGCTCCTGCGCGCCGCTTTTCCTGCCTTCTCAGAGGCTCCGGTTGAGGGGAGCGGCCCGGGAGCCTTGGCCGACTCTGACTCCTCCTCCTGCCTCTCCCACGCCAGAGGAGGCTGGGTTCCCGCCTCTCCCCTGTACTCCCCCCAGCTCTCTGGACATCCTGGCGTGCTATTGCACCAGTCACAACATCTGAAAGTAAACAGACCCTCTCTGCCTCCTCCCACTGAGCTGAGCTTGGCAGTGCTTGAGGCAGACACACCGCACTGCATTTCTGTGGCTGTACCAAAGCCAGGCCCGTGGCTCTCCGTGTGTATGTTTCGTAAATGAACACATGGTGATGAGTGCGTGCCTCAGTTTCCACAGCTGTGCAGTGGGAATGGCCATCTCCCAGTATTGGTGTTACTGTGGCAAACGATATATGGGCTGCATTTTGTCAACTTTAATGCGATATGTAAATGTAAGTTGGAATTACTTCCAAGAAATTTGAGTGACAATGTTTTTTCAAGTCCCATAAAGTTGTCTTTAAATAAGCATGGTCTCTAGACACCAGCATTTTTTTTTCTTTCTTAAACTATATTGCGTTTATGAATCTGGAAATTTCTGTTACCTATGACACACAAGATGTAAGTCATTTTCCCTTGTTCAATAAATTTTTTTAACTAGGTAAACAGTTGGATTTCTTCTCCTATCCACGAAAGTATAGGTTTCAGGTAGACTGAAAAAGCAAGCTGATGACTTTTTTTTTTTTTTTGAGACAGAGTCTCACTCTGTCATCCAGGCTGGAGTGCAATGACACTATCTCAGCTCACTGCAACCTCTCTCTCCCGGGTTCAAGTGATTCTCCTGCCTCAGCCTCCTGAGTAGCTGGGATTACAGGCGTGCACCACCACGTCTGGTTAATTTTTGTATTTTCAGTAGAGACAGGGTTTCACCATGTTGGTGAGGCTGGTCTTGAACTCCTGACTTCGTGATCCACCCGCCTCGGCCTCCCAAAGTGCTGGGATTACAGGCATGAGCCACCGCACCCAGCCGCTGATGACGCTCTTAATGAGAACTGTTTTATTATTATTTGACAACTATTAAAGAAGAGCTGATCATACTCTCTGAGGACAGGAATTACTTAATAGAAACCAGTGAACACCCCGCGATGTTTAGACCTGTAGTTTCAGGCCTCCAGCCCTGCTGGGATGAAGTGCCTGCGAGGATGGGTTCCGTCACTGGCTTTTACTGGGCTGGTAAAGGGAAACTCAGCCGATTTCTCAGCATTTCACATGTTACCTTATCTGGGTGGCTCTTTTCTCGGGCTTGTGAGTGTCCTAAGCTGCCTCAGATCTGCCCTGGCCGTTCTGAAATGGAGGTGGACTTGGAAAAAGAAAAAGGCTTTTCCTGTTTATTGGGGCGGTGCTAGTTGGACAGAATTCCGGAGAGGACGGGCGATTCTCTGCGGGATCAGGTGGTGACGGTTTTCTGGGTGCCTCTGCCCGGTGCTCTGGGAGGTGCTGAGCAAAGGACACCGCGTGGGGCCGTGGGAGGGTGAGAGGCTCTGGTCACGGCACAGACTTCCCACGGGGGGAAAGCGGGCGATTGACTGTCACGGGGCAGCTTAGGGGCTGCTCCCTGAGGCTGTGCCGGCACCAGGCGGCTCCGGATCCCCCCGTCAAGGGGCCTGCTCTGCGGCCCGACCACAACACGGGTGAGCAGGACGCGGTGCCCGCAGAGAGTGGGCCTGCCACCCGGAGGGAAGCGGCGCAGGCAGCCTGCTGTCCCCGGGTCCCGCCGCTTTCGCAAAGAGCCAGCCGGCTCCGGCCACGATCGTCTTTGCAGCCCGAGGTCAGGTTGGATGGCTGGGATTGCTGAATACACACAGGCCGGCGGGTCCACACTGAAAGTGCGTTTCGGTGACCACTTAGGAAGCTGCCATTGGCTTTGCAATTCTGGGGCCACCTGTGGGGCCTGGCCCACCTTGCGCCGGGAAGGCGGTGGCCCCAGCTGTCCTGGCCCCACTCTGAAGTGGCCACTCCCCCGGCTCTCTGCTCTCCAGAAGCTGCTGCTGGGCGTCCTACACCCGTGGCGCAGGCTCAGGTGTGATTTCAACCTGCGACCCTGGATCCAGGAGTGGCCCCCTTCAGTGTGAGAAGAGCCCCCGCCGAGACAGGCAGTTATTCAAAGAAAAGTCTCGTGACAAATACACAGTTAGGTTTTTGTTAGGGATTTGCCTTACATTAATTTTAAAATCAGAGAGTTAGAAAACTTGAAGGTTGAAACACTCTTCAGGGACCACGCAGTCTAAAATTTTCCGTCAGGCTGAGGTCTGGAGAGGCTGTGCGTTCACAGGTCCTTAGTGAGCCCCTTCAGTTTTACTCTATGTTTCTGTTATTTTATTTTTTATTTTTTTTGGTATTTTTAGTAGAGACGGGGTTTCACCGTGTTAGCCAGGATGGTCTCTATCTCCTGACCTCGTGAGCCACCCGCCTCGGCCTCCCAAAGTGCTGGGATTACAGGCGTGAGCCACCGCGCCCGGCCGTTTCTGTTATTGTTACATCGTCAAGATTACATTTGCCTTTCAGGTTTTCTGCGTTAAGCACCTTTTCTCTCCATTGCGTTCTCACCACCTTGTCCCCCTCGGTTTTGCATTCTTCACTCTTCTCAATGTAGCTTAACTTTCCCCACATTCTCTCTGCTTACTAAGAAGCGGGAAAGACGGCCTTCCTGTGTTCTGACATTTTTCCTGGGTTTGCCCCGTGCAGTGCCCCCGGGAACAAAAGGGCCTGTCCTCCCTTGGCGTGCAGGCCAGCAGGACAGGTACTCATTTAGCCTTGGGGCTTCCCCGCCTTCGCCTTCGTACTTTCGCCTCCCGCAGAATGTGCCAGAATCAGTTCTCAGGGGAGTTCTCAGCGCTTCTCTAGTAAGCAGGGATGGAAGTGATTGCAAACCAACAGTCAAAGGGACCATCTCTCCGCGCCCGATCTTCCTTTATCCGTTTTTGAAGGGCTTCTCTAATTTCTTCTCAAAAGCCCGTTTTCCTGAAGTTGCCCTCTTCCACCACTAGATGGCAGGCGGACGTCACACATGAATGTAAAGCAACGCCGAATGCAAATTCATTCACCTCGTTGTCTTCAGCCAGCATAAATTAAGCACCCGCTGCATGCGGAAGGGGCTACCAAGATGAAGATGACATGCTTGGCCCCCGGGGCCACACGGTGCTTGGCAGGGTGACACAGGCCCACGGTGATGAGGGTATGCGCTGTTTGCCCGCGGATCTTGACGGAACCCCTGCCACATTCGCGCTGACTTCCAGGCACTGGAGATTCAGCAGCTCAGAAGTCGAGGGCCCATCTCTCATGGGGTTTTGTGTTCTCCTAGGGTTGCAAGCAGTAATCAGACAAGCAGATACATGCAGACATCTCAGAAAGAGACAAGTGCGACAGGCAGAGCCTGGCAGGGGGTCTGGAGGCGGAGAACTTGGTCTCATCCCAGGGCCTCTGCATGCAGGCCGAGCAGTCAACAGCACTCAGGGCGCAGGAGAGGACAAGGACTGGAGGGAGACCGCTGCATGCGCCCAAGGAAGGGAGACCTTCCACACCGGAGCTCCGCACAGGAGCAGGAGGGAGGGCAGGCCAGAGAGCAGGGCGCGTGGCTGCATTCTCCCGGCCGCGCAGACCCTGCTAAGGCGTGTTGCCCGGTGGGTGACATAATCTGATTTGTGTTTGTCAAAGACAAACATAAATTGGCTCTTGGCTGTTGGCAGTTGGCAGAATGGATCTCCCTGCCTGTGTGGAATGTACTTTGGTAGTGGACACAAAAGCTGAAAGCCGTTGTTCACAGGCCCTGGAGGAGGCTGGAGCAGGTGGGCGGGAGCTGTGGGGCTTACAGGACCTGCATGGCTGGACAAGAGAAGGGTTCTGGGTGGATGCCCCCTGGCCTCCTGGGCCTGACTGAGCAGCCTCAGACCTGGAGCAGCCTCAGGCCTGGGTGCCTGGGCCTCGGGGTGTGTGAAGTGGTGTGATTGACTCAACGTGGGGAGGATGGGAGAGGAACGCGTGATTTGGGGGTAGGACCTGGAGTTCTTGGGGGTTCAGGGAAGCATCGTCCACAGCTACCCACATGGGTCTGCATTTATGAAGGCAACTAGCGGCTGGGGATGGAAAGTCTGAGTGCTCGGAAGGTGTCTCCAGGCTGGAGAGTGGGTGCCTTGAGGGCGGAGCAGGGCTCGGCGTGAGCTGGAGGAGCGGTGGGAGCCCCCCTTCATCTTGGGCTCAGAGAATGAGGGGAAGAGCCCTGAGCAGCACAGGGAGAGGCTGCCCACGTGGCTGAGGGGGCAGGAAGAGGACAGCCGGGCTCAGGGACCAGGAGCGCGAGGGGGGCAGCAGCTGAGGGGGCACCTGGGGCATCTGGGGACGGCTCTCACTGGGCCGGCTGGAGGTGTGAGGCAGAGGACACAGATGTTCCGTTTTGGGGAATAGTTTCCTTCTTCCTAAGCGGGACAGGAGTGTATTTGCCTGCTCAGGCTGCCACACAGGACGCCAGGCCTGGGCAGCTTCACAGCCGGGTCTTTTTCCACCCATCATGTCCTATCAGGTGTCCACCCTAGTGACCTCACGTAACCTTCATGACCTCCTAAAAGACCCTGTCTCCACACCAATCAGGTTGGGGGTGAGGGTCTCATACTGCGGGTGACAGGGAGATGGAGCTCAGCCTAGAGCAGGGTCCCCCACCCTGGGAGGAGGCTGGGGAGGAGCAGGTGCAGGAGGAGGGGCTGGCCACTCAGACATGGGCCTCAAGGATGATGCAGGGGAAACTGAGGCAAGGCACGCCTCCTTCCTGTCTTGCCTGGGGCTGGCTCCTGAGCACCAGCCTCACAAAGCTGGACCGGGCAGGTGCGAGCCTCAGGGCTTTCTATGACCTGGGGAGGCTGCAGTGTGGTAAAGAACCAGGCAGAGGCCAGCACCCCGGTGCCTCAAGGGACGCAGTAGGGTGGGGAACAGAAGGGGTACAGGCCGTGACTCCTCACAGTGGGGGGCGTGGGGCTGGGCTGCCTCCCGTCATCTTTACTGGTGGAGTGCTTTGTGGAGAGTGTGTGAGCCGATGGCTGGTTTGAAAGGCGGGAAGCCGAGAGCTGATTGTTCAGAGAGAAACTGGTGGCGGAGCAAGGCTGACCAAATTGTCAAGCCCACATTGTCATGGTTGAGGGACTTTGTGCCTCTGGGACTGCCGTAAGGAGCAACGGCTCCTCAGGCTGGCCCGATACAAATGACGTTTGATTCTCAGACTAAAACGAGGGCTCAGGTACTCTGGGGAGAGGATGTGCCGTGGGGCCTCCGCAGGGACCCAGTGTCCCCGGGAGCCAGGTGTGGTCCTGGCCGCCCACGGCCCCAGCCCTGAGTCTACCCCCGGGTTCTGTCCCGCTGTCCCCTGTCTGGATGGAATTCGTCTGCTCAGCTGTCTGCCTGCGTGTGGCCTCCAGTGGCTGCACCAGCCCCTGGATCTACGCGACCCTTGGCTCAGGCTGGGAGCTCACAGGCAGAGTTTATCCCTATCCCAGGCCTGGGCTCCTAAGAGAGGACGTGGCAGTCCCTGCTTACCTCTCGCAGGCCAATGGTGGGCCACAAGAGCCGCTCATGCCCCACCGGCCCGGCCCTGACTAGTCAGTTCCAGCCAACCGCTGGGGACCTTGGGCAGTGCAGGCTCAGCTGAGGCCAGGCAGGAAGGATGCCACCCTTCGGACGCAGTTCCGGAGCCCGTGGGGAGGTGGGAGGCAGGACGCAGCAGCGAGTGCCCGGCCCTTGTGTGGAACTGACTGGAGGCTCATTGGTCCCTTGTGAATGACTCCCTGACTGGATTTTCTTCACCTTTTGAAATAATAAGTATGATAGAAAGTTCTGGAAAACAGCCCTCGATGAGTCAAGTGTAGGTGGATTAGACTTCTGAGGTATTCCTAGATTTTCAAATTTAAGTATTTTTCTAGATGAAAGCTTGACAGTTAGCTCACCTATAAATACAGTGAATTTAACTAAAGCTAGAAATATTTCTGGTTTTGGGAAAGATGCATATCTTCTAATCTTGGCCACCATTTGGAAACATTTCAGAAGCCCAATAATAGACACCCTGTGTTTTTCCATATTTTGATCGACAAATACCAAATGTTGTCTCTGTCCTGGGCAGCAGGCCACATGTGATCAATGAAACACTGTCCTCCGCGAAGCACCTGTGCTTCCTGGAACACTTTCCTTGGGCCTTCGCTCAGCTTGTTGCCTCACTTCATCTGGGTCTCACAGGTCTCAGCCCCCATGCCCCTTCCCAGAGGGCAGGTACAGCTGCCCTGGCTGCTTGTGGAAGCTAGAATGCTCCCTTATCATGCTCTATCCACTTGTCTGCTGTTTTTCTTTCTAGTACTTGCCACTATGTGTCATTCATACACACACACACACACACACACACACACACACACACACAAACACACATAGGTATAGTTTATTATTTGTCTCCCACACCAGAATATAAATGCCCTAAAGGCAGAGACTGTCTTGGCCACTGCTTTATTTCATGACCTAGAAAACAAATATCCACACCACGTTGGTGGCACACAACAATGACCATGGAGGTTTGCTCACCATCATTATCACCATCATCGCCATCACCACCAATGAGCTGA